>NC_000007.14:92809809-93112839 GCF_000001405.40 Homo sapiens
TCTCAGTTTGAACCAAGGTCATTCGATATCATTAGCCAGAGTGTGGCTGAAAAGAGAAACCAGGAAGTGCTGAGTCATCGTGAGCATATGCAACATCCTCGTCAGCACTTCTGGTGCCAGATTCAAAGGTATGCGTACTTCCTTTGACCTGCTACTCTTCCATCCTTTTCTCAGTAACGCAGGGTAGGTCATGGAAAGCTAACTGCCACCAAGTTGAGAAGCAGCATGAACCCTAACAAATAACACTACTTAACACTGTCAATTCTATATGCTGGTCTCTAGATATGGCTATGAAAATAGATTGTTTGAAAATATATATGCGTGTGTATGTGTGTGTATATGTATATCATTTACTATCTGTCAGAATTAAGCCATTATACCTCTAGTTTCCAGTAAGTCAAGATAGCTTCCTCTTCAAATAAACAGCATGCCTTTGTCAGCATGCAGTTTATGTGCATTTAATTTGCCAAGCAGGTCTTACTAAAACAGTCAAATCCAAATGACCTTTGCATGACTGAAACACTTGTAGTATTAGGTAGAAAAACTATATAATAGGGGAAATAACACCCTGGAGTCAAAAGGCTTGTGGTCTAGTCCTGACTCTGCCAGCAGACAGTTGACCTTGAGCAAGTCATTTACGTTGTCTGTTTCTTTATCTGCAAGACGGGAATAACAATCCTCCCCCAGTCTCCCTCACTGCTGCTGTGAACGTAATTATATTAACAGCACTTAAGAAGTAGACAACTGTCATGACGAAAAGAAGTGATGAATTCATTACATATTTTTTAAAAAACAAAACTTCAGTCTCAGGCTAGCTTCTATGCATTTTATTAGAAACATACAATAATTTTACTGGATTTGAATGTTTAAGTTGTCACCCAGGTTGGAAGTGACATAAGAAGATAAACAGTAATAGTAAGTAGATGGGCAGAATTCAATAGTAAAGGGCTATATAAATATACTTCAAAAAAAGCAATTATAGGCCGGGTGCAGTGGCTCACGCCTGTAATCCCAGCACTTTGGGAGGCTGAGGTGGGCGGATCACGAGGTCAAGAGATTGAGACCATCCTAGCCAACATGGCGAAACCCCATCTAAAAATACAACAATTAGCTGGGCATGGTGGTGCGTGCCTGTAGTCCCAGCTACTCAGGAGGGTGAGGCAGGAGAATTGCTTGAACCCAGGAGGCGGAGGTTGCAGTGAGCCGAGATCGCGCCCGGTGACAGAATGAGAACCCCCCCAGCGCCAAAGAAAAAAAAAGGCAATTATATAGGAGAAATATCAAAATAATACTTTATTGAGAGAAAGAAAATTTGAAGTAACATAAATAATCAGTACCCAGCATTTTCTCATAGAATTTCCACAGGTCTCCAGCATTGCTTTCTGCAGTATTTTACTCATTGGACATTCTTCAGCTATATAAATAAGCATTGTGAACGAGCCTGGGATTCAACTACAGTTATAATGTTGTATCTACTAGAAATCCTGAGTGCTCAAACCCCAATGTAGCAGGGTACTTTAGGCAAACATCGTTTTAGTCCCTTCACCATCCTTGTACACTGAGACACGTGGCTGAAAATATTTACGCCCTCCTTACCGTGTGTAAAAACAAAATGAAAAGATTCTTTCTTGGCCTTTGACTCTCAGAAGGAAGAACAAACTGGGGTGGCTTCGAGTGAACAGTCTTGAGATTAAATGTGGAAATAATTATAGCACTTGAAGATGGCAGAAGGTGGCATTCAAGATGACAGTGTAACTCCATCTAATAGCAACCATTTGTTGAACAGCTCCTATGTCCGTAGTACCTATGCCTTGCCCTTGCAACTACTACCTGATATAATGTCACACTTAACCAGAGAAAAAGTAGGCAGACTTGAGAGATTCCTAATGGACTTAATCATTTTGTCCAAGAGAATGAGAGATGCACATAATATTAGAATTTGAAGATTTTGTCAAGTTCTGCCACCAATCCTATTAACAAAACCACCCCCCTACAAAATATTCTGAAGGAGAGGAATAAGTAAGGCAACTAAGTACTTGACAAGTATCAAACACTTAAAAGGGCGAGGCGCAGCAGCTCATGTCTGTAATCCCAGCACTTTGGGAGGCTAAGGCTGGAGGATCATGAGGTCAGGAGTTCGAGATCAGCCTGACCAACACTGTGAAACCCTGTCTCTACTAAAAATACAAAAATTAGCTATGTGCCTGTAATCCCAGCTACTCAGGAGGCTGAGGCAGGAGAATCGCTTGAACTTGGGAGGTGGAGATTGCAATCAGCCAAGATGGTGCCATTGCACTCTGGCCTGAGCAACAGAGTGAGACTCCAACTCAAAAAAACAAAACAAAACAAAACAAAACACTTAAAAGGTACCTAACTTCAGAGACATCACTTAATATGTGTCCTAATTTTACAAATGAAGACATTGAAGCTTAGAGGTAGGAAGCATAATGGGGTTAAGACACATAGTCATGTGGCAGAACTGGAATGTGAACCCACATTTGACCTCCTCTCTTAGGTAATCAATAATATCCAATAATCAATAAGTAATAGTGTTTGTTATTTCTGAGGCCCATGTGTAGCTTCAGACTTTTAATTTAAATTTTCTCATTCAATTTTTTTTTTTTTTGAGACAGGGTCTTGCTCTGTCTCCCAGGTTGGGGTCAAGTGGTGTGATCATGGCTCACTGCAGCCTCAAACTCCTAGGCTCAAGCCTTGATCTTCCCACCTCAGCCTCCAGAGTAGCCGGGACCAGAGGTGAGTGCCACTATACCTGGCTAAATTTTAGGAAATATTTTTTGTAGAAATGAGGTCTCACTACGTTGCCCAGGCTGGTCTCAAATTCCTGGCCTCAAGCAATCCTCCCACCTCAGCCTCCCAAGGTGCTGGGATTACACACATGAGCCACTGTGCCTGGCCCACACTCAAACTTTTTAAGATGACAGCACAGTACCTTTCACAAGGATATCATATATTGAATTACTGAGCTGTGGTTCAAAAGTTTGTTCATGGTTTACCGTACAGACATTAACCACTGCTCAATCATTTCTAAAAACATATATAAAGTTGATGCCAATTCACAATCACCAGAATTTATTTTTAATTGTCATACTAATTTGGTGATCAGACCCTCTTCTATGTCAGAAACAAAGGGCATATATGTGAGTTGACTGCAGCCTTCTGACAAGGAGCAATTTTCTTCTAAGTAAGTTACAACTAAATTCCCAGCCTTGGTCTGTACACCCATGATCTAACAACTTTTTTTGCCTTTCTCAACAGTGGCCAAGAAAATATATGCAATTCATAGTAATTCATGATTTGGGATTTTATTTCTATGTAAAATGGGATAATTTTTAAGGACCCTGAAGTCCTTTAAATCACAAATCACTTTAGGGTAGCAGTCTATTCCTGCCAGAATTCGTTTACTGGAATTACAAAGTAAATAACCGTGAAAAGAAGATGGAGGTGAAAATCAAGGTTGTAGAGAATTTGAGAGGGAAACAGAAAGGGAATCATACTGCTTGCTTTTAAAAAAAAAATGCACCAAAGCTTTCTTCATTCAAGCAGTTGGTTTTGTTCCCTAACTGGTCCCCCACATATCTAAGTGCAATGAGTACATTCCCAACTCCTACTGCCAAGTTAAAATGAAAACGTTCTCAGTCTAGAAATGATTGAGGTGGTTTTCTTTAATCAAATTAGAGCAGCCAAATGTTCCTTTCAAAGGTAACTGTCTACTCTGCAGCTGTATGCAAACTACCACATCAAATGTGAGGGAAAAAATAGCGATAGAATTGTGTCCTTACAGTACAGAGCTAGCTGCAGAGATGGAGAAACAAAAGCATTTGTACAGTTAAGAATTACATTCACAGTGAGCTTCCAGAAATATGCTGACTTCACAAACTGTGAACAATGTATTGAAACTTCCAGTACATAATTAGCTATTTTGGGGAGGGGAGGAACATGGGGGGAAATGCCCCCTTAAAAACGGCTAAGCAGCAATAGATACCTTGAGTCATTTACCCTCCCAACCAAAGTTTCTCAATGAGAAACATTAAAAGACTGGCTGAGACTTCATAGGAAAAAAAAGTCTCATAGACCTTGCTTTTTCACTTCCTGTCTCCATCAAAAACACACCACAGTGAGTAAACTTGAGTATCCCGCAAGCTTCAATTAAGCTTGTAATGATTCATTTGCATGCAGAATTTATTCTTTTAAATAATCAGACATGGGAATTTCCTGCAAAGAATTAATTCATAGTGGGCTTATTTTTTCAGTTTGTTTCCCTTAAGAAAAATCAATTGGCTAACATTCCCAATATGATGTCAAATTAGCTTTTCTATGTTACAATTTATATCAGCTGTTGGTTTCAGGGATGGTATATCAACAGTATGAAAACCTAGAAGATGACAATGAATTTATATAGCCAGGTGCAATCAGCAACAGAAGAATGAAACAATGTTCTTTCTTCAATTATGGATCCTCTCCAGATGGTTATACTGTCCTCTAAATTAAGGAATGTGGAATAAATAGGGGAAAAGTATATCTCATGTGATCCCAATATTTCTCCAGAGCAGCTGTTCTTAAACTTTTTTGCTTCTGGTGAAATTAGCAGACAACTTCCTTGGTTCACATGCCCTTTGACATTACCCAAATTTAAGAACTGCTGCATAACAAAAACTTCCCGCAGGTAATAAGCAATTCTTGGGCTGCAGCCCTTCTGCTCCCAACCAGGAAAGCAAACTGAATTGCAAAAAAAAAAAAAAAAAAAAGACATTTTGATTATTCAAAAATTTATTTTAAGAAGTGTAATCAGACTTCCAGTTCAAAATGGTGGACCTATCACAAATATTTGCCTCCATTCTTTCTCAGTAAAAGAAATAAACCCATAATTACAAAAGGGCGTCCCACATACACAAAAAGGAGAGAATTTAGTAAATTTGCTGGGTGACTGAAAATAAACAGAAATAAGGTGATGGAAGAAGTCACCAAAGAGATAGTAGTCTCCAAAGTGAAGAACATATAATCAGGAGATGTATTAAGAAAATATCTTCTATTTTTAGGTATTTTGTACCCCTTCATTTCAAAATCATTATTTTTATTAAATATATAATAATATATCTGTATATGTACATAATTTTTATAATTCAGTGAATATCAGTGACATGCTCAAATATTTTTACTAGAAGGGAGGCCACTGCCCTAGAACAAGCCATGAGGGCACCGTGGAGGAAGCAGAAGCTGGACTACGAGTCAACAGGTGCAATGGAAAAAGGGAGGAAGAAGGGCAGCCATTTTCTTCCCACATTCAGGGGAGTCAACTAAATGTCTGTATATAGGGTAACTGCACCAGTTAGCATTCCTATTGCCATCCCTGTACCTAAGATCTTGGAGTAAACCATTTCTTATTGTGACATTTGAGAGTTTTTCCACATCCTGACAGCCATTTTTCCAGCCACCCAAAAGTAAAGCCTGTGAAGCATACTCCCATCCCAAGATTCCTATGCCAAACAAGTCTCCCAAAAATTTTACTCAGAAATGAGAGCCAGCAGGGAGGAAAAGATCCTATTTAATAGTCTTACTAGCTAACCAGTCTTTATAAAAACTAATGGACATACAAGGCAGTAAGGGAGCAAGAAGGTCCAGACTTCTTACCTGCCAGAAACAACTAGAAACTAGATAAACATATGAAACAACTGCTTTCAGATATTGGACTATAGGTAGTAGAGGACTGTGATCCCTGAGAGAGGGGAAGCAAATGAGGTGAGCCCTAGATTGCCCTAGCTTTCTGTTTGGAGGCAATTTCCAGACCACAGGTACAGGAAGGAGGAACCTCAGAGTTCTGTAAATTCTGTAGTCTTGCCCAGCTGGGTAGGCAGAGATCAGAGTTGAGAAGACAAGGAGGCCAAAGTGGCTAAAATTTGGAAGACACAATACTGAAGAAGAGCTCCAGAAATCTACATGGGGTCTATTGAGTCCCTGGCTGAATATTAAGCTACACATGTGGAACTGCATGAAGTCAAGAAAGGTCAGCTTCTGAGAAAAGATCACCAAGGAGTTGTAAGATGAATGATTCCAGAGCTCACAGAGGGCAGAAAATGTTTCAAACTCCTTACCAGCCAAAGAAGAGAGACTACAAAAGAGTAATGTCTTAGTAGGGCTAAACTAGCCTGGAAGCAAAGCCTACATACACTAGATCCTCTCCCCAACAACAAAAGAGACAAACTAAAAATAAGCCTTGGAAGTATAAAACTGAACCACACATAACTTTACTGCCTGCCAGAACAAAATCCAATTCTCTTTAAAGGAGTAGAACAAAATCCAGCAGTTGACAATGTCATAGTCACAATGTTTGGCATCCAATAACACATTATTAGACATGCAGCCATACAGAACATGACCCATAAGCAGGAGAAAAATCAGTCAATAGAAATAGACTCAGAAATGACAGAACTTATGGAATAGCAGACAAAGAAATTAAATAAACTATTATAAACACTACAAAAATGCCCAAGGCCTTAAAGGAAAACATGGACACAGTGAGGAGAAAATTGGAAATATATAAATAAAAAATCAAATGGAACAAGTACCAAGATAAGCTATATGTTGGACCAAAGCAAGTGTTACTATCTTTAAAAAGTATTAGAATCATACAGAATTGTTCTCTGATCACAACAGAATTAGACAGAAAGAAATTAGAAAAATCCCTTACATGTTTGGAAATTTAAGAATCCATGGATTAAAGAATATATAACTAAAAATGGCTTAAAATAACCCAAATTGAATGAAAATTAAGCCACAACATATTCAAATTTGTGGGAAGATGCATATATTTGAAGATCCAAGCTTCTATTTTAAGAAGCTAAAACTAAGAACAAATTAAACCCAATGTAAGTAGGAAAAGAAGATAAAAACAAAATAAGTATCAAGAGACCACAGACAAACAGAAGTGAAAATTAATGAAACAAAAAACTGGATTATCATCAATAAAACTGACAAAACTCTATCTGTATGTCAAGATAAAAAGAGGAAAATGCAAATTACCAATATCAGGAATAAAAGAGTGGACATCACTACATATTCTACAGACATTAAAAAAGATAAGGAGTTAAAGAATCTATACCAATAAACTACCACCCCCCCAAAAAAACCCTAGGATAGACAAATCCCTTGAAAAATACAAAATTATAAAAGGTGATCTAACCTATAAGGTCTCATATCTATTAAGAAAATATAATTTGTAGTTAATAACCTACTCAAAAATAAATGCTAGGCCCAGATGACTTCATTAGTAAATTCTGTTAAATGTTTAAGAAAGAAAGAATGCCAATCCTACACAAAATCTTTCAGAAAATAGAAGAGGAAGAAACACTTCTCAACTCGTTTTATGAAGCCAGCATTACCTCAGAACAAAAATCAGAGTTATTATAAAAAAAATTATAGGCCAATATCATTCATGAATATTCTTAACAAAATTTTAGCAATATATAAAAAGGCTACATCATGACCAAGTAGGGTTTATCCCAGGAATGTGAGCTTGGTTTAACTTTCAAAATTCAATCAGTATAATTCACAGCACAATAACAGAGTTTTTAAAAAAATAATCAATTCAATTCTTCAGAAAAAACACTGACAAAATTCAGTACCCAATCATGAAAAACTCTCTAAGCAAACTAGGA
The DNA here is from genome assembly GCF_000001405.40 of Homo sapiens. NCBI lineage: Eukaryota > Metazoa > Chordata > Mammalia > Primates > Hominidae > Homo > Homo sapiens. The sequence goes on from NC_000007.14 coordinate 92,817,483, forward strand.
ATATAAGGGAACTTCATCAATCTGATAAAGGACACCTAGGAAAACTTACAGCTAACATCATACTTTAGGGCAAAAGTCTGAATAGTTTTCTCCTTATTATTGGGAACAAGCCAAAAACATCTGCTCTCACCACTTTTATTTGACATTTTTCTAGAGGTTCTAGCCAGGGCAAAAAAAGAAAGGAAAAGAAATAAAAGACATATATATATATAGGGGGGAAAGTACAACTGTCTATTCTCAGATGATGTGTCTGTGTATGTAAAAAAACTAAAATTTACAAAGAAGCTACCAGACTAATAAGGGAGTTTTTCAGATCACAAGACACAAGGTCACTATACAAAAAAGACTATAGCTCTCAATGACAAACACTTAAAAAGAAAAAACAATGCCTTTTACAATAACATCCAAAAACATTAAATGCAAAGAGATAAATTTAATAAAATGCAAGCAAGGGCATTACACTAAAAGCTACAAAACTCTGATGAGAGAAATTAAAGACCTAAATAAATGAAGAGATACACCATGTTCGTGATCAGAAGTCAGTGTCAATATCTATGCCTTCGCCCTAATTAATAGAGATTAAATGCTATCCCAATAGGAGAATTTTTGTGTTAACTAACAAGCTGACTCTAAAATTTATATGAAAATACAAAAGAAGAGCAACAACAATTTTGAAAAACAAGAACAAAGCTGGAAAATGTATACTACCTGATTAAGACCTATACATTATAGTAATCAAAGTATGACATTGGCAAAAGGATAGATATATAGATCAATGCAAAAGAACAAAGAGTCTAAAAACAGGCCCAAATGTATATGCTCAACTAATGTTTAGCAAAGCTGCCAAGGTAATTCAAAATGAAGAAAGCAAAGTATTTTCAATAAATGGTGCGGAAATAGCTGGATATCCATACAGGAAAAATGAACCTGAACTCTTAGCTCAAGCCAAACACAAAGACTTGACTTGAATGCATCACAAATCTAAAATAAAAGCAAAAACTATAAAATTCTAGAAGAAAACATAGGAAAAATCCTATATGCCCTGGAGGTAAACAAATATTTATTAGATAGGATACAAAAAAGCATAAGCTATCAAAGAAAAAAAAAGATGAATTGGACTTAGGTTAAATTAAAATATTCTGTTTGACATAAAGCATTAAGGAAATGAAAAGGTAAGCCAAAGACCTGAAGAAAATATTTGTAATCCATGTAGCTGACAAAAGACTGCTCAAGAACTCTTACAATACAATAAGATAACTCAATTTTAAAAAACGGTCAATTTGAACAGAAACTTCCCAACAGAAGGTATCAGAATGGTCAATAGCCAAATGAAAAGATATTCAACAACATTAGTCATCAAGTAAATGCAAATTAAAATCACAATGTGTTATTAGTTCACACTCACTATAGAATGACTAAAAATAAAAAGATTGACAGTCCCAAGTGTTCAGGAGGGTGCAAATCAAATGGAACCTTTATACACTAGCACTGGAAATGGAACAACCAGTTTGGAGAAGTTTGACAATTTCTTAAAAATTAAATACACAATTGCCATACCAGTCAGCAATCTACCTGTAGGTATTTACCATACAAATGAAGCATATGTCATATCAATACAAAGACCTGTACACAAATATTCACAACAGCCTTATTTATAACAGCCCTAAACTGGAAACAACAGAAATGATCATCAGCAGGTGAATGAATAAACAAATTGTGGTAAATCCATATAATGGAAAATGAACTACTCAAACAGTCAACAACATAAATGAATCTCAAAAACACTATCAATGAAAGCCAGATATAATAGAACATAATACTCTTTGATACTGTGTATATGAAACTCTAGAAAGGACAAATCTATAATGACAGAAAGAAGATTAGGTTGGCAGGGGTCCTGGTAGAGGGAGGAGATTCACTGCAAAGGGCCCTGTGGGATAATGCGAGTATTTTAGATATTGATTGTGGTGGTGGTTAGTAGGTGAATAAATTTGTCGAAACTCATAAAAAGCACACACTTAAAATGGGTGTATTTTACTGTATAAAAATTATACCTTTAGCTCGTTTTGACTTTAAAAAAGCCAAAGGATATTCAAAGATCACCAGGCATTTAAAAAATTCAGCCACAGGAAAAACAAAAAAGTTAACCAAAAAAACTAAACACTGACAGAAACAGAGATAATGTGGAGGACTTTAAAAAAATTCACAGTAATTCAAAGAAATATTACAGAAAACCAGAGGAGGATGCTTTAAAAACCAACAAGTGGAGAACAAAAAATGATGTTTTGAAGTTAAAAATATTAATTACTGAGAGTAAATTCAGTAGACATTTGGAAAATAATATAGAAGTTTCTTTAGAATACAAAGCAAAAACCAGAGAAAAGAGATGAATTAGAAAAAAGATTAAAAGAAGAGACACAGAGATCCCAACTGCAAGATCAAATATCTGACTAACAGAAGAACCTTGTAAAGAGAATAGAACAAATGATGAAGAAGCAGCCATTAAAAAAAATAAAACGAAGCAAATCTGCACTTAGAAAGATTCCACAGAATGCCCAGCAAATTAAATGGTGGCGGGAAACCCACCATATGTAGACACATAGTATTTCTGGAGAACACAGATTGTGATAAAGGCAAACATGGCAAGAAAAAATAAAAAGGCAATTAGAAACTCCAGGAAAAACAAAATGATACAAGAAAGTCATGGCCTGAATAAAAAGTACACGAAAATAGGGCATATTTTAAACAAGTGATGCAGAATAAGGAAAGAGAATCCAGATGTCTGTTTTTACAAAAGAAGGACTCCATCAGCTTCATAGGGTTATAATGTTGAACCTGGAGAGAAGGAAACATAAGGGCTGAATATTTGGCCTAGCACTGAACTCTCTCTATATAGTCAGAAGAATGTAAGCACTGTTTACCAGTGTTCAACTTGCAAGGGTCAACCTTTAGAAAAGCAGGGAAGCCTCTGTTGCAGTACGGAACAGAATGCAAATAAACAATTTTAGCAAAGTAGCTGATAGAAATTGTGATGTTAAAGGGAGAACATAAGTGGAAGAAAGGTTACGGGGATAAAATATTCTCCTCTTACTAAATGGAGAATCAAGAGATACTGCCCAAAGTGAAAGTATGAAAAATTGAAGTTTAGGGATATTATTTAAAATTATTATATGAAATAAAAATATCCCTATCTCACAGAAAGCGAAGGAAATACACAGTAATATTAACAAGGTAAGTCCTCATTTTTCAGAGTAGAAAGTCAATAGATATTACTGAAGTTTAAATATCAAGAACTAGAGCAACAGCATATTATCTAAATTTATGGAGACCATAAACAGAAGCACCAAAAACAGACAGTGAAAAGAAGCTGTATCTGAGTACTGGGAATAGGAATAGCTGTATCTGAGAACTGGGGCAGGAGCTTTGCCTTTTTATCATAAGCCCTTTCATACTATTTAGTATTAGTATTAATGTCATGATTACAAAAAAGCTGGGGGTGGGGGGGTGGAAATTCTTTAACATTCCTTCCATTAAGAGGTGGTGTATGTCTCTACCTCTTGAATCTCTGGGGCTTTGAACTCAAATATAAACAACAAAACGTGGCATAATTAACACTGCTTGTTCTCAGGGACACCAACTTTTAAAGCCATGAGCCAACATGTACATTCAACTATTCTGAAGCTTTGATGCTGAAAGGGAAGCCCAGGCCACCTGGTGTAGGTCAGTGTAGGTGCTCTGCTCAAAAACCTGAGTTCAGATCCCAGCCTTCGCCAACCAACTTGCATGAACCACCAGGCTTGAAAGTGAAGACGCCTAGAATAATCAAACTACCAGTTTTTGAGTAATTTCCAGCTAATGTCCCAGACATCTTGGAACAGAGATATGCCATTCTCACTGTGCTCTGTCTGAATTCCCCACCTGCTAAATTCATGAATATAAGATAATGGTTGTTTTAAGCCCCTACATGTTGGAGTAATTTACTACAAGCAATATTAACCAGAAAAATTGCTTTAATAGAAAAATGTAATTATTTTAAACAAAAAACTGCAAATAACTCTCCTCACCTGCAAACTTTGGTACTCTACTTTATTAACAACTTCCTTGAAACATATCTGACAACTGACTGGGAACACCACAATTTTTTTTCTTTTCTATTCTATTACTCACTCCCTCTCTTCATTCCTTCTTTCCCTTTCTTTTCCTTAATTCTTTCATTACTATATATATTGTATAAATTATGTTATATATATAATTAGTTTATTGCTATGTAATAATATATTAGTATTATCAGTGATGTCACAACCCATTACGTGATCACAATCAGCTGTTCTAAGCAGAGGAGGAAGGTGCTTGGAATGGTAGCCCCAAACAGAAGTAATGGGACAAGGTTCATAATGGGACTGGCCACTTGGGCTTCACTGCTTATAAAGGCAGTGATAGCCATTTATACAAGGCTCTTTAGGGGAATGCATGTCAATATTTTAATATGACATACATATTACATGGACATCCCTACTTGTAAGGACAGCTATGGCCATTAATATAAGGCTCTTTAGGGAAATATAAAATATGACTCTTTAGAAGTCATATTTTAATATAACTAATTTTACAGTAAAACAAAAATGAGCAGTCACAGCCCAGAGAATCTTAAACCATGTTCACAAACTTCCATCAAAACATGTAAATTCAATCTGCAAAAACTGATATGATGATTTAAAATATCACTAAAATATCAATATTATTGGCATAAAATTATGTTCGTAATTTAATGAAAACAGTAGTGGATGAATTAGCTTAGAAAGGGTATATCTCATTGTCCAATCTACTTGCCAATCATTACATTATTAAATAACTCCTAATTCCCAGGTCAGAATCCAATTTACTACCTATTAGAGACTACATAATTTTGAAGAGTTTTAAATGCAATACTGAGTGAATAGAAAAATAAAATATCTAATAAATTGTAGTGTTAATTTACATTTTTACTGTCAATAAAGTTGCTGTGAAAACAGTAATCTTGAGTCATGGCTTAACTATTTATTCACTCAGTCATTTACTCAATTGATATTTACTAGGAACTGTTCTGGATGCTGGAGATAATGCGTGAGCAAAACAAAAATTTTTGCCCTCAGGGAGCCTATATTCTAATGGGAAGCTGACATTCAACATTAATTCATACAACTATTCAACAGGTAATTGAGTGCTAGGCACACGGGGCAATGCAAAAATGATTAAAATAAGGTGCCCAAGAAAAAGCAGACAGCAATGCCATTTTATTTTTGCAGAATTGTAAGAATGATAATCTGAGTTTACTCGTTCCATAAGCACTGGTTTGAGGGTTTTCTAAATATGGCAGAATTTTCATCTACTTTCAGATCACCAGGTTTCAGAGTTTGAAGTTTATCAAGAAACTTCAGATCTACTCACTATCCCAAGTTCTCTTACTGTTTTTTCTATTTTCTCTCTCATTGCTACCTTAACTTAGCTTATCTTCTACCACCGTCTTCCCTTCTTTTAATGAGCATGTTGTCCTTTCAGATACATAAATACAACTCCAGACCATTTTCTATTTGCCTAATGATGGATTCACCTCTTACTTTTATCAACTAAAGTGAAAAAAAAAAAAACCAAACCTATACCATCTTTCCTAAACAAAGATGTTTCTCTTGACTCATCTCAAAAGTCTAGTTTTTCTAGGATTGGATTGGTACCACCGAGTCAGTCACATTCATACAGCTCTCCTTGAAATCAGTTCCATCACTTTGAGTCAGTCAATACTTGAGTAGTAATGTCTGTGAAACAGACTTCTTCCCTTCACAAAACTTTAGCTGAGAACCAAGTGGCATCAGTTCTCATCTAATCAGCTAGAAGTTAAATAGCCACTGATTAAGTTTCATGGGCTTAAAATAATTTGTAAGAATTAGCAGAATGTTACCACTCTTCTTTTGAGTCTTAATATGTAAAAAAAAAAAAAAAAAAAAAAAAAAAAGTCATTTCAAAGAAGCTATGTTCTCCCAGGTCAAGGGAACTTACATAATTTGAATGTATTTCATTCATGATCAGCACTGGGAGTCCCTTCTAGCCCCAATCTCCAAACCTGTCTCTTGGTTTCTCAAGGTTCAACAAGAAAATATCCCATTTTAACCCAAGATTATTTAATAACTTTTTAAAGTGATTCTACATGGTTGAAATGTATACTATATCAGCTAAAACTCCCAACTTGAAACGACTCAGACAGTCTCTTGGGTTCTTCTAAAAAGTTTTAAAATGTACTGGTCTGAGTAAACTAAACTTTTAAACTAAAGTTTAAAAGTCTACCCTTGAAATGCAAAGATGTCTTTTTTCAGAAAAAGTTTTTATTATTTGTAGAGACAGGGTCTCCCTATGTTGCCCAGTCTGGTCTCTAACTTCTAGGCTCAAGCAATCTTCCCATCCTAGCCTTCCAAAGTGCTAGAATTACAGGTGTGAGCCACTGTGCCTGGCCTTCTTTTGTTTTTCTTGCTCTGCTGCTGGAAAGGTGTGAGAGTTAATGTTCCTAACATTATACTTTGAACCTTCTAAAAATAAAAGTATTTTAGGATAAATGAATGTTTTTTTTTAATCATTAGGAACACCTACCACAGAAATTATGAGATTACTTTGCAATAAAAGGAAGCAAAGGAAAAAAAAAAAGCAAATTCACTAAAGATTAGTGCCCCTAAAAAAGAACTGCTTCATTGCTGTGAATAGAACTCTTAACGATTTAAACAGAGGACACAGAACAAAATTTTAAATGTCATAAGTCAGTCACGCCATAGGAACAGCCTCAGAAAATAAACAAGCAGAAATTCCAAAGTATGACAAAAATGAATAATTCTCTTTGAGATTTTGAAATTAAAAAATAAAAGAAAGAAAGAACAAGCAAAGAATCCAACTCCTCTTTGGGTTAATTTGAATAGTCAAATACAGAAGAAATCATCAAGCTCCCATCAGTTTTGACAATGTGTTCTCAGCAGCATTTGGTCCACAGATACTCTCACAATAAACCCATTAATAAACAGGAAAGACCACTGGGTAAACACGACACCAATATCCAATACCCAAATGAAAGATTATTTTTTACTTTAATTACTATAAACTCAATACACATCTTTTCAGAAGTACCTAGCTCCATTCATACTTTCACAACGTGAGGTGGAATGAAAGTGCTACCAATCAGTAATACAGATATCTGTGTACATGTCAGTTTCTTCCAGGAAATTATAAACTACTTGAAAGCAGGAATTCATTTTGTTAATAATACCTTATATTTGTATAATATTGGATCTTTGTATACATAATTTCATTTGATCAGAGTAAACCACTAAGGTCTAAAGAGCAGTAGTAATTTCTATTTTTATTGTGGGGATATGGCAGCCAAGAGACATGAGGAATTTACCCTAGGTTACTCAACTATTAAATAATAAGCAGAGGAATCAGGATAAGAATCAGTTTTCTGACTCCTAGCCCACAAGCAGGAACATTTGAAAAACTTATTATGGAAAATTTCAAACATATATAAATGCAGAGAGACTAGTACAATAAAACTCCACAGTTTCAACAGTGATCAACTCATAGTTCATTCTTATTGCATCTCTACCCCATTGTGAAACAAATTGCAGACCACATACCATTTTTTGGGTAAACATTTCAATATGCACTTTTTGTGACTACTGCCTTAATCCCATTTAACAAAGCGTTGAATATAACAGATACTCATAAATACTTGCTGAATGCCAGAGACCTCACCTGTATTTTCAGACATGATTACTCATTTCTAACTAAAAAAAATTAAATTCTGAATTTCTAAATGGCGCATATTCTGTCATTTAGAAATACTTATTCAGGGTTACAAGACACCAGACATCATGCTAAATGCTTGGGATACTGCAAGGAACAAGACAACACAGTCCCTTCTTTCAAGAATCTTGTACTCCACTGTTCTGCATGCACATGCGTGCACACACACACACACACACACACACCCCAACCATATGTGTCTTAAGAAACTGGAATGAATTCAAACTGGAAGTATACTTCTTAATTAAACCTACCAGTTTGTCAAGATGGAATCCAAATTCTCTGTACACAAATTATGAAGAGGAGTAGAAGACAAGGCTCAAATGAAATTCAGAATCATCATCTTTTATAGAAATTATTAGGAAGGTTTTACCTAATTCTGCTAACAGGTTTTCCACTATTGAAAGCCAAAGAAATTAAAATTAATGGGAAAAATAAAAGAACTCAAGCAATTGATCAAAATGTATTTATAATACCTTACTTTCTTACATTTGAAATGTTCAAATCATTTTCAGCTTTTGCTGAATGTATGCTCATTTCCTAATGTTAATGTCTTCTTTGCAGTATATAAATTAAGTCCAAAGTTGCACAGTTAACTATAAGAATGAATTATACTTAAACTTTCATATAAACTATGTAGATTGGAGTAAGACAAAAATGAAACTTCCTTTTTTCAGTATTTCCTAAATTATTTCCCAGGAATCCCAATAAGTGTAATCCAATATGCAGATCCGTTCTCCCTCCTTGACACTCCTTAGTATTAACATTATTTCACATGATAGAAATAATTCATATGGTGTCTTCCTTTATAACTGGACCCCTTTTCAATGATTTCACTCACTTGTTACGTATTCACCTTATATCCAATGGATACAGGATATAAACGAATGTAATCACAAGACACTCTCTGCCTTAAAGAGCTTACAAATAGGGTGTGAAAGAGTAGAGAGTCAGAAGAGGGCTGTCATGGGAGTTAACATTCCATCTTACATAACAGAAATAATATAAGGGGACAGATACAAGCTAAGTGCCATAAAGGAGGTCCAAAGTTACCAGGACTCAAAGGAAGCAGAAATGTTATCCAAATCGAGGTATTAAGGAATACAGAACAAAGAAAGTGACATTTGAGGTTGGCCCTGAAGGATAAGCAGAATTTCAACAGGTGGAGAGTGGTGCAGGAGAGGTACCAAGTGCACATTCAGAGATCTGTTCAAATTAAAGTAATAGAGGTGGATGGCAAGAAATCCATTAGGGCAAATGGAGTAGTCCATCTGTCTGTAGGATACATGTTAACAAATACAGAGGAAGAACATGAGAATATCCTGTCAAAGCCAAAGCAAGTACAATATTGAAGATAAAAAATGCATAGTCAGGAAAAGTTTAAATATGAGTAAGTATTTGAAGACTCTTACTAAATAGACTTCACATGTGTATGCCTTACAGTTAATACCCACAGATCTCCCAATGTCAATAGTCCAAGATACTTGCTAATGCAGTATACAACTCTAAAACGATGAAAAGTGCTTATCTAAGGGGTTTAAAATTTCAATCAATCAGGAAACATATACGGGTTAACCAATGGTTATGGACACCATGTTATTTATGGATATAAAATACACAATCCTGGTTCTCAAGTCAGCAAACATAAAGTCACTAAACTGAAAATACTTTTACATCTCAAGGGATTTTTTTCTGGTATATCCAATGACCATCAGTCATCCTGTCTTACCAATGTTTAATATAAACCTCTGTCTGAATCTTAGCCATCCTCAATCAGTTTATATCTACAATGCATACAATCACAGAATAAAACTGTTCACTAACAGTGAGATAATTTTTTGCATTCATAAAACAACTCAAATTTTATTATTATAAAACAGATCAAAGGGGGTTGCACTAGGTTAAATCTAAGACTTCTTCCAATTAAAAAAATCCTTATGCTGTGATTCTAATTCTACTGAACTAAATCCTTTAGGAAGGCCAGAGAATAGGAATAATTTAAGTGGCTACTTAAATTACAAAGCCAGTAGATATCCAAATTTCGGCAAACTACTATAGACAAAGGAGATGGTCAAAAATGTTTAATAATAATCCTGACTCAAATGGACTTCCAGACTACAACTGTACACTTGCATAGATTCCTGCCACATGCCTTGCAGTCCCTCCGGTTCACCTCTCAGGCAAGAGCAGCTACATGTGCAGCTGGTAAAATAAAAATCAGGTATGGCAGCAAACTGGTGATATTCAAGAAAACTACCCAGCAGCTCTTGGAAAAATCTCTCTGATTGCTGGCCTGCCTGCTCCACCAAACCTAGCATCTATGGATCATCACTCAAATAGTGACCTTCATGTAAGTATGCTTGTTATCAACCACCGGTGCGTTTTCAGTGCTGCCTCCTGGATCTTGGACAAAGCCCAACATCATACACACTAACTTCTCCTGTTAACAATTCACTGACACCCAGATTTCATCTCTGCTGTGTTCTGTTACATCAAGAAGCTCACAATTAATTTACTTCCTATGAAGACAGAGCAACTCATCTGAACCTCATGAGAAAGAACAATAGTGTGATTAGTTCCTCAGAAGGCATGGAAAACACATATTTGCTTATGTGTCTGATGGTTATTATGCCATCTAATTTTTAAGTATTATGATGTTTTTATTTCATTAACCAGAATGTTACATAATGTGCCAGAGCCACATTATGTAATATTTCATTCATCAGACAAGTACTAAGTGTTTCAATTTTTCCTACTCCTCTTTGTCTAAAATGAATTCAATATTATTAATGAATTACCTGCATAATTTACCTGTATCATCATTTAACTATAGCTATTTTAAATTATTATAATTAATTTAAATTATCATAATTATAGCACAACTTCCTTAAAAGAAGAATTTACTGGAATAATACTCTTGTAGAGATATACTTCAGTATGGCATACTGCAGAATTCAGGAATTTACTGAATTTTTATTCATTTATCGTTATGTCATTCATTCCTGGCAAACTGTCACTTTTGTCTACATACAGTTCATTTTTTCCAAACTAGAAATGTACTCACCCGATTTAACTGCTTCCATCAAACAAACAAACAAAAATTGCTACTTAGTTTTAAGAACAAGTCAATAACTTTAAAATGGCATGACAGACAAGTAGCTTGACCTCCAGAGTGTCTTCCAACCCTAATATCCATGGTTTTACAATGATAGGCTGCATGTATGCTGTGTTTCCTTCTTAAAAAACTTTCCTAAGAAATCATTAATAGTGAGACATTTGTTTTTTTAAAAAAGAAATAATTTATTTTTAATAGGAACCTATTTGCATAGATATTCATTTACCCATGTCTTAAACATAGGAAAATATCCTCAAAGATATTCAAGTTTATACAAGTTTTCCTCTTATAGACCTTTTTTGTCCTTGATTCCATAGAGAGATTCTAATAATTCTATGTTGATAGTGGTTGTATAAAAGGGATATAACTGCAATGTCAAAAATTCAGCATTATCAAGTTCTTCTGTAGGAACAAAAAATGAGCAGAATACCATTGTGAAAATGTTTATTTACTAAACAACCTTGAAAAATCAGAAACTTTTCAAGGAACTCTCAGAGACAGAAAGAACAAACATACTTTTAACATACTGATATTTAAAAGGAGAATTAAACTCCTGCTTTTCCTGCTTTTATTGAAAAAAGCCCTAGTAAATGTATTATTCAACCACACAAATAGCAATTTTATTCAGAAGGATTCTCATGAACTAATCCAATTGAAGACCTGGCTTTACAGAGTCAAATATGTCATGTTTCTTTTACCCTGTTAACAATTAGGTTTTCCAGAGAAAATCACATTTTTACTCACCTTTTATGCAATATATTACTAAGATCTTTAAAAAAGAGAGAAAATTAGAAAACTCTCCTTGAATAATCATTAAGCTTTACAGCCTTTTCTTTGGGTTTTTTGTTTTGTTTTTAAAGCAGTGACTATTCTAATTATAATATTTAAACATCACAAGTTTATTCACTGATATGTAATGACTTTTAGTTTCCAGAGCCAATACTTGAATTTGAATTGCTTTTACTGTTACACTAATAAATATAATCCCTAGAAACAATACAGGTAAGCACTGGCTTGTATCTTTCTTACAGCACATGATCCTATCATGTATCAGGGTTATGGTGATCATCTTATTCCTTCAAACATGGGAAGAACTGCTTCAGGAGAGTAGCTAGGTATGATTTACCCTGGTATCTTTCCCAGCACCTAGCCCCATGGTTTTTAAAGCATATGCCCTTCCTAAATCCTTTTTGAATAAATGGAGCTCAAATGTTCACTTATATTAGCTATGTGTCAGTATCTCATATAGATCAATCCCTATGTTAGGGAGGTAAAATTTAATCTTCAAAAAGCACTTGATTCTGATTAGCCTTTTGGTTATGTTGCCTACTCAATCAGGAAATTCCTGGTAACCGAATTATCAGAAATATCAGTTGTTCTATAAAACTGGTTAGGTTAAGTATAACAAAACAAGGCAATTAAAACAAAGATGAGTAAATTTTTAAAGAGAAGAAAGAACTGCTCATCTCATTACAAGGCAAGTTCTACAAGTGCGGAGACTTTTCCAGGCTTGTTCATTGCTATATCCCCACCTTCTAGAAGAGTCTGGCACATAGTGGACCCTCAGTAAATATTTGGTGAATGAACAGACTGCTGACAAAACATGCTATAATTTTATCTCTATTGTTTTTAGTTCAGGCTGTTCAAACAGGATCCATTTGTGCAGTGCAGAAACTCCAATACAGGTTCACAGTGAAGTCCTATTCTGGCAAAGGTTCCAGGATTTGGGATTACCAAATGTAAAAAAAGAGTAAATTTACTTCCCAGACACTCACTGGCTGATCAGGCGAGGGCCTGGGATACATCAAATGCAGGTAAGCAAGAATTTCAAGTCATTATCCCTGTGCATGCAGGCAGTACCAGTGCCAGCAATAACAAGTCAGCTTTTCTGGCAAATCCATCAAAATTAAATCTTAAACTTTTGAAAAAACTAATATGTTTATTATGCTCCTGTTAGCTTAGAGGCTTAACTATCTGTGGGGGAGGGCCTATAATTATGATCAATTACTTATGACTTGAAGGTACTTATAAAAGCATCTGCCCTTTTAAGAAACCATTAAAGAACCAGGCTTAAGACTGTAAAACTAATCCCAGGGGCAATAGTAAATCACAGGTTTGGGGACCCAACTTTGACAACTCTCCCTTGGAAAGAAAAGAATTGCTGTCAACTGTCCTTATTTCCTGACCCTGTCTGAGCAAATATTCGCAGCCTCTAAAATCCAGAATTCTTAGTCTGGCCAAGCAAGTCATGGGGACCAATGGTTGTTTCAAGGCAGAGGCAGAAGAGAAGAAACAGGAAGGAAACAAAAAGGGAATGAAGATCTGTAGCTCATGAGGGTGACATCATCAATAATTTCCTCAAGTATCACTGAATTTCATGGCTCGTGACTGAGAGTCTTTTCTGACATCTTACAGGCTAATTATCCTCAAGGATCTTCTTGGTTCCAGAGCCTGTAATGTCTGGGTTTGAATATGATTTGTTCTACAAAAAAGGTCAGGTGAATTGACCCCTCCCTGTGAAGCTGCTCCATGGCAAGAGACCATCAATCTGCTGAAACGCAAACAATCCTTTAGATATCTGAAGTACTTTCAAATTTACAAAGTGCTTTCACATACGCCATCTCATTTTATTCTCACGACTTTAACAGGTAGGTGCCATCATCACCTTAACACGTAAAAATAATTTTAGAAAACAATGCCTTTGTCTTCAGTTCATAAGAATATCCTCCTGAAATTCACAGTACAGAATCCAAGTCATGGGTCAGTTAGAAACGTCTAGAAACACATCAATCTCAGGAGGATAAATCAAGAGAATAGGATGGATCAGACAAAATCTACAAGCACAATGGCAGAAAGTGTGCCTCTGGTATAAGAATGGCGTAAGCTTTGTAAACAATAGTGTTATACAGGGGTGCCTCTGTAGTACCTCTACGTTTGGAAGGACACTATTCATTCATATACATGATAAGCACCCTTAACTGGATACTCCATAGGTAACAGACAAAATAAAACAAGAACTTCCGTCTTAAAATTGTAGTGGTGGAATTCATCCTTCGGGATGTATTAGGTGATTCCCCTAGGACGACAGCTGAGTTACAGGGGGCTAAATATACCCTCCCCTTTTCCCTCCAATATCACAAAGAGCCCCAAAAACGGATTTTGTTGTTTTTAACAAATAAAATACACATGAAAAAAAGTCATCTATAGGTTTTTATATATAATCTCATCTTCTAAAACACTCATTCTCCTTCACTAGCTAGGCCGAGGTATAATGCGGTCTTAACTTTATAACCATTTACTGCCTTATTTATATATTTATGATTCTTTGATGCCTTCTAGCTTGAGTCTAAACTGCGTTGGGAACAAAGCACCGCACAAATCACCAGCCTGGGATAAGAGGAGACAAGTTAAAACCTCCCAAGAAGATTCTGTAGATATTTGGTCTCTCTGAGTCTGTAGAGAGTTTGGTATTTCAAAGGTCAGTCTTGGGTCTCTCCACTTTGATGACTAATGTTAAATTGTTTGACTTTTTACAAAAATATTTAGCTGTGCTTATTTACATCATTTCATCCTCAGCGCACACAGTAGGCATGTATTTGTTGAACAGAAGCCCTAAATGGATGAGAAAAAAGATATTTCTGCTACACATTTTCTCAAGATCGAGAAAGGTAAAATCACAACCCAATTTGCAGAAGTTTCTAGGCATTCCTTTTCAATGTAAAGCTATGCATCTCTGTTTAAAAAAGAAAAGGATGACACAACCAAACAATGTCAACCACACAATGGGGAAATTCCAGGATCACTAAGAAAACACCATTATCCTAAGTCACACATTTTCATTTAATACTGGTTACCACACAGGAGAGAGTAAGAACTGCTGTCTCCCCACCCACTCGCACAATCCATCTGGGAAAAGCATGGGCAGAACATTTATGATCTAACCATACCACATCTTGGACTCACATTTAACCCTTTGGAGAATTAGTCTAAAGAGTATGTCCGCCCAGAGATATAAAGTAAAACAGACACAGGGATAACAGTTTTGGAAGAAATTTTTATGACGCTGTTTGAGATTGGGCATCAGCACTCAAACTCCTTAGACCACCAGGAGTCATTCTTACTACGCAACTTTAATAAAGAGAAACTGAGAGTATGACTGGCAAAAATATTATGATGTTTCTGCATCTTGTTAACCTGATTTACACTTGGCTCCACCCATAAAGTTCCCACTGATTATCACACGGCATCCTCATTCTCCAGTCTCACCTACTCTGTCTTTCAAAAATTCCCCAACGGCATGGCCACGAAAAATATGCGGGGGCTAGCGGGGCATGTCTCAGGTTGGCTTATCCTGTCCCTAAAACGCACCCACTTCCCCCAGACCCTCCTTCAGGGTGGGCAGGGAGAAAACGCTTCTAAGTTGCACAGCTGCAGGGAAGCCTGCTCAGGTCATGTTTTTTTGACTTGTCTTTCGGCTCGCTGTCTGGCAAGGTCACCGGCTCTGGCTCGCGGCTCTGTCGACAAAACTTAACTCTCACTCTGTAAGACCAACAGGTCGCGCAGGACCTCCCCAGTCGCCCTCTGCCCCGCACCTTTCTGGGCCTGAGGATTCCCGGCTCGGCCCTCCCCGCGCGCGCGAGGCCCCAGATGGCGAGGGCGCAGCTCCCTGGCTCACCTGACCACGTTGGGGTGCTCGAAGGTCTCCAGGTGCCTCAGCACCGCCACCTCGCGGATGGTGGAGAGCGGCATGCCCTCCTCGCCGGTCTGCACCCGCACGCGCTTCAACGCCACGAAACGGCCTCCGTTCTTCAAGTCGCGGGCCTTGAACACCTTCCCATAGGCGCCCTCCCCGATCTCCGCCACGCATTCGTACTGCTGGTCAGCGCGGCACAGGCCGTCCTTCTCCATGCCGCCTGGACGCCGCCCGCCGCGGCGCCGCTGGGGCGGGCGGGGGGTGCGCTCAACTAGCTGGCGGCCGCCGCTCGCCTACTCCGGGGCTCCCCGGAGATCGGTCTAGCTTTACTTGCTCCCCGCCGGCTCAGGCGCTCGGGCGCTGGGGCTTTCGCCGCTGCAGAAGCTGGATGGAGAGACCTCCCCGCGGGGCTGGCGTAACCCTGGTGCCGCCGCCGCGAAACTCCGCCTGCAGAGTCGCCGCCGCCGCCGCCGCCGGAGGAGCGAGCCGATCCCTCCTCTTCCCTCCTCGAAGCGAAGTCCTCAACACAGACACGATTACATAGCCTCTGCCCAAGCGCGTCTCAGTCCAGAATCATTGCACCTAAAGGAGGAGACGGGAGGATAAGAAGAAAGTGCAATCAGACAGCCCAGAAGCCTTCCTCGGGGTTCCTCCAGACTCCCCTCCTCCTCCTTTACGAAGCCTCCATCGCTACCCTCCGCGCGCTCCTGCCCTCTCCCAAGCCGCTTAATCCTTCCTGGTTCCTCCGAGAAAAGCGAAGTTACTTTTCTTTCCCTGCAGGGCTGAAGCCGTCTTCGCGCGGAGAGGTTGCAGGGGCCCCTCGGGGATGAGCGAGCGGCGCGGGACGCAGTGGAACGGGAGGGGGCGTGCCGAGCAGCCCAGAGTGTGCCGGGAGCGCGGGGGAGGGGAGGCGCCGGGCACGTCAATGTCACGGCTTAATATTTATCCCTATATCATTGTGTTGCGCCGCTACCCTCCCCGCCTCCTGAGGCCCGGACGTGCAGGGAGACGGGGTCCAGGGGTGCCGGAGGGCGTTCAGGGGTCGCGCACAAGCTGGAGCGGAAGGACTGTGGGTCCATCCGTGTGGGGCCGCAGAATGTGGGTGGGGGCTCCCAGGACCCTGTAACCCGATGCTGGGAGTGTGCGAGAAGGGGTGGTCAGACATCTGCTCAGAAATTGCTTCCTTTCTTTCTACTTTCAGTTTTTCTACGAGGAGACATTTAAAAACGACTCGCATACACAAATGGTCTTTTTGGGGTAAAGGAGTCTCGGTTGGAAACGGAATTCTCTCTCCGGCTGGGAGGACCTCCCTGGTGGAAACCTTGGGAAGACCAGCCATCTGGTCGGGGAGGGTTGGGGCTTATCGGGGGTGGGCGAGCGAGCGGTCCTGGGGGAGGGGAGACACCGTCCCCCACGGGATCCCAAGGGTGGGAGAAAGGGGTGTTCGCCACAATTTCGCTTGTCGTCTCCTTAAAGAATAACTTCAGGAAGGGGATAGCATAATCGCGCCTCGTCCTTAAGTTTTAAACTGATTTCGACCTGAGCAAAACTCAACCTCCCTTTCAAAGGGTGGGGGGTGGGGGGTTAAATCCTGCGCCTCCAGGGGTGAGAGAGAAGGTCTCTGTCCTCGGGGCCCGGACTCGCGAACCTTTTCCCATTCCCAGGACCTCCCCGCTGTAGGTAGCAGAGGTGGCTGCCCCATTCCCCCTCCGGCTAAAGGCCCGGTCCAGTCTGCAGCCGGACGCCCCCGGAGCCCTCTGCACAACAAAGCGCCAGAGTAGGGTACCCTAACTTTCCCTCCCCATTCAGCAGCTATCTGGGACCTAGGGGGCCTCCCTCCTCCAGGGCCGCCGCGGCCTCGGCAGGACTTTCACCACGACGGCCGCATGTCCGGAATTCCCGGGGCACCTCGGAATTACCTGCCTCGCAACCGCTGGCCCGCTCGCCTTTTGCCAGGAATTAAACAAACGGCGCGACCCCCACGATGAGCGGGTGGAGCGGACCGCGGCGAGAGCAGAGCTTCTGGCACTCACTACATTCAGAACTTTCCTTAAAAGCCGAGGAAAGAGCCCCCAGGGACTGCCCGGGGGTCTGAGCCAGGTCGAGGGCCACACAGGTAGCCGGGGAGCCGCCGCCGGCCGCCCAACCCGCCTGTCCTGCATCCCCCCAACCCCCTCCCGCTCGAGTCTAGCCCCGGGCTCCGCAGCGAAGGAAGCGTCGGGGACGTCCCACCCCCGCAGGGAACTGCGCCTGCTGCCCCCGCCGGGCCCCGCACTGCCCTGGCTCTCCCCCCACTCGCCCCCCAGACGGTCGGCTTCGGCGGAGAGAAACGGGAGCAGCAATGCCTTTTCCCCCCCTCTCCTCCACTTTTTTTTGTTGTTGTTGTTGCTTTCCCACGCTGGCTGAATGTGACTTGACCCCATTTCAAAAAAAGTTTGACATAGTGCTTCAACATTTCCGCATTCCTCCGCGACTACAAAGGCTGCAGCCGCCTCCTTCTGCTTTCTGTCTCTGCTCTCTGTCTTCACACTCAATGAAATCCTTCATGCGCCTCTCCCGAAGCCTGCCAAGCACCACAAGGGTCGCCACCAGCACAGCGACAAGAGGCCACACCGGGGACCGCGACTCCCGCGTGTGCGCACACGCAGATGCGCCCATATGCACACGGACGGGCGCGCTGCGGGGACCAGGGCTGCTCACTGCGGGGCGTGTGTTTAACTCCAATATTTTAAATTATAAAAGTAAACTTGGAAACTACAGCAAACGTGCGTCTTCGCGGGGCTCCAAGCCTGGGCACTGGCCGGCTGCGTGCACTTTTCTGTGTATAACACGCCCGCAGGAAGCCTGCGTTAACATTTATCTCGTGGAGGGGAAGGTGGAGCCCACACCCACACCTCAGCGAGCTGGAGAGGGAGTTTTCGAGGGGGAAATGCAAGCACATTCTCCAGCATGGAGTCCCTAGAGGCAGTGCATTTTAAACCCTAAATGTGAATTATTATGTGAGTGTCCGAGTAGAGTTCCAGTTCCGTTTGGAGAAACTGTATGAGGCGTGTTCCGTGTGGGTGTGTGTGCGTACGGATACGTGGAAGCAGGATCTCGGTGTCGCGGGTGTCCCTAGGCTGGGATCTCCCCCTCTCATCAGATAAGGAGAATCCTCTAGCTCCCCAAAACTGGCCCCCATAACCAATCCCGTCTCAGTTCGTAAGGGGTTAACCAAAGCCGATTCCAAGGAAACACAGGTCCCCCCCACCCCCCGCCACCCTCCACTTACCCCACCCACAGTTCTGCCTCGGACCCCGGCCAATCCCCCAGATCTCCCCCGGGACCCCCCACCCCGCAGCCCACCCACCCGAGCGCACAGCTCCTCACCTGAGGGGCCCAGTCGCGTCGGGCCTCCCGAGGGGGCTGCGAGTGTCAGTCGGCTCTCCGCACGTGTCCGCGGCCTCGCGGAGCAGGTAATCAGACTCTGGGGAAGGAGTTACCAGCACTCTCTCCGGCGAGGGGGTGGGCACAGCGGCGGAGGGCGGAGGGACGGCGGAGGGCGCCGCCCGCGCCGCTCGCTGGGGGCGGACGGGGGCCGCTGGGCTCCGGCCGGCGCTGGGGGCCCCAGCCGGGGAGGCAGCTGGGGCGACCGTGCGGGGTGGGGGCAGGGACCCGCGAAGCCAACTCTGCCGGAGACCCACCCCCCGGCGGGGCTGGGGGCTCGTGGCGCAGTGGCAAGAAAGTGTGCAAATTAAAGCCTTCCGGAGAGAAATGAGGCGGCCGAGTCCCGGCAGTGCTCCGAGCTCCGGGCTCCCTAGCTCCCTTCTACGAGTCGGGGGCTAGAAGGGCGCGGTGGGGGTGGGGGTGGGGGGGAGAGTTAAATGAAAATTTCCGGCTTTCGCTGAAACTGTAGTAGGGGGATCCTGCGACTAAAATAAGCGGCATTAGTGGGAGAGAGTGGGACGTGTCGTCGGGAGTCGGCGGAGTTTCCAAACCCAGGGTCGCCCAGAGTTGGGGTTTTGACAGGGTGAAGCGGGGGGCATCCTCACTGTGTGACGTGGACGGATGGGAAAAACACAAAACAACCAACAATAATTATGAGCGGCCAATGGGGGTGGTAAATACCAATACTTTCCAAGAAACTGAAAAATCAGACCAAAAAATAACTCTTCTCTTAAAAAAATAAAGAAAAAGTTTGGCAGGATGCCTTGCAGAAAAGAAAATACTAATCTATCCAAGCACTTTTCACTTTCAGCATGAGCTACATTTGTTTTGTTTTCCTTCGCTTCCTTTCTGCCTCACAAAGCCCTATCTTTTCCTTTTAGACAGAGGATATGGTTTGGAAATTGTCAGGCACTCTTATGGTTAACGATCTACTTGAAGGGGCTGGCGGGCTCACAATTATTAAGTGGTTAGTAACTGCTGAGGGTTCACTAACGTATTTCAGAGGAGCTAAAAAGACTAAAATTTAGTGTAAATAATAGAACTGCAGATAGTAGATACATACACAAAAAGAGGAGTGCTCAGTTTAAATGCATTATTGGAAATCTGAAATTTGAAACCTTGTAAGAATGTATACTTTACCTGCTGAGAAACCCTTGAATACAATTATTTCAGGTGAAAATTAGATTTTGGAGAAAAAAAAGTCTTTAAAACTTTCTACAATGGAGTAAAAGAAAACTTGAAATAGCTGTCTTTTTGGAAAGAATTTGGTGTTCTCCCCAAAATCTCTATCTGTAGAATACTTGAAACCCTTTAAAACATCTTAAAGCAAAACTTTTCACAAAATTATTTACTTAAGTGCTTTGTAGAAAAATTAAAACCTGGCAAAATTCTGTTTGAATTGGAAATACTACTTCTATAAATCTTTTGACTTTAAAACCATGTTACTAATCTCACAGTAAATCAAATTTTTGCCTTTATAAAACTGATTCTATGTTATAGTGTGAGGTAAGGCTAGGGAAATAAAAATTGATGCATTTTCAGTAGCACATATTTTGCAATGCATTATAATACTTTTTTCTTTAAAAATAAAAGTGAATAATTGTATGTCTTTAAGCTTAAGATAATTCATAAAATACATTTGTGTTAAGAGCATGTCTTCTAAAATAAGATCCAGTTTTCTGAACAAAATTTGTATTTATAAAGCTATCTATAATCTCATATACCTTATAAATTTAAGAAGGCAAATCATTAGATTTTATATTTACATAAAAATATTGGATCACTACAAGTCACTAATTAGACTTTAAGCCAGAGACACAAGTGGGAATCCTCCATTTTGATAATTGTTCACACTTATCATTTGCCTTTTAAAACAAGATTTACTTGCTGGTAATTAACATGTTTATATAATCCAGAAATAATTGCCAGCAAATAGGAAGCAGCACATCATGGCTAGAATTTATTTGAATAAATCATTTATTAAAAAAATAGTAAGCTACAAATATTAAATTAACAGAGAAGTGTCTTTTCTACACTGGGTTGAATTTTTAGTTACTGAATTTGACAACAACCATTGCTAGATCAGAAATTCCATGATTTAGGTTACTAGATCATTTGGACAATGTAAAAAACAATGAAACTTTATTTAATTATATATGTTAGTACTGAGTGTTAACTCTCTGTCCTCTTCTTTTCCTGATACTGCTATCTTTTATGTTAATTTATCATTGTTCACTCTTCCTGCTTATGGTTCACATTAAGTCCCAGTTGGTGAAAGCTTCAGACCCAAGGCAGTTTTACAATTGATTGTATAAAATTAGTAAATACCAGATTATTTTTGTTTATGGATAACTTCTGCTGTGGGTAACAGGTTATCATAAGAAAATATGTTCAAACTTTTTAAACTGTGAACCAAATTCCAACTTCTTTGTTTAGGAGTCTTCTGAGAATTAATATATAGAACTCAAGAATAATGACTCCAACCAGTATTTTCACACTACATACCAGATATTCTAAAGTTGCAAATCATCTTACAGGTATTTAAAAATTACATTTCATGGACTTATTTCCAAATATGGTGGTGTAACTTACACTGAAAGACTTCTTAATGTCACACAAGGAATGTATTTCATGTGTGAACATTTATATATCAAATACCTGTACAATTTTGTTTTCACTAAAATAAACATAAAATTTTAAATTTTGGTCTATAATTTTTAACTTGTTAAGGAAATGTGTAATTTAGTTACAAATAATAATTATATAATGTACACCTAAATCTAATTCATTTCTGATTTATATTGGCTATTTGAGTTTATAAAATATATTTTCCAGAAACTCAGAAATGAGATTTTGCTATAATGTACTACACAATTATTTTAAAATACACTTCTAGTTTAACCTTGAAACAAGTTACCCTACTTTTTAACCTGATTTATGTGTTTGTGTACATGTTATCTTTATTGAGTAATAATCATGAGAAACTATAATTTTAACAGAAATAGCATAATATAAATGCAGTACATTTTAATGCATTCTTCTTTCCCTTCTCAGACATTTCCAAGATATTTTCTTGGGTTTTCCCCTGAACTATATTACCGAAAGTTTGCTAAATAGCTTAGGAAAAGTCAATTGTATTATCAACTTTTTGCATTGTAAAATTCTGAGCTTTAAATGATTTTTAAAGTTCAGTCTTCTAAATAAATTCTTTCTGTCAATTTGGAAATGACCTGGGTTTTTCTGTTTTTACTGTTGCATGTGATCTATTGCACTGCATTTGAGCAGTGAAACTTGAAATGATTTTGATATCTGCCATGAGGGAAAAAATAGATATAAAGTAGTAGCTTATAACATTTAAGGAGGAAAAAACAAACATTACTGTCTTTTGGAACATGCTGCTTCCATTGGTTCTACTACTCTATAATTTTCTTTGTGCAACATGTCAGTACTATGTTCATATTTGTATAATTGCCATCATCTTTTTTAATTTTTCCCTTTTGATAGACACCCATATCTTCTTTTTCCTTTGTGTGTGTGTGTGTGTGAATACCTGTATGTTCTTGGCATATTGTTATGACATGTTTGAAACATGTTCTTAAGATTCTTTCATCATCTATATTAGAATTCTGAGTAATCAGAAAAATAACTATGGAAATATACTTACAAAAGATGGTGATAATCACGTTAAAATACCTATATTTTCTTTCTATTTACAGTGACCTGTAATTTTCACTGGTTTCTAACATTTCTTTTCTGAGATAATACTTGCATCTCAGCTGCACACATGGCCTAAAAATTGTGTTACCATAGCTGGTTTTGGTTGAGCTAAAAGGTGTTTACATGCTTTAGATAGACCATTCAGTTGCAGCAGTGGAGGTATAACACAGTGGGAGTGAACGATGATAAAGTGGGATCTCAGAGGTAGGAGGAGGGACAAAGAAGGCACCCGGGGAGAAACTTCTATGAATGGCCTGGCATCAGGGACAAGTGAAGGAAGCACATGCTGAGGTCGTGGGGCTGAGAGATGCAGCCTCAGTGCTTATAGGTATGGCGTAGCCAGGCAACCCGATTCTTTCAGGATGAATGGCCTTCTGTGTCTATCCTATTATGCAATTAAATCTGTCTTATTAAATGAGGTTGTATACTGTATGACTCCATATTCACATGTAAATCTATTTTATGTTGTCTTATTCTGGATTTTTCCCGAAAATAACATAGAATGGAATTCTTTGCAGAATTCTTTGAATGCCTAGAAGAAAATATATCATAGCATATTTCTGTGGATCAAACATTTTCCATAAATTGAAGCGATAGTTTGATTTCTAAACCTTGTTATAAATTTGTTCAAAATTACTCATATCTTTGCATCCCCGGTACCTAGCACAGTAACTGGCAAGCATTTTATGTCCAATAATTGTATGTCAACAGAAAAGTTGACTTTGCATCCTTTAGACCCTCTTCTTTGGAACTGCTTAATAAAGTTTAAGGATCTACGTGCTGATTTCAGGACCTCAGAAATGTGTTTTCTCTACCTACAGCTCTTTTCCTTGTTAGCCCTCTTCTCTAAGTCCTATCATCCTTGCACGCTCAGCTCTTCCATAAAACCTTTGAGATTCCCTCAGCTGGAAGACATCCCCCTTTGCTCTAACTCCTTGAGGCAATTTGCTTTCTACCTTACTAAGCCACCCTGAGTCCTCCCCAGAGCATCCAGCATGCTTATCCCTTTAGCAATCCTCCAACTCCTTGTTGTGTCCTCTGGCCCTAGTAAGTGGTCAATAAATGCAGTAATAGTTCTTGTCCCCTTCTAGGAGTGTTACTGAGTCAAGCGGCCACAGAACAGACTGGTACACCGTGACATAACTAGAATAACATTTGAAAGTTGAGGACCAGTGTTCCATGTTGCTTAAACAGGAAAGAGCCAGGTCATCCTGCTACTTGGGGTAAATTTGGTGTGTTTTTTCTTGTGTTGCCGATATTAGTCATTTGAAACATTTTTGTCTGAAAGAAAATGTGTTTAGGTACATTTCTACATTTGTTTGAAAGACAAATTCCTGAAATCTTGGCTGAAAGAAAGTGTGTTTAGATAAATGTCTCTGTTTCCTCAAAATTCCAATTAAATAAATTTTATTTTAAAAGAGCAAGTACCAGACTTTGAGGTAAACTAGATACTATATAGCCCAGAGTTTGGAAAGATTGCTAATTTTATTTGCCAATATCCTTAATATCTATGTGACTGTGTCCTAAAAGATAAAATCCTTGATTTCTAAGTCAGAAGACTTGTGTTTTCATTCCCAGTTCTTCCTCTCTCGGTACTTACTATTCATTGCATCTTCGGTGACCAGTCATTTAATTCTTCTGACCTTCAGTGTCTATGCCTATTAAACGGGTTTTCTAATCATTCAGAAAGATATTATAAAATAGTCTGGAGAGAGACAACAAATAATTTTATCTTCACAAGAGAAGATATGGAGATATAATGGAGGTTGCTGTTCTGGGTATTGAAAGACCTGAAATTTAAACTGGAGTTGGCCACAGACTACCTGTATGACCTTGGGCAACACACTAAACCCCTGGGCTTTAAGGTCCTCATCAATAAATGAGATGATTGGACTGGATGATTTCTGTAGCTGCTGCAGCTTGAAAATGCTGTAGTTCTGAGCAGCGTGATATGCCAGGTGCCATCATTATAGATCTGTTTTTATAAACCCCCTAAACAAGAGTAATATCAGAGGATATGACTCTGATGTCTGCAACCTAGAGAGGTTTCTGGATTTCAAATGTGAATTATATTGAGTTATCTCTAACTTAACCCTGTAGGTTTTTAAGACTGAATAGAAATGACGACTTCTAGAAAAACATTAGGGAAATTCACTAGTGTTTTCATTAGAGATGGGGAAGGAGCAGCTAGGCTTGATTATTTGGCCAAAGCTAAAAGTGATAAATTAATCAGCCCTCATTAACAAAAATGTGATAAATAAATTACAATAGTATACATAGAACCAGGATATCCAAGATTAGAAATCTTGGGTTATCACAGAAATTCTTCAAAGGTGTCATGAAGCTTATTTGTAAACTATTAAAAACATCAGTGCCAGTTGGACTCCAGTGAGAAAGTGGGAAGGTGGGGGTGGGAGGGTCAAAGGCAATATACTGTGAATTTGAGAGGTTCCAGCATATTTCTGGAGCTATTGATTAAAAGCCGTTATTAAAACGTGAGTAGAGGAACAGCTGTTCTCTCTGCGTTCTTATTTTCCACTGCATCAGACCATGTGCATTGTTTGAAGGTCCTCTCTAGATGTTCAGGGAAGGGAAATATAGGTAGGTAGGACGAGATAGTCATGGATTGAAAGTCTGGCTTTATTGTGTAACCTTGGGCTAGGTTCTTAAGCTTTCAGATCACCAATTTCCCTTATCAATAAAGTAGGGATACTATAATCTGCCACATTAGGCTGGTGTGAGAATTAAATAAGTGCTTGCTATATGCATTTTGGATTTAATGGCCATTTAATAAATATTTGTGTACAGTCAATATCCCTTTCACAAAATCATATTTTCCTTTTTTTTTCTCTTTCGGGGGATAACTAATCCTTTAATGGACATGTCTTTCTTCTTAACTGGAATGAAACATCCACTCATTGCAGGAAAAGCAACCCAAGAAACAACATACCCAAGATTATCTTGGGCCTTGACAAAAACCACAGCTGACTCTAGGTATGTGAGGAATGGAGGAGAGGGTGGATTTTCTCATTGGAGACCTCTCCTTCTTGTTCAGATCTTATCCCAGTACTGCTGAATCTCCTTAGTCTGTTCCTTGCTGTTTTTCTTACCCTTTTCGTTCCATGTAGTTCTGTTTTTCCTTTTCTTACTGCTTTGGTGTGGCCCAAGGACCACCCCATTATGTCCCTTAAATCTATACCCCATATATTTGCTGGCATTTGTCTTTAAAACCCCATAATTTGCTGCCTAACTGCAAAAGGTCCCTCATTGGTTACTCTTCCATAGTCACTATGTCCCCTCCCATTTCTGTTGAAGTGCTGAGTGTCCCCCTGTTTGTCGCTGATATGGTTTGGCTCTGTGTCCCCACCCAAATCTTAAATTGTAATCCCCATGTGTCAAGGGAGGGAGGTGATTGGGTCTTGGGGGTGGTTTCCCCCATGCTGTTCTTGTGACAGTGAGTTCTCATGAGCTTTGATGGTTTTATAAGGCAATTTTCCCCGCTCTTGCTTGCTCTCTCTCCTGCTGCCTTGCGAAGAAGGTGCCTCTTTCCCCTTCCGCCGTAATTGTAAGTTTCCTGAGGCCTCCCCAGCCATGCAGAACTGTGAGCCAATTAAATTCCTTTGTTTATAAACTGTCCAGTCTTGGGTAGTATCTTTGTAGTAATGTGAAAATGGACTAATACAGTCACCTTGTCAATCTCTTCCCTACCACTTGCCTTATCTTCTTGGCTTAGCATGACTTTGCATTTCCTACTGCACACTCTCTCCCTAAAAACACTCAAGGGGAGCTACCACACTTGCCCCTCACCTTTTTTTTTTAACCTCCCATGGATACTTCCACAGTTCCTTGGCTTCTTAGCCTTCGATATGCAAATGTTACCTTGTCAGCCATTTTTTCTTACAGTTTTCTTATCCCTATCCATAGGCCATCTGGTACCTTGACCACATAGTTCCTGTACTTTTCTTCTCCACTGACTCCTACTAAGAGAGGCTATAAAAATGTATATAGGACTATATGCACAGGACTATAAAGGATGATGGACTCAAAGGTGGGAGGGACTGAGGACTTTCTTTATATCTGAGTCCTAGTCCAGCATCCTCAGACAGTAAGTACAGGTTGAATGAAAGATATATCACAAGAAACACAGGTGTCATCAGATAATTTTCCACCTCAGAAGTCACCTGGTACACACTTCTAGGCCACATCTTACTTACCTGTTTTGTTATAATGGATTCCATGTTATCTCCTTTGAGGATGAACTCTTAGGCAGGGCTGGTAAAGGTCTTCATTTTTATTGTTCTGACACCCTCAGTCTCCATCTTTGGGTTGCACCATCATGGCTTCCCTCAACAGGAGCATATAGAATGGTGGATGGGAAGCTCAGGAAGCTAAATCAATCTGACCCACCCAGGTCCATGCTACGCCAAAAAGAGCCATGAAATCCAGGCAGGGAAGCTTAAACCTGATTATTAGGCAGAAAACACAATTGATTTGAGATCTGCCAGCAGAAAAGGTAGTTCTTGGAGCAGTGATAGGACAAAAGCTGCACAAGAAAGATGACTTGGCAGTTGCAGGCGCAGGACATGGGAGTCAGAGAGGCCAATCTTCAGGATCCTATAAGTGGTGAAAAGACCCCGGGTAATAGTCTAGGAAAGAGGGGAAAAAAAGAATGTCTACCAGGAAGAATTCAAAGTAAACATTTGACAGGATTTGGCTAATAAGACAAACAGAATAATGAGAAGAATCCTGCCAGGATAGCTCTAAGCACTTTACGTAATTTGCCTATTTAAACCCAATTATCTCCATTTTGCAGACAATGAAACTGAAGCAGAGGACCAAACTCCTTATTAGGTTTTGGGTTTGAGGTATTAAAAAAAATGGTGCAGCTCACAAGAGATAAAAGAAAGATGGCAAAAGAAGATGACTTGATGAAGGTTTTGAATTTGAGATGACAAATAAAAATATCTAGTGGCACAGGGAATAGAGAACTTTTCACCTTTGCCTAGCTCTGCCTTAAGATAACACTCAGACCTGCCATCCTAGAGAAACCCACTGCTGTTTCCACATGACATTCTACTTTTCTTCTTTCCTATCTGTGGGGCCAGCTTCATGCGTCCTTCAGTGTAGCACAGTTCCTAGACTTGGTATAATTTCTGCTTTGCCATCTTAATAATTTTTGAATTAGGTGTCCCACATTTTTATTTTGGACTGGACCATGCAGATTATGTAGCCAGTGCTACCTACCCGATGGAAGGTCTGGGGTGGACATTCCAGATGTGGGCATTCATTTTACACTTCCAGCCTCCTTCACCTTCAAGGGATGTTTGCTCCTTCAACTCTCATGAAATTGTTCTTTCCAACACCATCACTGATGCACTCAGATGCAGGTTTTCTTAGTTGTTAGGCTCTGCAATTCTAACACTGGTTTTCAATCTTTTCTCAAAATTATCTTCTCTCTTAGCTGTCATGACAGACGACTTCTGCCATTTCTTGACTCAATGTTCTTTTGTCTTGCATTGCCAGCTTTTCCTCCTGGTCCTGCCTGACATCTGGAGGTTTCTTCTAAGACTTAACAATCAGCAGTTGAATTGTTCCTCTACAAACTCATTTACTCCCATTGAAGTTATCAAGCCTTCCCCTGTGCTGTGCACATAAAAATGGGTTTCCATCAGCCTCCTAGTATTCATTGCCTCAACCCTAACCACAAACCCGACCTGTTTCAAACTCCTTTTCCCTGCCTGCCTACACTGCTTCCTACTTGCTGACTTAATAAACTCTTTTCAAACTTATGGCCTCTTCTCACTGTTAGCCTTCACCTTTGGCTTTTCTACTCAACCGCCAGTGAGTGTCAGGCATTCTCTGATTCAGTTGTTTAGGCCACCCTGGAAAATACTTTATCTAATGCAGTCCTGTTCTGACCAGGCACTAGAGGCCAATGCTCCCATGGGGTTGGCCTTAACTCTGTTAGGGTCCTCCCCACAACTTCTTCAAATCTTCTGTCTGACACTGAAGCTGAGCAAGTCTGACATTGAATTTTGCAAATCAGAGCCACCCAACCCACCCACCATCTTTTCTTTTCTTTTTTCTTTTTTTGTGAAACAGAGTCTTGCTCTGTCACCCAGGCTGGAGTGCAGGGGGATGATCTCCACTCACTGCAACCTCTGTCTCCTGGGCTCAAGTGATCTTCCCACCTCAGTCTCCCAAGTAGCTGGGACCACATGCCTGCCACCACTACACTTGGCTAATTTTTTTTTTTTTTTTGTATTTTTTGTAGAGACAGAGTATCACCATGTTGCCCAAGCTGGTCTCAAACTCCTGAGCTCAAGCTATCCACCCACCTAGGCCTCCCACAGTGCTGGGATTACAGGCATGAGCTATCGCACCTGGCCTCCAATCCACCCTCTTCTGTGTTTGCTAAAAGAGCAGCTTTCTTTAATAGCACACCACTTGTAGGCAATGCTACTGTATTTCCCTAGTCAATTCTCTATCCTGCTTTCCAGAGATTATTTCATTTCTTCTCCTATCTTCCCAAATCTCCAGCACCTTCTTCCTGGCCTCATTGTCATGATGCCTTTGCTTTTTTATTTCGTTGAGAAAATAAAAGACATCAAGGGAAAAGTCCCATGCACTTTCCCTGCTCACCCTTCTTGAACTGCTGCCTTCAGTGTTCCCAGGACTTCACTCTCTTGCTTCTTCTCCTCCCTCGCAGCCTCTCCTACTCCCTCCCTTGTTGGTTACATCTTCCTCTTCCCGATCTCTAGATTGCTATATTCTGGGGCTTGGTGCTCAGACTTCATCTTCCCCTCTCCACTCTCACTCTGGGTGACCTCATCTAGTTCCATGACTTTATGTATTATTTGCATACTGACACTCCAAAATTTATATCGCCATTCGGATATCCTCTTTGAATTCCAGACATGTATATCCATCTGCCTACTGGATGTTTCTGCATAAATGTCTAACAGACATCTCAAACTTACACATCCAAAACTGACCTCCCTAAATTCCTTCACCCGCATTTTTCTTCATCATAGTAAATTAAGAAATGCGTTCTTTGGTCACTTAGTCAAAAATTTACCAACCAAGTTTGACTCCTGTCTTTTTTGCATACGCTATAGGCAATCCATCAGCAAATCCTGCTAGCCTTATAGACACAGCTCGACTACTGGTGCAGCCACCTTCATCTTTCACCTGGTCTGTTGCATGTGTTGCAATAGGCTCCCAGCTGATCACCCTGTTTCTGTCCTTGGCCCTCTGCCTTCTGCACACAACAGTCAAAGTGATCCTTTTAAAACCAAAGCCAGATCATATCAGTCCTCTTCAGTATTCAGACCCTTCAGTGACATTTCATTTCTCTCAGAGTAAAATCTAAGTCCCTTCCATGGTTTGTAAGTCCTTACACAATCTGACCCTACTCCACCACTACTCTGATTCTTCTTGTCACTCTCCCTCTTGCTTTCTCTATGGCATCTGGACTGGCTCCCTTGCCATTCCTGAACTCACCAAGCACATCACACCTCTGAGCCTTTGCACTTTGTTCCCTATGGCTGAAAACTCTTCACCTACAGGTCTGTCTTCCTCACTTCCTTCAGGGCTCACTCAAAAGTCACCAGAGGGGCATTCTCTGACCACCCTACCTAAATTGCATTCACCCCAGTCTTTCCCCTTCTCCATCTTAACTTCACTTTATTTTTTGTTCTCAGCAGTTGTCACCATCTGACACACTATAGGGTTATTCATTTATTTGTTTAGTGTCAGCCTCCACCATACCCACCAGAATGTTTTCTACAGGAGAGCAAGAACTTTGCTATATATGCTCTTGTATTGCTAAAACAAGCATTTGGCATATAGTGGGCACTAAATAAATATTTGAATGAATGAATGAACTCCCCTTTTATACCTGGGCTTGCAACTGGCCTGTCCTTGGCTGGGTTACAGTTTACTAGTTGAGAATAACTGTCTATAATATGTACCTTAGTGTAATCTTCTTAAATTTAGGTATTTTATATTAAACCAATTTCCTACTAGCAGCCTTTAGCTGGGATTGTTAAAGGTATTACTTAAGGATAATTTGTCTCACACACCAAAGACAAAATTCAATATAAAATTACTAAGACTATAGGGTAAGTATATTCCATTAATTGAAATTATCTCCTACACTGGAATGTGTGTGTAACAAATAAGAGTTTTGTTTAAAACATTTGTCTTTCCTCATAGAGAGAGAGAAACAGTTTGAAAGCCAGAGGTGGCCAGATTCAAGTCTCAATCCATCAGCTTATCGCTTCAGCTTCTTGCATGCTTGATGAGAGGCTTAGCATAGTGCCTAAGAATAGGGATACTGGGGCCAGACTATGTTGGTTTGAATCCAGGCTCTGTCACTTGTTAGATTTGTGACCTTGGGTAAGTTGCTTAACTTTCCTGAGTCTCAGTTTCTTTATCTCAGTTGATAAGATAGTTGATAATTGATAAGACTCCCTGTGGTTTTTTTTTTTTTGTCTTTTTTTGACAGGGTCTTGTTCTGTCACCTAGGCTGGAATGCAGTGGTGCAATCATAGTTCACTGCAGCCTCGAACTTCTGGGCTCAAGCAATCCTCCTTCCTCAGCCTCTGTAGTAGCTATGTACTGAGGATTTATTGAGTTAATCCATGTAAGCATTTACAGGGTTGGTACATAGTAAGTATGTGTTAGCTATGATTATTACTAATATTCCTTCTGAAAAAACAGCTGTCACTCCTTAGAGTTTTACTGTCCTTGTTCCTGTGCACCTGGCACAGGATTTACTGCATTGCACTGAGTCCAATGGGTTACAGTCACCACACCCTTTGAGCCCTTGCTTCCTTCCGTTCACCCTTTTTTTCCGTTTTCTTCTCTTCCTTCTCTCCCTCCCTCCCGCCTATAAGTTCTGCCTTTCCTTACTTTTTTCTATACATCCTCTCTCATACACTACAGTCTGTTCTGCATTAGCTCTCTATCTTCTCTCTTCCTTCTGCTGTTTCTGCTCTCATTCACAGAGTTAGAATTCTGCAGGAGAAAGACCTGTCATGTCACCAGGAAGAGTCCTCATAGGCAAATCTTTCACAGTTCTCACTTCCTAGATAGAATTTTGTTCTTTCAAGCAGCCCCTACTTTTAGAGCTCAGAGACTCTTTATCAAAGACTCCTCGTTCAAGTTGATCAGAAATGCCATCTCAGCACTTTTAACCCATGTGTGGGTTGTACCAGCAATGTCTGTTTCTTTAGAAAACACTGACTCGTCTTATCAACAATCACGGGCTAACTGTAAAATCAACCATAACCAATTGTCTTGCTTGCTGCTCCTAAGGGACATTGATAAAATAATGCGGTTGCTTTGGTGCCTAATAAAGTTCAACTCCAATGATGGTGAGAATGTAGGAAGGAATGAAAGACATGTTCAGTGGAAACACTTTTTTTTTCTTTCTTCTATTAGATTAGGAATTCCTCAAGTGAAGAGACCATGCATGCTCTATTTATTTTTAATATATATGACTACTGCCCAGCTTAGTGCCTTACTATACATGCTCAGTAAGTAAATGTGCCTTGAATTTTTGCTTCCCAAGAATTAGGCAAACATGGTAAAAAATTCTGAGAATTCAAAGCCTAAAACCATGAATAAGGGCAGTGCTTTGTGTGATTTTCATTTGGGCAGCCTTGTAAAACACACAATTTGATGCACTGAATTGTCACACTAATGAAATAATTATCACAGATCTCTATAGTCTTATTCATTTTTATAACAT
The DNA here is from genome assembly GCF_000001405.40 of Homo sapiens. Lineage (NCBI taxonomy): Eukaryota > Metazoa > Chordata > Mammalia > Primates > Hominidae > Homo > Homo sapiens. Next base: position 92,850,009 of record NC_000007.14, read on the forward strand.
CTCTTTTGTGACAATTATTATTATAAGTTATGGTGAAATGTAAATATATGTTAATTCTTTCTGTCACTTGAAAAACTCCTTGGAGAATTAACTCATAATTTACTCCACACATTCTACACCTGTTTGCTGAATAAATGAAAGAATGGTTAAATGAATGATGTTATACTTATATTCATTCAGAATGTTTGAAGAAGTCTACATAATTAAATGATTTTAATAAGTAAAAGTTAGTATCTGTAGAATCTACGTGGGTTATTATATTAGGCTATAAAATCAAGTGAATATAAATTTATATTAAACATAGTGTTATTTTTTGTTGTTCAAAAGGCACTTCAAGATCTTTAAGCTACAAAATTAAAGGAAACCAACAGGTCTCCTAAAAATATATCTTCATCTTTTGTTTTGGTCTACCAGTACTTTACTATGCCTTTAAAATAAATCTGCCTTTCCAGTTGTATAGATTCGGAATAAAAAGCAACTTTATATTCTGTTGGAAAGTTTTAGGAAGGTTAAATTACTTTGAAAAAGACTATAACACCAAACCAAAGTGATGAAAATGTTTGTGTTTTAATTTTTCTTCAATCCATTTGTATCTCAACATATTACATTTCTAGACAAAACTGGTTTGTACATCTCTCTTGCTTGAGCAGGAGGAAATCATTATAATGGAAAGAATTATTGAAAATGGTCCATGTTGTGTAATTCCCAGGATAAATGGGCTGAGTAGCAAATATTTCTGTTGTGAACTGTTTTATACCTAAATGTGCATTATTAAACCCATTTGTTGAACACATTGAAAGATCAAATATCTTCCTAACCCGACACTGGAAGATGTTTATTTGCCATTCTTCTCCTTCCCCTGCTCAGATCTTGGCTTCCTGGAATTCATCCACATTTGAGGGGCAAAAAATCATAGATGAAGAAATCAGAAAAACAGAATTTAAAATTTATAAACATATTTTAAACAAGATCATAAGAAATTCAAAATAGTATACATAATAGAAACAGCATGTGGGGAAGCATATAGAACAATGTGGTAAGTGACCATTTTTTACATTATCATAAACATCCTATACATTTGAAGAACGTAGAAAGCACAGTAGTCACCAGACTGTAAGAATCCGAAGGTAGCAAAAAGAATGCTCATGATCAGAATGGTTCGGGGGTGGTTTTATGCACCTTCTGCTTTTATAAGGATATAACTTTAGATATACTGTGTATTTAAGTAATATGTATTTAACTATTGCCCTTTAAAATATTACATATCCAATCAGGTTGTTTTTATTTCAGCTGGATTAATCTTATGTATGCCCAATTCCATATTCCAAACAACCCTAAAAACCTCAGTTAAAAAAAAAATCGCTGGAATGCTTCAATACTAGATTTGAAGATAATAGTAGCAGCTGGAGTAGAAGGAGCAGAAAGCTGCTTTCTACCCCAAAATAAAACATTCTTTCTCTTTGATGATTCTTTTTCTTTCTTTTCCAGTAACTCTACTTTTTTTTTAGAATTGTTTTGAAAGTAGCACATTCAGGTATAGATTCATTTATTCATTCATTCGATAAATATCTACTGGGTATCAACCCTGTGCCAGCTCTAGACTAAGCACTGGGACATGTTATAAGAAACTTTTAATGTGGCACTGGACTTCAGGAGAGATCTCAAGGCTAAAAATATAGGATTGGGGGTTAGGTAAATGGTGGTAATAGTGCCTTTAAGGCATATGGAAATGGAGAGAGTTAAGTGAAGAGACATCTGTATATTGAGGTGAAGAGGAGGGGAGGGTAGATGAGACCAGTTTGTAGTTGATTGCTTCAGAAAGTCGTTGCATGAATGGTATAGAAAAGATACAAAAGGCTTTGGGTAAGTGAGTAAGAATGATTGTAGAGCTGTTAGGGAGAATGTTCCCAGCAATGAATCAGAGGATTGTTGTTGGCGTTTCCAGCACAGTGGAAGCTAGCATCAGTATGTTATAGTGAGCCAGGGCAGTCCCAGGTTTTCTCCAGCAATGCTCATCAGCAAAAGCAGAAAAATTAGAGAGTGTGTATGATGTAAGTTTGCCCACTGATATGGTGGGTAATGAGAACTGAGACTCGGTGTTAGAAAGGATGATAAAAAGGGCTGAAAAGAAGAAACTAGAAGAACCTTCCTTTTTATAGAAAGTTAATGGATGCATTAAACTATGAGGGTTTTAGTGTTTATCGAACTTGGTGAGCAGAAAACAAAGAGGGAGATGGGAAGGTGGAGAGGTACAGTGGTAGAACCGTGATTGTGTGTGGAGAATGAATATTCTTAGCACTGGTAATAATTAAATTCAGCGAATGATCTTGCTGGTGCATCACTCAGGTTGGGTGGGGTTGGAGGATTACAGGTAGCAAGATTATGGGATTATATAGTTGAGGTATCTCATGGGTCCCTAGCATGAATTTTGAAGTTGTCAGAGGTCACGATGAAGAATAACGGTGTGGAGGAAAATCAAAAGCCACGTGCTGCATTAATTTAGAAAGTGGAAGTGGGTCTCATAGGAGTTCAGTAAACAGCAGCCATGGTGCCTTTAAGGTGGTAGAACAAAGAACCAGTGTAAATTTTAAATGAGAAGAAAGAAATGGACAATTTGGTAGTGAGTAGTTTAAAGGTTTAAAGTGTGGACTTGTGAATTACTGGAAGAAAAATCCCAAGAGGGCCAGAATTTATTTTGAAGACACTCATATACTCTATTCTAATCAGACAACCATATTTTTTTTTACCAGACTCATTTAAATCAATATTAATTGTTGTTGATTTGGTTATTCATCATTATAGATATTGTCTCTGGTAAGAAAAAGGTGTTATTTTATTCTGCCTTCATTCCTTTCTGGCAGTGTTTTGTAGTATTTCTTCATAGTTCCCGGCCTTAAAAAATGTCAGTTTGTGGGAGGATATACTTTTCCAAATATCAGATATCCTAAGTTTTTCATATATATCAAGACTGTGATCCAATTGGTAGAACCACTAAACTAGAGAGCATGTTATTTTTCAAATCATCTGTATCTAAAAAGAAAACACTGTATTCTTCCTAATATTTTCTCCCTGAATACCAACATTTATTTAATCTCACTCATGTAATCATACTCTTGGACTAGTTCTCCGAACTACCGTTATATTAACTATGTAAACTGTAACAGATACAATTATTAAATTACCTTTTGCATTAGAATAGAGAACATCCCTTTCTACGATTTTCTTGATGTATAAATAATGGCCTGATAACTTCACAGACACACTAGTATATTCACAGATACTCTGGTCATTGCAAAGCCGGTTCCTCACCCCTGTAGCTAAATAATTTCTATACAAAGCACACTGAATGCTATTTAAATCACAAGTCTCTTCCAAGAAATTTCTTCTCTTCCTAGAAAATTATTTAGTAGGGGCAGTATATGGCAGCAGTAAAGGTTAATGTTAACAAACCCCTGTCCTTTACAGTTAAGTGCTAAAAGGCAGGTGTTCTCACATTTATTATACTTCTATTGTGCTTTCCATCACTAATGTAACACTTATCTGAAAATCGATAATTTTGAAAGATTTCACAGCTGCAGTATTCTTTGTGCTTTATCACTAAGAACAAACAAACCCTATTCATTCAGTGGGATGAACTTATTACTTTTCAATCCTTATTTAAGTAAACCTGGTCTATGGAATTCCGAAGTAAGATATTACTGCTTTCCTACTTTCCTTCCTGCAGCGTTAATTCTCCTTTGGAAGACAGTCATCTTGCCTGCTGTATCCATCTCTTAGTCTAACTCTTGTTTGATATAAGATCAAAAGGCGTTCGTTTTCTGTATCAATTAGGCAGGCTGTCTTGTCTCAATGAGATTAAGTAGCCTCTGAAGAGAAGTGACACCAGGGAGGAGGTAGATGAGCTGATAATTAACATACAATATGGCTGTCTTAATTCTTTCGAAATGATAGTTTGCCTAGTCTGATGTCTTTCTTTTATAATTGTGTCCGTGGCTCATTTGTTCAGGGCAACCAAGCAGCACACACCAGACCTGATAATCAGTGGTTTGGGTTTCTAATAAAGCTGGAAGGACACATCAATTCCTTCCTAGGCTTGACATTTTTTTTTCGTACTAGGGAAAGGCCCTAATATTTTCTTGTTTCTTAGATTTTTTAAGGACATTCATGAAGTACCAGAATATTTTATTCCAAATAAATTATAAATGCAATACCCAGTATTAACTCCCAAGTTTCTTAAAGAAAATGTTATCAAAAGCAATTGTTGAGCCCCAGACAAAGCTATGTAAGCAGGGTATCAGTCCTTCTATAGGTAGACTCTGCCTAGAAGCCTGAGTTTTTATAGCCTGAGTTTTCCGCAGTCATATTTAACCATGTTTCTTGAGATAAGACTTTAATTATCTCATTACAGAAAGTGAAGCAGTGTTTTCAAAGGAGCAAACAAAACACTGGTATTTATTAACAACATTTTCTTTCAGTGTATTTCCTCTCACTTCACTTTCAGAGATTTTCTAGCCAGTTGCTTCTCTAAGAAAAGATTGTTAGGTACAAATTCCCTGAGTTTAGCTCCCTTGCCATCATCAGACTTCTAGGCTTAAACCTATTTTTATCTACTTCCTATTATCCCAGAGGCAACATTTCTACCCCTTTCCAAGTCTCAGCCTTCAATCTGTGCCCACACATTCTGGCTTCCTCCGCCATCCCCTGCTCTCGTGCTTTTTTTTCTGGCCGTATGTGTGCTCAAGACATTACAGAAGTTAAAACAAGTGATCCAAACAACCATTCTTTATCTAACCCAGCTTCTTTTCTTACTAGGTTAATGCCTTACATTTCTCCATCATCAAATTCTTAAGAAAGATATTTACATGACTTATTCTAATCATTAGTTCTATTCTCTTTGCAGTCCACCCCTGGCTGGTTTCTGCTTCCACCTGCTGATCTCACAGAGGTGAGGTGATAACAGTGATGAAACAAAATCTTCAAACCACAGCACAGTAAGAAGATGCCGAGTTTATATGTGGACACTGCTTTTGTGACTATGACTATTGTTGTGGGTTTCCTTGCTTTCCATCTCGCCAGTTCCCTTCTTGACATTGTACAGCTATTTCCTTTGTAATACAGAAACTCTCTTACAGAATATTTCCACAGCTGGCTTTCATCACTTCTTGATAGGTACCTAAATATTTCAGTTTTTTCCACTTTATTTTCCTTTAACAATAACTGCTGCCCAATTAAATAATTCATCTTTTCCCCTGTATAAGTATTTGTGGTACTGAATGAATGTTTATCAAGCACCATTTGGAATCTCCTATTTTCTCTGGCTTGGCTTTTTCACAGACTCTTGGTCTCAATTACACATGGCAGTTTGAATTAAGTGTATTTAACCATTTTAAAATTAAGAATGAGTTTAGAGTTTGTTTTAGAATTTTTTCTACCCCATAGAGATGATTGTGTGTAAATTAAAGACTAACTTTAAAATCCAAGAGTTTCTTTGTTGTATAATAGTTAGATCGTGCACATTTATAAATAACATTCAGAAGCGTGACACAGAAAAGCAAACATTATGCTTTAAAATGTTCACAAATGATAATAATAACAATGTTTATTTTCTGCTTACTATGAGGTAGGTGCATAACTAAGTTCTTTATGGGCATTAATTTATTTACTCTTTTCATCAGCCCTAGAAGTTTGGAATTTTATTATTCGTTCCAGAAAGGTTACAAAACTTGCCCTAGATAGCTCAAAACTGGTGAAGTTGGGATTCTCAAGTCTCACCCCTGCATCATATGCCATTCTGCCTCTCCAAGGATGTCTACACATCAGTGAGTTTGATAAAACAAATACTAACATGGCTTCTTGATTCTAAGATACTATCAAGTGTAAGCTGTACCACCTATTTAATATTATCTTTCCAGGATAAAGTGAATCACTACCAACAGTATGTGTGTGTGCGTATGTGTGTGTGTGTGTTATAGATATATCACACTATATTTAGTCTCTTGGTCTCAAATTATGATTTTTGGTATTGAGAACATGTATGTCTTAATTTTTTCATACAGATGGAAATTTTCAAATATTGAAATATATAAAATATTTAAGTATATACTTACTATATTATATACATAATGCATATTATGTATGTGGGGCAGTATATACCCAACATGCATATTATATATATAATATAGTAAGTATATACTTAAATATTTTATATATAACTAGAAACATAATATGCATTATGTATATAATATAGTAAGTATATACTTAAATATTTTATATTTATACATAATATGCATTATGTATATAATATATTATGTAATAATATGTAATTATATAATAATTATACTATGTAATAATATATGCTTAAGTGTATTATGTATTATACATAAATATAGAAATTAGTATCCCTTTCCTCTCATTTTACCCTCTATTTTAAGTCTTTATTCTACATAATGGTGAAAAAATTAATCTTGTTGATTTTAAGGGAGCTCAGTTTTTACAATTTTATTTTAAAATCCTCAATCAGGATTGATTTCTGCGCACTTTTCCTTAAGTTACATCTGAGTTTCTGGAGGTTTGTGCTAAATTTACGCAATAACCAGGAAGGGGATATTTGCTCTTCATTTGTCCTTGATCTTCCACTGGCATCTGCTGAGAGAGAAATTCCATATGGTTTTTGGTTGTCTGCCTCTATCCCTTTGGCCTATGTTAGGAGACCACAACCTTACAGAATTCCTGGTTATGAAGACTATAAACTACCTCCTCCTTTTTCCAACCATCAGGATTCTGGGATCTGATGGCCTCCTTTCAGTCACATATACACCTCTCTTTGGGGTACAGTGGCTGTCAGTTGTTCTCTGGTATCACACTGCGGGTGCTCGAGGCTACTCCTAAACTCCACCTCACTTAGCCCCTGGAACTTCATTCTGGTTTGAACCCTGGGGAGAAGTGGAGTAAGGCTCCTTCCTAGCTCTCTTATCTGCCCGTGGTATAACAACCAAGACCTCTCCTTGTAGGGGCAGAAAAACTCACCCTTTTATTGTTAGATACTACTCTTATCTCTATGGTATAAACTTTATGGACCAAGTTCTTCAGGGTTTTGGCTTTTTATATTCAGTGCCAAACTTTTAGTGCTCAAAACACTTCTTTTTCAAAAAACTGGGCTATCTGAAATCAAAAGCTCATTGGCTTTCAAGACTAAGTCCTCTGTTGTAAATTTTTTAAAAGCCTATTGCCTTCTTTGTTTTTCCTCATGATAACTTGTGCCCTGCTTTCTCTGGGACAAATAAATGTTCCCCAGAGGCTGTGAATGCTATTTGCTCTGGAGGTAGTGATCACCAAGACAACAGCAAAAAACTTGGTTAATATCTCCATATGTAATTCCTCCACATATATTAAAATATAAAAGTATATAACATATAAATATAATCATACAACATATATTAATATAAATAACTACAAAATTTATGATTTTATATATTATATATAATTTATGTGTAACAAGTATAGGTATATAATTTTTTCTGCCTTCTTATGTGAAGACAAGTGTTATCAGGAGAACCTGGACCGGGATAATGGCAATAAGAGTAGTGTTAAAAAAAAAAAAAGATACATACTAGAGATATGTCAAAGAAAGAGTGGTTGCAACTTAGCAATAATGTGAAGACATGGCACTGTCTACATTGGTGGGAATGTTTATATTAGAGAGACTAGACAGATTTTGGCAAACCACCTTACCTTTCTTTGCTATTACAGAAATGGCCTTGGAGGATAACGAACCTTAGAAACAGGTTTCAGAATTTTTCTATTCCTTAAAATCTGCTATGCTTTGAATGTTTGTCTCCTCTAAAACTCATGTTGAAATTTAACTGTTATTGTCACAGGCAATGATGAGACCATTTAAGAGGTTATTTGGCCAAAAGAACTTCGCCCTCATCAGTGGGATTGATGCCTTTATAAAAGAGAGGGTTTGGCCCCTTTTGCTTCTTTGTTCTTGAGCTCTTATGCCATGTGAAGAACAGCATTCCTCACTCCTGAAGGATGCTGCATTCAAGGCACCAGCTTGGAAGCAGAGACTGGGCCCTCATACCAAACATGCTGGCACCTTGATCTTGAACTGTCCAGCCTCCAGAACTGTGAGAAATAAATTTCTGCTCTTTATAAATTACCCAGTTTCAGGTATTCTGTGGTAGCAGCACAAAACAAAGACACAGCCACATTATACTCAACAAGTATTTATTGAGCATGTATTACATGAAAATCTTTGAATAAAGTGTTTCAAAGAATTCAGAGATGATTAAAACACATGCTTGAGCCGAAAGTCATAGAGTAGGGACTAAGTATATATTGTACTTCAAAGAATATAAAGGACGCTTCATAAAGCCCAAAAGTGCTTGATCAGAGAAGCGTTTTGTAAATTACAGAGACTTAGAATTTAGGGATCTTATTAGTAATAATATAATTATATTGGACTTCGAAGACATCAGGGAGCCAGCAAGGAATAAGCTCCCAAATTACAAAATAACTAAAGTTAGAACTAAATATGCAATCAAATTAGAAAAAAATGAAAAGTTATGATGTCAAGTATGACATGGTAAAGAGCAGTGACATAGGCAAGCTTACATCCTGCTGCTGGTGGTGTCTTGCCATCATTCTGGAAAATCATTTTTTACTCATGAGTCAAAATCCTTAAACAAGTTTGACCAAAGGAAATAATCTGCTAAATGTGCAGAAATGTATTTACAAAGGCTTTTATCACAACAAAATTAGGAAAAGTCCAGGTTAAATACCTTGTGTAGTATTATAATGGACATTTACCTACCTGAAATTGGCCAAATAAGTTTTCTCAGAATTGCCCCTTCACCCACCTCTTTCCACTTAATTGACTTGGGGCTGTTATATAACTTTCTAGTAAAGTACAACTGATTGGTCTAATTGATGGCATTGTCCAGGAAATTTAGAAAATAGCAAGAGTTTGGGAGGCTGAGGCGGGCGGATCACGAGGTCAGGAGATCAAGACCATCCTGGCCAACATGGTGAAACCCTGTCTCTACTAAAATACAAAAAAATTAACTGGGCGTGGTGGCGTGCGCCTGTAGTCCCAGCTACTTGGGAGGCTGAGGCAGGGGAATTGCTTGAAACCAGGAGGTGGAGGTTGCAGTGAGCTGAGATCGCGCCACTGCACTCCAGCCTGGTGACAGAGCGAGACTCTGTCCAAAAAAAAAAAAAAAGAAAAAATAGCAAGAGCAAGAATAGAAGCCATCCTTTGTACAAGAAGGAGAAAAACACCAGGCACTGTGTGTGTGGCTGTATCAAGAACACACAAGAACACACACACACACACACACACCAGGAACTATTGGCAACTTTTTTTTTAAACCACAATATGGATTAGAGAAGCACAGGAAGCCATCTATACAAAGAGAGAAGAATAAAATAGGTACATAGTAGAGACAGTTCTGATAGCTTAATAACCTCTGCTTCTGGTTTGTTCCAGAGGTTCAAGTGTTTTTTTGCACTTGGTGTCCATGAGATATAACTGATCATTATAACAGTTTGAGTTGTAACCTGAAGAATATTCATTTATATAAACATGATATATGTCATCATGTATGCATATGTCTGTGTGGGCTTGTAAAATAGAGTATTTCCCAGACAAGGAGAGATCAGATATAAAAGAGTGCTCTGTCCATCTCATACTCATTTGACTGAATATAAAAAGGCCCAGGGGAACTTTCTGGGGGAAAAAATACCATACCAAGTATTTGAGTCAGGAGGCTAACTTGCAAGGATTTCACTTGCATGGGCCCATTAAAAGAACTTGACTTTGAAAAAAGAAAATCTGAAGATCTGAGGGGTTGAATAAGTAAAACATAAATATGGTTTAAAAAACAGAAAGATATACGACAAAAGTTTCCCTACCATCCTTGTCCTCCTCTGATCAGTTCTGACACAGCTCCTTCCATTGGTAAATACTGTACTTAATATCTTATGCAAATTTTCATAGTTTATTCAAACATATACAAGCAAAAACAAGTATTGATTCTTATTTTTCATTTGTTTACAAAGGTAGTATATTGCACATACTGTTCTGCACCTTGCTTTAAATATATGTTTATATATCTATATCTGTATAGATTATAGATTTATTATAGATCTAATAATTATTATATTATAGATTTATTATATATCTAAATATATATATCTTCTTTTCCTATCAGTATAAAGAAAGATTCCTCATTTTTTTTACAGCTTCCCAATGTCCTATGTATAGGTACATCATTGTTTATTGAACTAGATCCTATTGATAGACATTTAGTTGTTTCCAGTCTTTGGCTCTTACAAACAATGCTACAATAAATAACTTTGCACAAAAGTCATTTCTCACCTGTGCATGAATATCTGCACAATACATTTTTCCATAAGTAATTCTGAGTCTTTAATGGCTTTTGTTTTTTGAAAGAATTCACCTGATTATCCTTTCTGTGGGAATGAACACTGGTGGAAGAAAGGATGTGTTTCTAAAAAGCTAAAAAGCTATAACATATTAGGGCTGAAGCCACTCTGTTACAGGGACTCCTTAAGATAGTCCAACCCAGGAAGAAGAGACATGTTTTTGTCTACTTTTGCAGAAAGGATGAGTAGTGGTCTAAACATAGCCAAAGAGATGAAATTGGGGTGGAGATAGTGGTCTGATTGAAACATGGCTGTGGCTCAAACTTGAGGCCGTGATTATGTTATGGGCTGCTGAGGTTTGAGCAGAACTTTGCAAAGATGAGTGACTCTAGCAGTACAAAGGGTAGCACAAGGGTAACTTTTTTCCATGTTCTTACATTTTCTTACATTTTTTCACAGCTAATGAAAGCCATAGCACTGTGAAGCTTGGTGATATTTGAGTAATATATACTTAGAAAATGTTGGGAAGAATAGAGCCATATTAATGGTGGTTTTCTCTAGGAGTACAAGGTAATAAGTGAATGTATCACTTTACCTATTTCTTGACATTAATAAGTGCAACCTCTGTTGAGAATTGATGTATATCTCTCCTGATCTTTTCTCATATAAGTACATGTATTTACCAATATAAGTGATTTTTTCTTTTATTGTCTAGATAGGATATTTCTACATATACATATGATTGTGAAATTATCTGTTTTTACATTATATATATTTTGGAGATCTTTCCAAGTTAGTATTTGCACTCATGTTTAAAAAGGGAGCAGGGCCTTTGAAGTTAGGTGACTTTTACACCTTTTATCATGACTACTTTTTGTGGAGCTGAAATGATATTTTCATTCTGCTTTGGTGTTTCAGTGCTTTGTTCGAAGTTAAGTGTTTTCAGAAAAGTATATTTTGCTTTTTTTTTTTAACAGCCTAATTTTTGGCTATGGGGAAGTTTCTATTGTATAAAACTATAAAAGGTTTTTCTACTGACTCCAGGGTATTCTGATGATTGAAGCCTGTGTGTAAATTGCTACCAAATGGTAAAAAGCAACAATAAATAGTTTGATTTTTTAAAACTATGTAAAGTTGGATTCTAATGTTGAAAAAATGTGTGCATGTATATGTAATTTTCATTATGCTCTTAGGAAAAAAAACTACTAAGAAAGCCTTCAAAATGTTAAAGGTGTATATCTTTAGATTGGCTCTAAGTTTACAAATTTTTATATTTATATTTATACTTATTTTATTTTAAAAGTTTTCTGTAAGAAGAATTGCTTTTATAGTTAAAAAAATTCATAAAATGCAATGCAATTTGTACTACAATATAGTACCTACAGTCCTGTGACACAGGAGAAGACAGACATAGGAAGAGTTTGAAGAGGTGGATTTTAGAGTTTTGGGAGGAGGGATCAATTAAGAAAACCTCTCTACCCCATGGACTTTGGCACCAGCTGAGAGAGGGGCAAATGAAGATCAACTGATCACTGTTACCAGGACAAATACTGCATACTATCACTTGTATGCGGAATCTAAAAGAGTCCAACTAGTGGAAGTAGAGAGTGGAATGGTGGTTACAAGGTATATTAGTTCATTTTCACCCTGCTGATAAAGACATACCCGAGACTGGAATATTTACAAAAGAAAGAGGTTTATTGGACTTACAGTCCCATGTGGCTGGGGAGGCTTTACAATCATGGTAGAAGGTAAAAGGCATGTCTCACATGGCAGCAGACAAGAGAAGAGAGCTCGTGCAGGGAAACTCCTTTTTTTGAAACCATCAGATCTCATGAAAATCATTCACTATCACAAGAGCAGTGCAGGAAACTCACCCCCGTAATTCAATCACTTCCCACCAGTTTCCTCCCATGGCATGTGGGAATTGTGGGAGTTACAATTCAAGATGAGATTTCAGTAGGGACACAACCAAACCATATCTTTCTGTCCCTGGCCCCTCCAAATCTCATGTCCTCACATTTCAAAACCAATCATGCCTTCCCAACAGTCCTCCAAAGTCTTAACTCATTTCAGCATTAACTCAAAAGTCCAAGTCCAACATGTCATCTGAGACAAGGCAAGTCCCTTCCCCTCTGAACCTGTAAAATCAAAAGCAAGTTAGTCACTTCCTAGATACAGTGGGGGTCCTGACATTACATAAATACAGTTGTTCCAAATGGAAGAAATTGGCCAAAACCAGGGGGCTACAGGCTCCATGCAAGTTCGAAATCCAGCAGGGCAGTCAGATCTTAAAGCTCCAAAATGATCTCCTTTGACTCCATGTCAAGTATTGGGTCATGCCGATGCAAGAGGTGGGTTCCCACAGTCTTGGGCAGCTCTGCTCTTGTGGCTCTGCAGGGTGCAGCCTCCCTCCTGGCTGCTTTCATGGGCCGATGTTGAGTGTCTGTGGCTTTTCCAGGCACATGGTGCAAGCTATTGGTGGATCTATCATTCTAGGGTCTGGAGGACAGTGGCCCTCTTCTCACAGCTCCACTAGGTGGTGCCCCAGTAGGGACTCTGTGTGGGGGCTCTGACCCCACTTTTCCCTTCCACAATGCCCTAGCAGAGGTTCTCCATGAGAGCCCCACCCCTGCAGCAAACTTCTGCCTGGGCATTGAGGCATTGCCATACATCTTCTGCAATCTACTGGAGGTTCCCAAACCCCAATTCTTGACTTCTGTGTACTCACAGGCTCAACACCACGTGGAAGCTGCCAAGGTTTTGGGCTTGCACCCTCTTAAGCCATGGCCTGAGCTCTATGTTGGCCCCTTTCAGCCATGGCTAGACTGGCTAGGATGCAGGACACTGAGTCCCTAGGCTGCACATAGTACGGGGACCCTGGGCCTGGCCCACAAAACCACATTTTCCTCCTAGGCATCTGGGCCTGTGATGGGAGGGGCTGCCTTGAAGACCTCTGACATGTCCTGAAGACATTTTCCCATTGTCTTGGGGATTAACATTTGGCTCCTTGTTACTTGTGCAAACTTTTGCAGCCAGCTTGAATTTCACCTCAGAAAAAGTTATTTTCTTTTCTATCACATTGTCAGGCTGCAATTTTCCCAAACTTTTATGCTCTGTTTCCTTTTAAAACTGAATGCCTTTAACAGCACCCAAGTCACCTTTTGAATGCTATGCTGCTTAGAAATTTCTTCCACCAGATACCCTAAATCATCTCTCTCAAGTTCAAAGTTCCACAAATCTCTAGGGCAGGGGCAAAATGCTGCCAGTCTCTTTGCTAAAACATAACGAGTCACCTTTGCTCCAGTTCCCTTCCTCATCTCCATCTGAGACCACCTCAGCCTGGATTTCATTGTCCATATCACTATCAGCATTTTTGTCAAAGCCATTAAACAAGTCTCTAGGAGGTTCCAAATTTTCCCACATTTTACTATCTTCTTCTGAGCCGTCCAAACTCTTCCAACCTCTGCCTGTTACCCATTTCCAACGTTGCTTCCACATTTTTGGTTATCTTTTTTTTTTTTTTTTTTTTTTTGAGACAGAGTTTTGCTCTTGTCACTAGGCTGGAGTGCAATGGCATGACCTCAGCTCACTGTAACCTCTCTGTCCCAGGTTCAAGTGATTCTCCTGCCTCAGCCTCCTGAAGTAGCTGGGATTACAGGCACCTGCCACCATGCCCAGCTAATATTTTGTATTTTTAGTAGAGACAGGGTTTCACCATGTTGGCCAGGCTGGTCTTGAACTCCTGACCTCAGGTGATCCACCCACCTCGGCCTCTCAAAGTGCTGGGATTACAGGCATGAGCCACCATGCCCGCCCCATTTTTGGGTATCTTTTCAGCAACACGCCCTCTACTGGTACCAATTTACTGAATTAGTCCATTTTCACACTGCTGATAAAGACATACCAGAGACTGGGAAATTGCCAAAAGAAAGAGGTTTATCAGATTTACAGTTTTACGTGGCTGGGGAGGCCTCACAACCATGGTAGAAGGTGAAAGGCATGTCTCACGTGGTGACAGACAAGAGAAGAGAGCTTGTGCAGGGAAACTCCCCTTTTTAAAACCTGTGAGACTCATTCACTATCATGAGAACAGCACAGGAAAGACCTGCCCCCATAATTCAATCACCTCCCACTGGCTTCCTCCCACGATGTGTGGGAATTGTGGGAGTTACAATTCAAGATGAGATTTGGGTGGAGACACAGCCAAACCATATCACGAGGGAAGAGGAGAAGAATGAGGAGTTGTTAATCAAAGGATACAAGTTTCAATTAGACAAGAAAAATAAATGTTGAGGTCTATTGTAGAGCAGGGTGACTATAGACAATAATAATATATTGTATATTTTCAAACAAATGGGAGAGTAAATTTCAAATGTCTTGCCACGAAAAATGGTTAAGTGAGGTGATTAATATCTTAATTAGCTTGACTTAATCATTCCACTTTGTATACATGTATCAAAACATTACACTGTACTTTATAAATGTATACAACTGTGATTTGTCAATTAAAACTAATAATTTTTTTTTTCTAGTTGGAGTCTTGCTCTGTTGCCCAGGCTGGAGTGTAGTGGCGTGATCTCGGCTTACTGCAACCTCCAACTCTGAGGTTCAAGCAATTCTCCTGCCTCAGCCTCCTGAGTAGCTGGGACTACAGGTGTGCCTCACCATGCCCAGCTAATTTTTGTATTTTTAGCGGAGACGGGGTTTCACCATGTTGGCCAGGGTGGTCTTGTACTCCTGACCTCAAGCAGTCCACCCACCTCGGCCTCCCAAACTGATAATGTTTTTAAAAGTAAAAAAATAAAGATAAAAATGCATTACTCTAAATAACCTTCCTACTCCTAAACTAATCTGTGTTATATATTAGTAAAGATTAAAGCATATACCTTTACGTTTGTTAGCTAAGCTGGTTTGCAAACAAAACAAGACAGTTTTATAAGGGTGGTCTCCGATATATTTGCCACAAGTTGCCTTATAGCAAGCAGAGGCAAGGAAGAATGCATCTTCTCTGTAAGGAAGAGGCTGAGAAGCAAAGCTCTGCTCCTTCTCTCAAACTAATCAGAAAATTTATTCTTTCCCTGTGGAGGGCAAATAAAGTGCTACTTTAGTGATCCTTGTTCCACATGAAAACACATAGCCAGAAAAAAATGGAAGTGCCTCATCCCCAACACTGGGGAATGTTCAGTCGAGTCAAATACCATAGGAAGATAAACTAGGCAAAGTACCAAAATAATTTCTGGAGAATGGTGGAGAAGAAATCAGAAGTAAAGAATTCCCTGAAGTAGACAGTAGAGATAATCTCCATAGACTATGCTTTTAAGATGCATGCCAGTTAAAAAGCGTGAGAATAGGATGTAGGTTGAGAGAGTGCACAGAGAAAATAAGGTTCACTTTTTATTTTAATTTTATGTATTCATTTAAAAAACTTTTAGAATCAGAGAAACTTAAGCCTGTTTATAGCTTGAGGGGAGAGAGTGAAGAGGGAGAATTTTAACAGAAGAGAGAGAATAACTGGTATTATGGAGGTCTAGAGTTGGTTGGAGGCAAAATGAAGCATATTTTTTTCTGAAGCAGGAGGTTTCATCATCAGTTCAGCCAAAGAATTTAGGCATGGAGAATAACTGGGAGCTGACTACAGATAGTTGAACCATATTTGGTCAAGTATGAAGTCCCCAACAAATTTGTAATTAAATCGATCAATACAGTTATTTAATTTAATTTAACTATTATAGGAGCTTAGAAGCAAAGGAGATAAATATTTTATTACATTTGGTTTGGGGAATTGGCAAGGCAGAAATAGCTTATAAGATTAGGCAAACAACCCAAACAAATAAAATAAATAAAATTTAACAGATCGCGAATTTTTTTTTTCTGGAAAGAAACCTCTCCTAGAGAATAAAATTCAAAAGGAATTTTGGGAAGGATAAGGTTTAAGTTATAGTAAGCATGAAAAATAAAGGTTCACTTTGTTGACCAACTCTCTGGATTATGCTTTATTGTTATTATCAAGTCAAGTTCTATTAAAATAAGTGCATTTGATAAAGTAACCTAATATGTCAAATATGTTATTAATAGAAAATCTTAAGTGATGATGTTAAGTGTCATAAATGATCTACTGAACTGAGAATGTACGCCTATAGCAGGACCTGATTTGAATTACATATATAGATGTGGACATGTTCAATGAGGCAAAGCAGATAAACATACGTAAGCATTGGTTTTATCTAGTTACTATGATCGTTCAATCCTTTGCTCTCATGAACCTTCAAAACTGGCAAAAGAACAAAGTTAGAACTGAATAGTGCTGCTATTTTTAATCAGTCATGTGTTCCAAATACATTAATTGCATACCAGCTCTGTGAAATAAGTGTGCTTGGCTAAGAGACAGGACATTGTGTTTTAGAAATAAAGAATTTCCCCAAATGTCCACATTTTATAAATGTAATTCATGTTAAGATTTTATTACAGATTAATCATAAATATGGTACTGACTACAATATGAAGTCAGGACATATAATACTTAATATCTGACCTTCTTCATATTGGATCCCATTTATGCTATAGGCTGTTTTCACTGGAGGATGCTTTATGTGTGTGGGAGGTACTTATCAAGTAACAGAGATTTAGGGTCAAGTTACCAATTTGTATAAAAGCATGGAGGGTATAATGTAGGAAAGATGGAGATCAGAAGCAGGTTGCCATGTTTAAGTCAGGACTTAGAAAACAAGGCAGACTTGTCAAGGTCAGAACATGTAGTAATCAGTAAACTAGGGGAAGGTAGGAGAAACATTGTAATGAAGGATAGACAGATTTGTGAGAGGTTTTAAGTAGCTTAATAATTCTTCTATCTCTAACTGACCCCACCTATCAGTTGAACTCCCATTTGGTCAAACCATATTCCGTGATTACACGTTGTAGTGCGTTCCATGAAAATAAGTCATCTATCATAAGTTAACAGGATGTTTCTGAACCACCATGTAAGTATATGTTTCTGGAATGATTATACCTGTAGTGATGATCAATTCTGAAGAGCCCAAAGTCTCCCTTGGGATATCACTGTGAGCACCTGTATCCCTTGGTGGAAGAGCTGACTGGAATTAGCTGTTGGTCTGTATTCAAAGTCATGATACAGAACAAAACCAGTTAGGGGTCAGAGTGTTGACTTTGGCTTTAGTTGCACCCTTCTCTAACCTATTGAACTAATTTGCCATAGACAGAGTGGGATCAAAGTTATGCACATGTAACTTAAGGAAAGGGTATTTTCTGACTCTTCATCTTTAAAATCCAGCTTTGAAATATTTTTGGTCAAGTCAATCCAGACTTTTTAGTCAAGGCAATAAATAAATAAAGGCAGGTAAAGGACTATGAATGAAAATATATTTGTTTCTGAATACTGGTAATAAGTGACAAGATTTCTTTGGTAAAATTCAAGTTTTACTCATTGTGATTAGACATTTATTCTTGTGAATATAAAGCTGTTTTATTTAATATCTTTCAAATTATCACTTCCATTTTCTAAATTAAGGGTCAGTACACTTTCTCTATTAAGGGGGTATGTATTTTAATTTTTGTGGGTCATACTGTCTTTGTGGCAGCTCTTCAACTCTGCAGAGTGAAAGTAGCCACAGACAATATGTAAATGGTTGGATGTGCCTATGTTCCAGTAAAACTTTATTTACAAAACAGGTGACAGACTGGATTTGGCCCTGCTTCCTGTTTATTATATTTAGGAAATTGAAAACATCAGTTTGCTTTAGATAATAATAATATTAGCTTGACAGCATTGATTGGACATTTACTCTATGCTAGGTACTGTTGTGAAATCTTTATTAATTCATTTAATCTTCCACTAACCCCAATTCTGTGTTTATAGGTTAAGAAACTTGTTTAAGATTCTGCAGCCTGCAAGCATTGAAGCAGGGATTTTGACCTTAGCAGTCTAACTCCAGAGTCTGAACTCTTAATGACGAAAAATAGATATCACCCAGGAGACACTCTACCCTTTTCCAGTGTCACTCTATTATTTTGCACTTGGGAAAGCCTGACAGGTGAACTTACCCCACAGTACCTGAGTTGTCTAACTGATGGCCATTTCTCCCACTTTGTGACTGGCTGGCCCTGATTCACTAGGCTGCAGCTTCCCCATGTGGATATCCACAGGAAGGAGGATGTGGGCCATGCCACATCCCTAGATACTGCTCTGGCTCTGCATGCCACATGCCACACCACACATGTGCATAGAGGTGAATCCAAATGATCAGGAACTCTTGGTGTGGTTAATGAGATTTCTGACTTAGTGGGGCAACATTTGAAAGTCTACCCTGCATGGATCTGTTCCCATGCCCAAAAGAAAAGCACACACACATGAAAGACAAACTTTGTATAGAGGAGGCATTGGTGGACACACCCCTGTGTGTCCTTTCTAATTTTGGGGCTTCTCTCCTCTTTAAGGGGCCTCTTTCTTCAAAATGGCACAGTATGAATCCTCATACTGTGGGGATTCACCTTTTTGAGAGTTCTGCCCCCCAACCCACAGACTGTGGTCTGGAGCTTGGTTCTAGCTTCCTCCCCCACACTCCAGGCAATCTGTGGAATCCAGTAACCTGTAAGGACTCCATCAGTGAATTCTCCACCTTCTAACTACTGGTTGGGCTTAGCTGATGGAGAGCCCTGGAAGTGGATAAGAGGGAAGCAAAGAGAAAGAAGAGTGAGGTCAGGATGTGTATTCCCTGGATCCTTCTTTTCAAGATATCAGAGATAGTTAATTTTTATGTGTCAACATGGCTAGACAGTAGTCCCCAGTTATTCAGTTAAACACAAATCTAGGTATTGCTGTGAAAGTATTTAGTAGTTGTGATTAAAGTCCATAACCAATTGACTGTAAGTAAGGGACAGAGATTATCTGAATCTGGTGGGTCTGACTCAATTGGTTGAAAGGCCTTAAGAGATAACTGAAGCTTCCAAGAAGAAGAACTAATTCTGCCTGTGGACTGTTGCTTCACCCTGTGCCTGAGTGTTCTAGTCTGCCCTTTCTTTCAATGGCCTACCTTACAGATTTTGGACTTGCTATATCAGCCCCCACAATCACATAAGCCTATTATTTGCAACAAATCTCGCAATATATAGCTCTTACTAGTTCTATTTCTCTGTTTGAGCCTTGACTGATATAGTGGTCTTGAGCTGGCTGTGTCTTTTAACCAAAGGCCAAAGTTCCTCTGAAGTGGCTGACTCTACCTGACTCTTTATCCTTCCTTTTCCTGTAAATATTTCCAGCCTAAGGGTGATAACAGTTTAAGTTACTATCCCATTATTAGTAGTTCTCTTACACCCCACATTTGTATATAATCTCTTTGTAAGTCAACTATCCTTGAATTATCCTATTTTGAGCATGCTCTTTCCTCTTGGGAGTCAATAGATATATCCACTAATTAAGCATACTTAAAATCTAAGGCAATCATCATATACATTAATTCATTTATTCAAAATACTGTTGGGTGCCTTTTATGAGCTTGCAAAGTGATAGGCTCAAGGGATATAATGGTTAATTTAAGAGCATAGTTCATGTATTCTTGAGCTTACTATTTGGTGGAAGAGGCAGACAATTAAACAGTTATTGTTTTGTGGAGGAAATTTTATGATGAGGAAAGACAGCATGTGTGAGAAAAAGAGGGCCGAATGCAATGGCTCACGCCTGTAATCCCAGATTTTGGGAGGCTGAGAAGGGTGGATCACCTGAGGTCGGGAGTTCAAGACCAGCCTGACCAACATGGAGAAACCCTGTCTCTACTAAAAAAAAAAAAAAAAAAAAAAAATACAAAATTAGCTGGGCGTGGTGGCACATGCCTGTAATCCCAGCTACTCGGGAGGCTGAGGCAAGAGAATTGCTTGAACCCGGGAGGCGGAGGTCGCGGTGAGCCGAGATTGTGCCATTGCACTCCAGCCTCGGCAACAAGAGCAAGACTCCATCTCAAAAAAAAAAAAAAAAAAAAAAAAAAAAACAGAAAAAGAGAAGAAAAGATTTATTCCAAAAAGAGAAAAAGAGAAAGAAAAGATTTATTTCCCCCACAAAAAAAAAAAAAAAAAAAAGGAGGCCGGGTGTGGTGGCTCATGCCTGTAATCCCAGCACTTTGGGAGGGCAAGGTGGGTGGATCGCTTGAGCCCAGGAGTTTGAGACCAGTCCAGGCAACATGGCAAAACCCTATCTCTACTAAAAATACAAAAAAAAAAAAAAAAAAAAAAAAAAGAAGGTGCTTCTAACCCGGTATTATTAAGGTTAGGCATCTGGGAAAACTTCCCAGAGGAAAAGATTTCTAAGCTGAGACCTGAAGGAGGAGAAAAAATGAGCAACGCAAAAGTGTGTGTGGGGTAAATGGTATATGTGTGTGGTGGGGAGAAGTGTTTCAGACAAGCGAGTAACATGTTCTAAGGGAGTGTGGCTTCTTTATGACCCTGAGAGTTGTTGGGTATAGAGGGGTGAAAGCACCATCTGCAGAACCTGGCAGGCACCAGATTGTGGAGGACCTCGCTGTCATGATGAAGAGTTGGGGTACCGGAAGCCACTGGAGGGTTTTCAGCCAGGGGATGTTGTAATGAGATTTGAGTTTTAGAAAGATCCCTCTGCAGAGTGGAGAAAATACCAACGGGGCAAGCCTGGAGTTCTAGTTATGCAGGCAAAAGATGATGGTGTCTTGCACAAGAGCAGAGACTAGCCCAGGAAAAGAGAAAATGGTAGGTTTTTAGAGATGTTTAGAAACTAAATTTGACTGATCTCGAGGAAAATTGGGATTTTGGCTCTGGGCATTGTGGAAGGTAAAATAAAAAGAAGAGCTACGGTCCCTTAGGTTTCAGCATTGGGTGGATGGATGATGGTGCATTTCCTGAGATAGAAAACACAGGTTTGGGGAGAAGAAGATGAGTAACGTTATGAACATGTTGAGTTTGAGGAACCTGTGAGATGTGCAAGTGGAAGGTGAGTAGTAGGGTAAACAGGCCTGAAGGCTATAAGGGAGTTTTGAGCAAGAGGTAAAAATCTGAGATTTATCAGTAATTAGATAAGTCTTGGAGTTAAGGACTTATTTATCTATTTGCTGATAAATCTCAGATTTTTGCCTCTTGCTCAAAACTCTGTAAGTCCTGGAGTCAAGAAACCAATTAAGACTGGGCGTGGCGCCTCATGCTTGTAATCCCAGCACTTTGGGAGGCTGAGGCTGGGCGGATTCACCTGAAGTCAGGAGTTTGAGACCAGCATGGCCAACATGGTGAAACCCCATCTCTACTAAAAATACAAAAAGTAGCTGGGCATGGTGGCACGTGCCTGTGATCCTAGCTACTCAGGAAGCCAAGGCAGGAGAATTGCTTGAACCGAGAGAGTGGAGGTTACAGTGAGCTGAGATCATGCCACTGCACTCCAACCTGGGCGACAGAATGAGAATCTGTCGAAAAAAAAACCAAAAAAAAACCAAAAAGCCAATTAAGCCAGGGGAAAAAATCTTTGCTGGAACACACAGTTAACTCCTGGAATAGTCTTCTGTTAAGACCAGTTTGAGAAGTGTTCAAATAGTTGCTTTTGAACAATAACCAAATGTGAAATGTGTAGTGATATGCTGTAATATTATAGCGAGATACCTAAGGAAATCCAATCAAAGCTGAAGCCTATTCAGGTGCAATTTTATTTGTTTTTAATTATATCATACAGAGGGGTTTTTGTTTTCTTTTTTCTGTAGAGTCTGGGGGGGTCTCTCTATGTTGCCTAGGCTGGTCCTGAACTCCTGGTCTGAAGCAATTCTCCTGCCTCAGCCTCCCAAAGTCCTGGGATTATAGGCGTAAGCCATCATGCCTGGCCTTTGCAGGAAGTTTTAGATGCCCCAGTCTGTTGGCTGTGCTCAAAAATAACAGTAGCAAATATTTATGTGGCACTGACAATGTTTCAGGCAGCATTCTAAGCACTTTACAGGTATTAACACATTCATTCTTCAAAACCACCTGTGAACTAAGTACTATTATTATCCCCATTTTATGGATGAAGGTACTGAGGCACAGAGAGGTTATGTCATGCCCAGGTTCATACAGTTGGGTCCAGAGCTCTAGCCCTTGGCTACACGGCTGTGCTGCTCTCTGATGGGCTTCTTATAGCCAGCATGATCTGCTGAAGCTCAATTTCACCTCTGCATAGTGGGATTGGCTACCTGTAAATTTGCCAGAATAATGAATGATAGATGGAAGTGCATTTAGACTACCCAGTAAGGGTCCAACTGACTTGTATTGGCATGTTTCTCAGGCTTGATGACATCACAAGACTCTGAACTTTTCACAGGCTTTGGAAATAGTAGCAGCCCTAGGTGAACTCTCTTTGAAAAAGAGTTACCAAAGTATGGATTTATCACACTTCTAAGGAACCATAAACTTGGAGGAAAGAGTTTACCTCTGTCCTCTCTAGAAGGAGTTGGCCAGGATGAACTCATTTCTTGGTCTGGGTTTATTTTGGGAAATGCTCTGGGACCCAGGGAAAGGCTCTGGTTTCAAGACTCTTGGCACAAAGGCTCCCAGGAAGTGGTTAGGCTAGAGCTGGCAAATGTTGGAGGCAGTGGGGGCCAGAGGCCTGCTAATCCCTAATATCAGTTATCATGGGCCACCATCCTAAATCTCTGCTCAATTCCTGGGCTTTCATATGTAATTAACCTTTCATATGAGAAGAAATAAGATTTTGACTTTGTGCCTCTTTGGAAAGTGCTTACATAAAACCAGTGACTTAGTTGGTTCCAGTAAAATAATTATTTTATGCCACTCTGAGAGTCCGGTGAACTGGTGATAACTAAGCAACTAGTAGAAGATCTGGAAACTTTCAGTACTAATTTAAGCTCAATATGGTTCTGCTCCTCTTTTGTGGCCAAATTACACTGGAAAAAGCATTTGCAAGTACCTCTGGATACCTTCAAAGTTCATCCTGCATTTAATGATATGCGGTGTTTTTTGTTTTGTTTTGTTTTGTTTTTAGCATACCAAAGCCAATCCTTTTGGGGGAGGGGAGATTGGAACATCTAATTTAAAGGAATTAAAGCAAGAATTAAATATCAAGAAACTCAATAGAGAGAAATTGAAATTAAAGTAATATTTCTTAAACAGCAAATGTAATTTTAACAAAATCATATAACACTGTTAGTTCTACAAAAGCACAGAGAACCCACAAATATAAGCAATAAATCTATTTGGCTAATTTGGTGTGTAAGCAGGTGTAGAAGGTAGGAAAATGTGTTTGTCGATTCCTAAAAGACTAGCAATAAAGTCCAAGGATAGAAGGGTAGAAAGCTGTCTTCTGTGAATGTCTTGTTTATTCCTGAAATAGAAATTTTATTCCTGTTATTTTAGTTCTGTCCATTTCCCACTAAACTGACAGAAGAAGTTTCAATTTATCACAGCAGGTTATGGTCAGCCTGGAAATCGAGTAATAAAGTGTCTTTGTAATCACTTGATAAATCATGCTGAGATAAAAGCTCTTTGCTCATTCAGAGATGGAGTAAAATATGTGGGATCCAAAGCTGGTTCACAGGCCATTTGCTGATAAGCTGCTGTTTCAGAGGAATTCAAGCTTTTAAGAAATCCCACCCTAGTCTTCTGGGTTTCCAGTTTGTTTTTACTAGTAATTGCACATTAAAATACCACTTTGCTTCGCTTAACAGATGACATCTAAGACCATGGATGACAAAAGACAGATTACCAAAGGAAGTTGTGGGAACTCTTGCTAAACCATTTAAAAAAAAGAAAAATTTTAAGCCAGGAGTGATTAAACCCAGCCAGGTCTAACATCAACATGCACAAACTGTATATTGGGGACAATTTATATCTCTATAATTAAATAATTTTATAGCTTAGCCCAACCTTTATGAAGAAATGAGTCTGTTGTTTGATAGAGCAACATATAACAGAAGGATTATAACTATTGCTAGATCAATTAGGGTCAACAATATAATATTTTCTTGATTATCTTTTTTTTTGGTCAAAAATGCAGGATAAAGAATGCCCATAAATTTCTCACAGTGCATACTCATGTCCATTATTTTCTAAATAGCTTTATAGCAAATTTAGTGCCTTTTTTGTATTTACTTGATTCTGCTTTGTTTTCAGATAAGGGCATATAAAACACTAGATTAATAGCGTAACAAAAATTTCGCATGTGTTGAAAAATTTCTAGAGGGCATTACAGGCATTTTCTATTCATTCCCCAAGACCCAGCTGAAAGGTCACCTTCACAGGAAGCTTTCTCAGCTTTACTCATACAGTCAGTTGTTTCCTTCTGTTCCCACAGCACTTAGCCCAGACCACTGTATAGCATTTTTATCTATTACTTAGTGTGATTATTTGCTTCCCTTTAATCTGGAAATTCTTCAGAAACAGAGACCTTGCATTAATCATTATGTCTTTATCATCTAGCACAGTACGTGGCATATGGTAGGCATGTAATAATTACTATGGGACAACAATATTTATGGTAAGTGAATGTAGAAACCATGTTTAGCTTGCAGATATACAGCTGCAATTCAGAAGTTGAAGCCCCTTGAGACTTCATTTTTGCCATTAGGTTGTCTGATGACTCTGTTAAAAAATTCAGCGTGGTCTGGTTCGTTTTCTAGTCTTTCAAATCTCCCAAAGAATGGTTCAAAGCTTTGGTTATATTAGATTTGTTATGTTGAATTCAACTTGAGGTTAGGAGGCTATAGGAGAAAAAATTGGAAATGTTTGGGCTTTATATAAAGACTTGGATGGGAGTAATATCAGCAAGATGGCAGAATAGGAGGTCTTAGGCTTCAGTCCACCACACAGAAAGTCCAACTAGCAACTATTCAGACAAGAACACCTTTGTGAAAACTGCAAAACTTGGAAATGAGACTGAGATACCTACATGGACCACAGAAATGAAAAACTATATTAGAAGGGTAAGAGGAACTGTCTCACTTTAACCATGTCAGCACAGTCCCACACAGAGGAAATTCCCCAGGCCTATGGTTTCTATAGTAGGAAAAGTGAGCCTGGTTGGACATCCAGCTTCCCCAGCATCATGGGTCACCCACTCCTATCTTGCCTTATGGGGGAATACTATGGGTAATGGTGGGACTAGAGCGTTTGGAGTCCAGTAAAAACAAAAAAAGGGGGAAGGGTTCATAGTAACCACTATACAGATCTTGGTGGTAGCTGTGTATTCCTGCCAATGGTGGCACCTGATCAAAGATACCAAGCCAATGTTATAGCCTACCCACAAAGCTGAGCTGATTGCTCCCAGAAATACAGTGGGAAGTTCTACCTGGCTTGAGTCCCTAGCCAGCCACTCCAACCAACCTCACAGCCTACCACAATGGTCCACCCAGGCAGGGAGATGTATGCCATCATGTATTTCTGCAGACCACAGGGGCTGGACCTGCCTGACCTGGGAGCCCAAACAGTGACTTGGCCCTACCTCAGAGCTTACCTCAAGATTGTGCTCTAGCAGGGAAATGCCTGCCACTGTTTTTTTGTTTTTTTTTTTTTTTGTACAGCATAGGGGCTGGCCCTGCCCAACCTGGGAGTTGAAACAGTGACTCAGCCTAGTCGCAGAGCCCACGCAAGACTCTGCCCAGGCAAGGAGGCAAGCCTCAACTATGTATTCCTATGGAGCATAGCCTCTAGTCTTGAAAATTCCAAGCAATGACTCTGCCTAAGCTTAAAGCCCAGTCCACAGGCTGTCCAACTCTAGAATCCAAATAGTAGTACTGCACAGCCAGGGAATACAGCCTGTGACTCTGCTGGATTAGAGGTAATCACAGTGCCTGGCCAATAGGTCAGCCAGACTGCAGAGTCCAGTGAATGGTCTCACTGGACTGCAGCCCCCAACTGTAGTACCACCCAACCTAACAGCAAAGGCAATGGAACCTAAAGAAACAGAGATCTATAAAATGACAAAGAATTCAGAATAAATCTCTTAAAGAAGTTCAGTGACCTGTTTAAAAAAATAAGGATAGAAAATTAAAATTTGGAAGCCAATACATGAAAAAAATGAAAAGTTTCACAAAAAATAAAAACAAATAAACAAAAACCAAATAGAAAACATAGAAATGAAAAAGACAGTTGCTTAATAGAATAATTCAATAGAAGGCTTCAACAGCAGACTCAATCAAGCAGAAGAAAGAATAAGTGACCTCAAAGAGAGACCATTTCAAATTTTATAGTAAGAGAATTATAAATAAATAAATGAGAAAGAATGAAGAAAGTCTATAGGAATTGGGGGGTACTTTCAAGAAAACTGACTTTTGCATAACAAAAATACCAGAAGGAGAAGAGAAAGAAGGCCAGGAAGCATATTTTAAGAAATAATAACTGAAAACTTCCCAAATCTGGGGAAGGATGCCAACATCCAGGTACCAGAAGCCCAGAGAACTCCAATAAAATTCAACCCAAAGAGGAGTTCACCAAGATACATCCTAACCAGACTATTAAAAATCAAAGACCAAAAAGAAAAAGACAAAAAAAGAATTCTGAAAGCAGTGAGAGAAAGGAGACTCATCACATAAGAGGGAGTCCCAATGCAGCTATCAGCAGATTTCTTAGCAGAAACTTTGCAGGCCAGGAAAGAGTGGGATGATATATTAAAAGTGCTGAAGAAAAAAAATTGCCAGCTAAGAAAACGTCACCTAGCAAAGCTATTCTTCAAAAATGAGGAAGAAATAAAAACTTTCCCAGACAAACAAAAGCTAAGGGAGCTTATCACAAGGCCTGCTACAGGGAGTTCTTTAAGCTGAAATAAAGGCCACTAACTAATAAAATAAAACATATGAAATTACAAAACCCAATGGTATAAGTAATATGTAGTCATATTCAGAACACTCTAGTATTTTAATAGTGGTGTGTAACGTAATTTTATCTCTAGTATATGGGTTTAAAGGCAAAACTATCAAAAACAGCTGTAACTACAATAATTTGTTAAGAGATGTAAGTTACAAGAAAAAAAATGTAAATTTTGACACCAAAATCATGAAATGTAGGGGAAGGGGAGTAAAAATGTATAGTTTTAAAATATAATCAGGGTTAAGTTGTTACCACTCTGTAAAAGCCCATTATAAATATAAGAATTGTTATGTAAGCCTCATTATAACCACAAAGCAAAAACCTGTAGTACCTGCACAAAACATGAAAAGGATTCAAAGCACACCACTACAGAAAACCATCAAACCACAAGGCAAAACAGCAAGAGAGGAAGAAAGGAACAAGGGATCTACAAAAGAACCTTAAACGAATTGCAAAATTGGAGTGATAAGTCTTTACCTATCAATAATTACTTTGAATGTAAATGAATTAAATTATTCAATCAAAAGATATAGAGTGGCTGAATAGATAAAAAAAAGACACAATGATATGCTGCATATAACAGACTTACTTCATTCTTAAGGACACACATACACTGAAAGTAAAGGGGTGTAAAAAGATATTCCATGCAAATGGAAACCAAAAGATAGCAGGAGTAGCTATACTTAAATCAGACAAAGTAGAATTTAAGTCAAAAACTGTAAAATAAGACAAAGAAGGTCAATATATAGAGAAAGGAGTTAGTTCATCAAGAGGATATAACAATTATAAATACATATGCACCCAACTTTGGAGAACCTAAATATATAAATAAAAAATTAAATGATCTGAAGGGAGAGACAGATTGTAATATAATAATAGTAGTGGACTTTACTAATCCCAATTTCAACAATGGACACATCATTCAGACGAAAATCAATAAGAAAACACTGGACTTGCATTGAACATTAGAACAAATGGACCCCCCAGACTAATACACAGATTCCATCCAACAGCAGCAGAATACACATTCTTCTCAAGTGCACATGAAACATTTTCCAGGGCAGATCATATGTTAGGCCATAAAGCCAGCCTTAACAAATTTAACAGGACTGAAATGATATTAATTATCTTTCTAAACACAATGGTATAAAACTAGAAAATAAGAGAAATCTTGGAAAATTCACAAAAATGTGGAAATTAACAAGCTCCAGAACAATTTGTGAGTCAAAGAAATTAAAAAAGAAATAAAAATCATCTCAAGACAAATGAAAATGGAAACACAACCTATTAAAACTTCTGAGCTACAACAAAAGCAGTTCTAAGAAGGAAATTAAAGCAATGAATACCAATATCAAAAACACAAGAAGGATTACAAATAAACAACCTAAAATTATACCTAAAGAAACTAGAAAAAGAAAAACTAAACGCAAAGTTAGCAAAAGGAAAGAAATAACAAACATCAGAGCACAAATAAATGACATATAGACTATAAAAGCAATAGAAAAAATTAATACCACTAAGAGTTGGTTTTTGGAAAGATCAACAAAATCAACAAACTCTTAACTAGACAAAAAAGAGAGAAGATTCAAATAAATAGAACCAGAAATGAAAGACATCCCAACTTATACCACAGAAATACAAAGGATCACAAGAAACTACTAGAAACAATTATATGTCAACAAATTGGATAACCTAGAAGAAATGGACAAATTCCTAGAAACATATAACCTATCAAGACTGAATCATGAAGAAATAGAAAATCTAAATAACTAATAACAAGCAAGGAGATTGAATCAATAATAAAAAGGCTCTTATCAAAGAAAAGCCCAGGACCTAATGGCTTTACACCTGAATTCCACCAAACATTTAAAGAATAACAACCCTCGCAAAACTCACAAAATTGAAGTGGAAGGAGTATTTCCAAACCATTTTATGAGGCCAGTGTTACCCTGATCCCAAAGCCAAACAAGGACACTATAAGAACAGAAAATTACAGGCCAGTATCCCTGAGAAACATAGATGCAAAATTTTTCAACAACATACAAGCATACCAAATTCAATAGCACATTGGAAAGGATCATTTAGTATGATCAAATGTTATTCATCCTTTGGATTCAAGAATGATTCAACATACAAATCAATAAATGTGATACACCATATAGACAGAAGAAAGGACAAAAATTATATGGTCATTTCAATAGATGCAGACAAAGAATTTGACAAAATTCAACACTCTTTCATGATAAAAACTCTCAACAAATTAGGCATAGAAGGAATATACCTCAATAAAGGTCATATATGACAAGCCTGCAGTTAACATCATACTTAATGGTGAAAAGTTAAAAGCTTTTCCTCTAAGATCAGGAGTAAGACAAACATGTCCTTTCTGACTACGTCTTTCCAACATATTACTGGAAGTCCTAGTCAGAGCTATTAGGCAAGAAAAATAAATAAAGGGCATCCTAATAGGAAAAGAAGGATTGGAATTCTTTGCCAATGAGATGATATGTAGAAAATCCTAGACTACACTGAAAAACTGTTAGAACTGATTAGTGAATAAAGTTGCAGGACAAAAAATCAACGTGCAAAAATCAGTAGTGTTCCAATACACTAACAATAAACTATCCAGGAAAGGAATTAAGAAACCAATCCCATTGCAATAACAACAAAAATTAAAACACTTAGGAATAAATTTAACCATGGAGATGAAAAATCCCTATACTGAAAACAATAAAACATGGATTAAAGAGGAGGGGCTTCAAGATGGATTAGTAGATGTATCTGGTATTCACCTCTTCCATGGAGAGGAACCAAAATAGTGAGTAGATAATCACACTTTGAATAGATTATCTAAATGAGAACACTGAAAGAGAGAGAGAGAGAAAGAGAGAGAGAGAGAGAGAGAGAGAGCACTCATGCTGGGTGCCACAAACCCCCAAGTCCTAAGCAGTTGCAGCATGGCACATTTTGAGAGCCCGGCTTCTTCCAGACTGTGTCTTGCCCTGGGGCTCAACAGTTTCTGCATCTCTACATCCTTGGTGCCTCACTGACATTCAACAGAGAAGTGATGGGAGGCACTGAAAGCAAGAAGGGAGAAGGAAGTGAAGCAGCCTGTTCAACTAGCATTGGCTAGGAGTCTGGAGAGGCTATCTAATGTGGGTAAAGGGTAAATGAGTGACCCCTAGTGGTCCACTTTCCTGCCATGGACACCTACAATTCTAGCCATGGTAGAGCCCCTTCATATAGGGAGCTTCCTGAGGACTGTGAGGCATTACTCCAGAGAAAGAACTCATGCTTGGTCCCACAAACCCCCAAGTCCTAAGAAGCTGCAGCATGGTGCATTTTGGGAGCCTGACTTTTACCAGACTGTGTCCTGACCTGGGGCTCAACAGTCTCAGCATCTCTACATCCTTGGAGTCCCACTGACATTCCACTGCCCACAACTGCCATCACTAGGGGTTGCTGCAGGGCAAGGCACAAGTGAAGTATGCACTGTCGCTCCTCCTGCTACCTGCCTATGGCTGCTCCCATTGACCATTGCAGAGCTGCAATGCAGCCACAGCTGCCCCCACCTGACCTTTCTGTCAGTGGCCTGGGATCACCTTGCCACTGCTTATAACAGCTAGCACCTGCAGGCACCACTGGGGGTCCTGAGGGCAGGTCTGCCTGAGCCAGCTCCATACCTCCAGTACCCAAGCATGCCATCCGGGGGCCTGGGGATTGCCCAACCCAGTTCACCACCATTGGCACCTCAGCATTCCTCCCAGGATATGCTCCACTCAACCTGCCTCTGCCACTATAGCTGGCACCCAGCTGTATGTGCCACTTGCAGGTCTGAGGTCTGGCCTGCACAGCCCTTCATAACCAACACCAACATGAACTGCTTGATTCCCAGAGAATTTTCCCACCACTGGTCCTTCCATTGCCCATGCCGTGCCCACCACCCAGGGGATGGAGAACCCACCTATCTGTCCAGCCCACTGCTGCCATTCCAGGCACCCAAGCAGGCCACTTGTAGGCCCATGAGTTGGCTGGCTTGTACATGCTAACACCAGTGCCAGCATACGTCACTCTGGGGCCCAAGGCAAGCAAACTCAGCCCACTACTGCCATCCCTGGGACCTGAAGACTAGCCTACCTGGTATCCTTGTCCGAGCAAAACTTCACCACAAGCCTCCACTAACAACCACATCCTAAACCACTGAGGAAATCACAGACACCACTGATGCTGTTTACAGCCAAAGAAATAATACAGCAGCAACACTACTACGTGCATCCAGAATCAAAACCAAAGTGCCTTACCCAACTAACTTCATAGATACATCTTCATGAAAATCCTCCCCTATGAAAGCAAATTAAAACAATTAGAAACAACTGTTACACCAGATGAGGAGATATCAATGTAATGACTCAGGAAGCATAAAAAAGCAAGAAAATAAAACACCTCTAAAGGAACACAATAATTCTCCAGCAACATATCCCAATCAAACGGAAATTTATGAAGTTAAGGACGATGAATTCAATGATATTAAAGGAGCACAATGAGATACAAGAGAATACTGAAAAGCAATACAAAATGATTAGAAAAACAAACCAGGATATGAATGAGACATTTACCAAAGACTTAGATATCGTAAAAAAGAACTAAACAGATATTCAGGAAATGAAGAATGGGTTGAATGAAATACAAAATTCAAAAGCTTCAATAACAGGCTGGATCAAAGAGAAGAAAGATTTCAGAACTTAAAGACAGGTCTTTTGAAATAACCCAGTCAGACAAAAATAAAAATAATCAAAAAGCCTGAGCAAAGCCTATCTGACATATGGAACACCATAAAGCAAACAAATATTCAAATTCTTGGTGTCCCAGAAGGTTAAGTGAAAACTAAAGGGTTAGGAGACCTATTTAACAAAATAATAGATGGAAATATCCCAGGTTTAGCAAAAGATTTAGATGTACAGATACAGGAGGTTCAAAGATCCCCAAATAGATAGGATTCACAAAGTCTTCTCCATGGCACATTATAGTTAAACTGTTAAAAATCAAAGAAAAAGAAAATTATAAAAACAGCAAGAGAACAGTGTCTAGTATCATAAAAGAACCTCATCAGACTAACAACAGACATCTCAGCAGAAACCTTACAGGCCAGGAGAGAATGGGATGATATATCCAAGGTGCAGAAGAAAAAAACTTGCTGCCAAGGACATTATGCCCACAAAGCTATCCTTCATAAATGAAGGAGAAATAAAAGTCTTTCCCAGACAAGCAAAAGCTCAGGGAATTCATCCCCACTAGATCAGCCATACAAGAAATACTTAAGGGAATTCTATACCTAGAAGGGAAAGAACAATAACTACCATGATGAAAATACATGAAAATATTAAAAAAAAAACAACACTGTTAAATAAGATTTGAGATAAAAACTCAAATGTTACCACTACAGGATACTACCAAACCACAATGATGAACAATAAGAGAGAAAGAAAGGAGCAAGGATATATAAAACAACCATAAGTCAACCAATAAAATGTCAGGAATAAGTCCTCACATATCAATAGTAACTTTGAATGTAAATGGATTAAATTTTCCACTTGAAAGATGTAGACTGGTGGAATGGATTAGCAAAACAAAACAAAACAAAAAAAGAAAACATGAACCAAGTATATGCTGCTTACAAGAAACTCATCTCAGTTGTAAAGATACACGTCTTGAAAGCAACAGGTGGAAAACATATTCTATGCAATTAGAAACAAAACAAGCAGGAACATGGGAACACTTGATATGTTATGTAAAGCAAATATTATTAGATCTAAAGGGAGTGATAGACTCCAACACAACAATAGCTGGGGACATTAACACCCCATTCTCAGCATCAGACAGACATCTAGACAAAAAATTAACAAAGAAACATTGGATTTAAACTGTACATTAGACTAAATGTACCTAACAGACATTTACAGAATATTTGGTTGAACAGCTACAAAATACACATTTCTTTCATCAGCACATGGAATATTCTTCAGGACAGACCAGATGTTTGGACACAAAGTAAGTGTGAACAAATTTTTAAAAATTGAAATCCCACCTAGTATCTTTTCAGAACAAAATGGCCTAAAACTAGAAATTAATAAAAAGAGGAACTTTGGAAACTGTACAAATACGTAGAAATTAAACAACATGCTCCTGAATACCACTGAATCAAGGAAGAAATTAAAGAGGAAATGAAAAAAAATGTATTGAAATAAACGAGGCTGGGTGTAGTGGCTCATGCCTGTAACCCCAGCACTTTGGGGGGCCGAGGCAGGTGGATCACTTGAGGTCAGGAGTTTGAGACCAGCCTGTCCAACGTGGTGAAACCCCATCACAACCAAAATTACAAAAATTAGCCAGGTGTGGTGTTAGGTGCCTGTAATCCCAGCTACTTGAAAGGCTGAGGCAGGAGAATCACTTGAACTGGGGAGGTGGAGGTTGCAGTGAGCTGAGATCACACCACTGCACTCCAACCTGGGTGACAGAGTGAGACTCCATCTCAAATAAACAAAACAAAAACCAAACCAAAACAAAACAAAAACAAATGAAAAGCGACATATAACATACCAAAACCTATGGAATACAGCAGAAGCAGTGCTAACAGTGAAGTTTCTAGCAATAAATGTGTACATCAAAAAAGCAGAAAAGTTTCAAGTGCACACTCTAATAATGAACCTCAAAAAACTAAAAAAGCAAGAACAAACCAAGCCCCAAATTGGTAGAAGAAAAGGAATAATAAATATCAGAACTGAAATAAATGAAATAGAGACTTAAAAAACAATATAAAGGATCAATGAAATGAAAAGTTGGTTCTTTGAGAAGATAAATGAAATTGATAAACTGCTAGCTCTACTAACCAAGAAAAAAAGAGAGAAGAAGACTCTTCTGATTTTATAGAACCAAATCACAATTGAAAAAGGAGACATTACAACTGATACTATAGAAATACAAAATATCACCAGAGACTATTATGAACAACTACACACTAACAAACTAGAAAACCTATAAGAAATGGATAAATTCCTGGACTCATAGAACCTCCCAAGAATGAGTCAGAAATAAGTAGAAAGCCTGAACAGAGCAATAATGAATAATGAGATTGAATCAGTAATAAAAAGTCTCCCAAAAAGGAGAAGTCCAGAACCAGATGACTCCACTGCTGAATTCTACCAAACTTTCAAAGAAGAACTAATACTATATTATCTTCAAACAATTATAAGAAATTGAAGAAGGGGGAATTCCTTTTAACTCATTCTGAGATTAACATTACCCTGATACAAAAACCAGACAAGGACTACAAACTACAGGACAATATCCCTGATGAACACAGATGTGAAGATTCTCAAAACAATTCTAGCAAACTGAATTCAACAGCACATCACACACACACACACACACACACACACACACACACACACACACACACACACGTTAGTGTGATCAAGTGGGATTTATCCCAAGGGTGCAACAATGGTTTAATGTACGCAAATCAATAAATGTGATACATCAAATCAACAAAATGAAGGACAAAAATAGCTGCGATGAACATACATGCATACATAGCTGCATGTATGTCTGTAATATAATGATTTGTATTCCTTTGGGTACATACTCAGTAATGGGATTGCAGGGTCAAATAGTATTTCTGGTTCTAGATCTCTGAGGAATTGTCACACCATCTTCCACAATGGTTGAACTAATTTACATTCCCACCAACAGTGTAAAAGTGTTCCTATTTCTCCACAACCTCACCAGCATCTGTTGTTTCTGGAGTTTTTAATAATTGCCATTGTGACTGGGGTGAGATGATATATCATTGTGGTTTTGATTTGCATTTCTCTAATGATCAGTGTTGTTGCGCTCTTTTTCACATGTTTGTTGGCCACATGAATATCTTCTTTTGAGAAGTGTCTGTTCATTTTCTTTGCCCACTTTTTAATATTCTTTTTTGTAAATTCTAAGTTCCTTGTAGATTCTGGATATTAGACCTTTGTCAGATGGATAGATTGCAAAAATTTTCTCCCACTTTGTAGGTTGCCTGTTCACTCTGATGATAGTTTCTTTTGCTCCGCAGAAACTCTTTAGTTTAATTAGGCACCATCTGTCAATCTTTGCTTTGGTTGCAATTACTTTTGGCAATTTCACCATGAAATCTTTGCCCATGCCTATGTCCTGAGTGGTATTGCCTGGATTTTCTTTTAGGGTCTTTATAGTTTTGGGCTTTATATTTAAGTCTTTAATCTATCTTGAGTTAATTTTTGTATAAGTCATAAGGAAGGAGTCCAGTTTCAATTTTCTGCATATGGCTAGCTAGTTCTCCCAGCACCATTTATTAAATAGGGAATCCTTTCCCCATTGATTGTTTTTGTAAGGTTTGTCAAAGATCAGATGGTTATAGATGTGCGGTCTTATTTCTGAGTTCTCTATTCTGTTCCATTGGTTTATGTGTCTGTTATTGTACCTGTACCATGGTGTTTTGGTTATTGTAGACTATAGCTTGAAGTTCGGTAGTGTGATGCCTTCAGCTTTGTTCTTTTTGCTTAGGATTGTCTTGGCTATATGAGCCCTTTTTTGGTTCCATATGAATTTTAAAATAGTTTCTTCTAATTCAGTGAAGAACGTCAATGGTGGTTTAATTGAATCTATAAATTACTTTGGGCAGTATGACCATTTTCACAATATTGATTCTTCCTATCCACGAGCATGGAATGTTTTTCCATTTGTTTGTGTCCTCTCTGATTTTCTTGAGCAGTGGTTTGTAGTTCTCCTTGAAGAGGCCCTTCACTTCCCTTGTTAGCTATATTCCTAGGTATTTTATCCTTTTTGTAGCAATTGTGATTGGGAGTTTATTCATGATTTGGCTCTCTGCTTGTCTGTTTTTGGTGTATAGGGATGCTTGTGACTTTTGCCCATTGATTTTGTATCCTGAGACTTTGCTGAAGTTGCTTATCAGCTTAAGAAGCTTTGGGGCAGACACAATAAGGTTTTCTAGATACAGGATCATGTCATCTGCAAACAAAGATAATCTGACTTCCTCCTTCCTACTTGTATACCCTTTATTTCTTTCTCCTGCCTGATTGCCCTGGCCAGAACTTCCAATACTATGTTGAATAGGAGTGGTGAGAGAGGGCATCCTTGTCTTGTGCCGGTTTTCAAGGGGAATGCTTCCAGCTTCTGCCCGTTCAGTATGATATTGGCTGTGGGTTTGTCATAAATGGCTCTTACTATTTTGAGTTTCTTCAATACCTAGTTTATTGAGAGTTTTTAACATGAAGGGATGTTGAATTTTACCGAAGTCCTTTTCTGCATCTCTTGAGATAATCATGTAGTTTTTGTCTCTAGATCTGTTTATGTGATGAATTACATTTATTGATTTGCATATGTTGAACCAGCCTTGCATCCCAGGGATGAAGCCAACTTGATCATGGTGTATAAGCTTTTTGATGTGCTGCTGTATTCAGTTTGCCAGTATTTTACTGAAACTTTTTGCATCAATGTTCATCAGGGATATTGGCATGAAGTTTTTCTTTTTTGGTTCTGTCTCTGCCAGGTTTTGGTATTAGGAAGATGCTGGCCTCAGAATGAGTTAGGGAGGAGTCCCGCTTTTTTAATTGTTTGGAATAATTTCAGAAGAAAGGATATCAGCTCCTCTTTGTATCTCTGGTAGAATTCACCTGTAAATCCATCTGGTCCTGGGCTTTTTTTGGTTGATAGGCTATTTATTACAGCCTCAATTTCAGACCTTGTTTTTGGTCTATTCAGGGATTCAACTTTTTCCTGCTCCTATATTGGGTGCATATATATTTAGGATAATTAGCTCTTCTTATTGAATTGACTTGTTTACCATTATGTAATGCCCTTCTTTGTCTTTTTTTTAATCTTTGTTGGTTTAAAGTGTATTGTGTCAGAAACTAGGATTGCAACCCCTGCTTTTTTTCTGTTTTCTGTTTGCTTGGTAAATTTTTCTCCATCCTTTTATTTTGAGTCTATGTGTATCTTTGCATGTGAGATGGGGCTCTTGAATACAGCACACTGATGGATCTTGACTCTTTATCCAGCTTACCATTCTGTATCTTTTAATTGGGGCATTTAGCCTATTTACATTTAAGGCTAATATTTTTATGTGTGAATTTGATCCTGTCATCATGATTCTAGCTGGTTATTTTGCAGACTTGTTTATGTAGTTGCTTTGTAGTGTCACTGGTCTGTGTACTTCAGTGTGTTTTTTTAGTGGCTGGTAACAGGTTTTCCTTTCCATATTTAGTGCTATATTCAGGAGCTCTTCCAAGGCAGGCTTAGTGGTGATGAATTCCCTCAGCATTTGCTTGTCTGAAAAAGATTTTAATTCTCCTTTGCTTATAATGCTTAGTTTGGCCAGATACGAAATTCTAAGTTGGAAATTCTTTTTTTAAGAATGTTGAATATTGTCCCCCAGTTTCTTCTTGTAGGGCTTCCACTGAGAGGTCTGCTGTTAGTCTGGATGGGCTTTCCTTTGTCGGTGACCTGGCCTTTCTCTCTGGCTGCCCTTAACATTTTTTCCTTCATTTTGACCTTGGAGAATCTTATGCTTATGTATCTTGGTGTTGATCTTCTCATGGATTATCTTACTGGGGTTCTCTCTGGATTTCCTTAATTTTTATAATGGCCTGTTGGCTAGGTTGGGGACGTTCTCCTGGATGATATCCTGAAGTGTGTTTTCCAGCTTGGTTCCATTCTACTCATCTCTTTCAGGTACCCCTATCTGTTGTAGGTTTGGTCTTTTGATATAGTTCCATAGTTCTTGGAGGTTTTGTTGGTTCTTTTTCATTCATTTTTCTCTAATCTTGTCTGCCTGCCTTATTTCAGCAAGATAGTCTTCAAGCTCTGATATCCTTTATTCCACTTGGTCAATTCAGCTATTGATACTTTTGTTTGCATTGTGAAGTTTCTTGTGTTGTGTTTTTCAGCTTCATTTGGTCATTTATTTTCCTCTCTAAACTGGTTATTCTGGTTAACAGCTCCTGTAATATTTTGTCATGGTTCTTAGCTTCTTTGCAATGTGTTAGAACATAATCCTTTAGCTCAGCAAAGTTCATTATTACATGTCTTCTGAAGCCTACCTCTGTCAAATCATCCATCTCAGTCTCAGCCCAGTTCTGTGCCCTTGCTGGAGACATGTTGCTATCATTTGGAGGAGAAGAGGCACTCTGGCTTTTTGAGTTTTCAGCATTTTTGTGTTGATTCTTTCTCATCTTCATGGGTTTATCTACCTTTGATCTTTGAGGCTGCTGACCTTTGGATTGGGTTTGTGTGAGTTCTTTTTTGTTGATGTTGTTGTTGTTGTTGCTCTGTGTTTGTTTTTCTTTTAGCAACCAGGTTCCTCTTTTATATGGCTGCTGATGTTTGCTGGGGGTCCACTCCAGACCCTATCCGCCTGGGTCCTTCCTGTTCTTGGAGGTATCACAAGTGGAGGCTGTAGACCAGCAAAGATGGCAGCCTACTCCTTCCTCTGGGAGCTCTGTCTCAGAGGGGCACCAACCTGATGCCAGCAAGAAAACTTATGTATGAGGTGTCTGGAGACTCCTGTTGGGAGGTATCACCCAGTCAGGAGAAGTGGGATCAGGGACTTGCTCAAATAAGCAGTCTGGCTGCCCCTTGGTGGAGTGGGTGTGCTGTGCTGGGGGGAATCCCCCTAGTCTGGGCTGCCCTGATTCTCTCGAGCCAGCAGGCAGAAAATACTAAGACCACTGATTCACAATACCTCAGCCACCGCTCCTCCTAGGGGCTCCTCTCAGGGATCGCAGAATTCTGTCCATAAGCCCCTGGCTCGAGATGCTGAAATTCCCACAGGGAGGCCCTGCCTAGTGAGGAGTGGACCAGGTTCCTACTCAACCAAGCAGTCTGGCCATGAACTGATCCAGCTGCTGTGCTTCACTACAGAAAAGTGGCCTTGGTCCAGACTGCCCAGTCTTGCTGGCACAGGTGATGGGGTAATATGGTCAACTGGAGCCGCAGTGATGGTGGCCGCCCCTCCCCACTGGGAACTCAGTCTTTTTAGGCAGTCTCCAGCTTGCTGTGCTGGCTGGCATGGATTCCAAGCCAGTGGGTTTTAGCTTGTGGGGTTGCAGGGGAGTGAGGCCACTTGACTCCCTGGCTTCACC
The DNA here is from genome assembly GCF_000001405.40 of Homo sapiens. Taxonomy (NCBI): domain Eukaryota; kingdom Metazoa; phylum Chordata; class Mammalia; order Primates; family Hominidae; genus Homo; species Homo sapiens. The sequence goes on from NC_000007.14 coordinate 92,889,383, forward strand.
CCCCTTCCCGTGGGAGTGGATGAATCTCCTGCCTCATGGGAGTTCCCAGAGCTAGAGTATGCAAATACTCCTGTGTCTCAGTGCCTGCTCAAATGTCTGCCCACCTGAGCAGCAGCTGTGAGTCTTCACAGCTCTATGCTTGGGACCCAAGGCCCTGGTGGTGTGGGCTCACAAGGGGACCTCCTGATCAGTGTGTTGCAAAGATCTGTGGGAAAAGCATGGTTTTCAGGGAAGGGTAGCATAATCCCTCACCACCTCCCTTGGCTCTGTGCAGCTCTGGGGTGGGGCCTTGCTCCACCCTGCTTTTCCTTGCTCTCTGTGGGTTGGACCAACCGTCTAGTCAGGCCCAGTGAGAGAACCTTGGTACCTAAGTTGAAGATTCAGAATTCACTCACCATTTTCATCCTTCTTGGTGGGAGCCACAGAGCAGAGCTGTTTCTATTCGGCCATCTTGGCTGCTCCCCCAACAGGTATAAATTTAACCAAGAAGGTGAAAGATCTTTACAAAGATTACTACAAAATGCTGATGAAAGAAATTGAAGGGGGCACAAACAAATGGAAAAAACATCCCATGATCATGGATCAAAATTAATATCATTAAAATGACCACATTGTTAAAGCAATCTACAGATTCAGTGTAATTCCTATCAAAATACAAATGTCATTTTCACAGAAATATAAAAACATTCCTAAAATTTATATGAAACCAAGAAAGAGCCCCAAATAGTCAAAGCAATCCTGAGCAAAAAGAACAAAGCTAGAATCATCACATTTCCTCACTTCAGAGTGTATTAAGAGGCTATGGTAACCAAAACAGCATGGTATTGGTTTAAAAGAAAACACAGAGTCCAGTGGAAAAGACTAGGGAATCCAGATATAAATCCACAAATTTATTGCCAACTGATTTTCAGCAAAAGTGCCAAGAACATACATTGGGGAAAGGACACTCTTCAATAAATGGCACCAGGAAAACTGTCTACCCACATGCAGAAGAATGAAACTGGACCCCTACTTCTTACCACATACAAAAACCAACTTAACATGTATTAATGACTTAAACTTAAGGCCTGAAACTAATAAATAGGAAACATAGGGAAAACACTTCAGGACATTGGTGTAGGCAAAGGTTTTATGGCTAAGACCCAAAAGCAGAGACAACTAAAACAAAAGTAGACAAAAAGTCTATATTAATCAAAAAAGCTTCTGCACATCAAAGGAAGCAATCAACACAGAAAAGAGACCTGTTGAATGTGGGAAAATACTTGCAAACTGTTCATCCAACAAGGTACTAATATCTACAAAACATTAAGAATTCAAGCCATTCTTCAGTAAAAATGCCAAATAATCCCATGAAAAAGTAGACAAAGGACATGAATAGACATTTCTTAAAAGAAGACATACAAATGGTCAAAAAGTAAATAAAAATGCTCAACATCACTAATCATCAGGGAAATGCAAATCAAAACCACAATGAGATATTATAATCTTACCCCAGTTAGAATGGCTAGTATTAAAAAAAATATAACAGATGCTGGCAAAGATGCAGAGAAAAGGGAATCCTTATACACTGTTGATGGAAATATATATTGGTCCAGCAAATATGGAAAACAGGATGGAGATTCCTCAAAAAACTAAAAATAGAACCATCATATGATCCAGCAATCTTGCTACTGGGTATTTATCCAAAAGAAAGGAAATTAGTATAACAAAACAATACCTGCATCCCCAGGTTTATTGCAGCACTATTCACAATAGTAAAGATGTGGAATCAACCTAAGTTGTCCTGGACCTGGACCTAAGTGTCCATCAGCAGATGAATAAATAAAGAGAATGTGGTATACACACAGTAGAATAGTATTTGTTATGTTCTTTAAGAAATAATGAAATTCTTTTATTGTAGCACCAAGAAATAGCCTGGAAGACATTATGTTAAGTGTAATAAGCCAGTCACAAAAAGACAAACATGGCATGGTTTCACTCATATGTGAAATCTGAAAAACTCAAACTTACAGAACTAGAGAGTAGAATGGTAGTTACCAGAGGCTGGGAGTTGTGGGAGGATGGAAAATGGGGGGAAGGTAACCAAAGGGTACAAAAGTTCAAGTTAGACAGGAGGAATAATTTTTCAATATCTAATGAACAGCAAGGTGACCATAGTTAATAATGAAGTATTGTATGTTTCAAAATTGCTGAGAGAATAGATTTTAAATATTCTCACTACAAGAAAATGATGGGTATATGGAGTGATGGACATGTTAATTACCTTGATATAATCATTCCACAGTGTATTAATGTATCAAAACATCATGAACTCCATGCATGTATAGACTTATTTGTCAATTAAAAAAAATCTAAAGAAAAGAAAAGACTTGAATGTAAGGCTTAACCAGTTTCCATATATCAAACACGAATGCACCATTTTAGTTACCCTGTAACATTCACTGTAGGAGTATGGGTGGGCTGTCTTTCTGTCATCAGTTTTTAATTTAACTTAATTTTATTGCATTAAAAAAGAAGTATTGAGATATAACTCACATTCATACAAGCCCTGTATTTAAAGTGTACAATTCAGTGGTTTTCACTATATTCATAGCATTGGACAACCAATACCACTAATTCCAGAACATTTTCATCATTCCCCCCAAAAACTCTGTACCCAGCATTAGTCATTCTCTGTTTCTCCCCAGTCCCTATCCTCAGTCATAGGCAACCACAAATTTACCTTCTATTTCTATAGATTTACCTATTCTGGACATTTAATATCAGTGAAATTATATAATACATGGTTTTTTAATGATTGGCTTTTTTCATTTGTTATGTTTTCAAAGGTCATCTGTGTTGTAGCATGTATCAGTTCTTTATTCTTTTTATTGATACATCCCATCATCTGAACATACCACATATTATTTCTCAGTTGAATGGACATTTGTTTATTTGCCAAATGTTGGCTGTTATTAATACTGTGGTGATGAACCTTCCTGAACAAGCTTTTGTGTGGACATATACTTTAATTTCTTGTGGCTGAAAACCTAGCGGTGGAATTGCTGGATCACATGGTAAATTTATGTTGGACTTTTTGAGAAACTGCCATTGACTTTTTATATCTTCATAAGCAGTGTATAAGGCTTCCAATATCTCTACATTCTCATGAATACTTGTAATTATCTGTTTTTTTAAATTATAGCCACCCAGTGTGTGTAAAGTGGTAGCTCATTATAGTTTTGATTTATACTCCATGATGTCTAATGATGTTGAACATTTTTTCATGCACTTTTTCACAGAAATGTCTATTCAGATCCTTTGCTCATTTAAAAACTATGGTATTTGTCTTTTTATTATCGAATCTTTCAAAAAAATTATTATACCTTAAGTTCTGGGATACATGTGTAGAACGTGCAGGTTTATTACATAGGTATACACATGCCATGGTGGTTTGCTGCACCCATCAACCCATCATCTACATTAGGTATTTTTCTTAATGCTATTCCTCCCCTAGTGCCCCCACCACCTGCCAAAAGGAAACCGTGTGTGATGTTCCCCTCCCTGTGTCCATGTGTTCTCATTGTTCAACTCCCACTTATGAGTGAGAACATGTGGTGTTTGGCTTTCTGTTCCCATGTTAGTTTGCTGAGAATGATGATTTCCAGCTTCATCCATGTCCCTGCAAAGGACACGAACGCATCCTTTTTTTATGGCTGCATAGTATTCTATGGTGTATACAAGCCACATTTCCTTTATCCAGTGTATCATTGATGGGCGTTTGGGTTGGTTCCAATCTTTGCTATTGTGAACAGTGTTGCAATAAACATACGTGTGCATGTGTCTTTATAGTAGAATGATTTATAATCCTTTGGGTATATACCCAGTAATGGGATTGCTGGGTCAAATGGTATTTCTGGTTCTAGATCCTTGAGGAATCACCACACTGTCTTCCACATGGCTGAACTAATTTACATTTCCACCAACAGTGTAAAAGTGTTCCTATTTCTCCACATCCTCTCCAGCATCTGTTGTTTCCTGACTTTTTAATGATCACCATTCTAACTGGCGTGAGGTGGTATCTCATTGTAGTTTTGATTTGCATTTCTCTAATGACCAGTGATAATGAGCTTTTTTCATATGTCTGTTGGCTGCATAAAGGATCTTCTTTTGAGAAATGTCTGTTCATATCCTTTGTCCACTTTTTGATGGGGTTGTTTGTTTTTTTCTTGTAAATTTTTTTAAGTTCCTTGTAGATTTTGGATATTAGCCCTTTGTCAGATGGATAGATTGCAAAATTTTTCTCCCATTCTGTAGGTTGCCTGTTCATTCTGATGGTAGTTTCTCTTGCTGTGCAGAAACTCTTTAGTCGGATTAGATCCCATTTATCAATTTTGGCTTTTGTTGCCATTGCTTTTGGTGTTTTGGTTATGAAGTTTTGCCCATGTCTATGTCCTGAATGGTATTGCCTAGGTTTTCTTCTAGGGTTTTTATTGTTTTAGGTCTTACATTTAAGTCTTTAATCCATCTGGAGTTAATTTTTGTATAAGGCGTAAGGAAGGGGTCCAGGTTCAGTTTTCTGCATATGGCTTAGTTTTCCCAACACCATTTGTTAAATAGGGAATCCTTTCCCCATTTCTTGTTTTTGTCAGGTTTGTCAAAGATCGGATGGTTGCAGATGTGTGGTGTTATTTCTGAGGCATCTGTTCTGTTCCACTGGTCTATATATCTGTTTTGGTACCAGTACCATGCTGTTTTGGTTACTGTAGCCTTGTAGTATAGTTTGAAGTCAGGTAGCATGAAGCCTCCAGCTTTGCTCTTCTTGCCCAGGATTGTCTTGGCTATGCGGGATCTTTTTTGGTTCCATATTAAATTTAAAGTAGTTTTTTTCCAGTTCTGTGAAGAAAGTCAATGGTAGCTTGATGGGGATAGGACTGAATCTATAAATTATGTTGGGAAGTATGGCCATTTTCATGATATTTATTCTTCCTATCCATGAGCATGGAATATTTTTCCATTTGTTTGTGTCCTCTTTTATTTCCTTGAGCAGTGGTTTGCAGTTCTCCTTGAAGAGGTCCTTCACATCCCTTGTAAGTTGTATTCCTAGGTATTTTATTCTCTTTGTAGCAATTGCGAATGGGAGTTCACTCATGATTTGGCTCTCTGTCTATTATTGGTGTATAGGAATGCTTCTGATTTTTGCACACTGATTCTGTATCCTGAGACTTTGCTGAAGTTTCTTATCAGCTTAAGGAGATTTTGGGCTGAGACGATGGGGTTTTCTAAATATAGAATCATGTCATCTGCAAACATAGACAATTTGACTTCCTCTCTTCCTATTTGAATACACTTCTTTCTCTTGCCTGATTGCCCTGTCCAGAACTTCCAATACTACGTTGAATAGGAGTGGTGAGAGAGGACATCCTTGTCTTGTGCTGGTTTTAAAAGGGAATGCTTCCAGGTTTTGCCATTTAGTATGATATTGGCTGTGGGTTTGTCATAAATGGCTCTTATTATTTTGAGATATGTTCCATCAATACCTAGTTTATTGAGAGTTTTTAGCATGAAAGGGTGTTGAATTTTACCAAAGTCCTTTTCTGCATCTATTTAGATAATCATGTGGTTTTTGTCATTGGTTGTGTTCATGTGATGGATTACACTTACTGATTTGTGTATGTTGAACCAGCCTTGCATGCCAGGGATGAAGCTGACTTGATCGTGGTGGATAAGCTTTTTGATGTCCTGCTGGATTTGGTTTGCCAGTATTTTATTGAGAATTTTCACATTGACGTTCATCAGGGATATTGGTCTGAAATTTTCTTTTTTTAGTTGTGTCTCTGCCAGGTTTTTGTATCAGGATGATGCTGGCCTCATAAAATGAGTTAGGGAGGAGTCCCTCTTTTTCTATTGATTGGAATAGTTTCAGAAGGAATGGTAGCAGCTACTCTTTGTACCTCTGGTATAATTCAGCTGTGAATCTGTCTGGTCCTGGGCTTGTTTTTGGTTGGTAGGCTATTAATTACTGCCTCAATTTCAGAACTTGTTATTGGTCTATTCAGGGATTCAACTTCTGCCTGGTTTAGTCTTGGGAGGGTGTATGTGTCCAGGAATTTATCCATTTCTTCTAGATTTTCTAGTTTATTTGTGTAGAGTTGTTTATAGTATTCTCTGATGGTAGTTTGTATTTCCGTGGGATCAGTGGTGATCTCCCCTTTATTATTTATTACTGTATCTATTTGATTCTTCTCTCTTTTCGTCTTTATTAGTCTTGCTAGTGGTCAATCTATTTTGTTAATCTTTTCAAAACACCAGCTCCTGGATTCATTGATTTTTTGAAGGGGTTTTTTTTTTTTTGTCCCTATCTCCTTCAGTTCTGCTCTGATCTTAGTTATTGTCTTCTGCTAGCTTTTGAGTTTGTCTGCTGTTGCTTCTCTAGTTTTTTTAATTGTGATGTTAGGGTGTCGATTTTTAGATCTTTCCTGCTTTCTCCTGTGGGCATTTAGTGCTATAAGTTTCCCTCTAAACACTGCTTTTGTTGTGTCCCAGAGATTCTGGTACATTGTATCTTTGTTCTCATCGGTTTCAAAGAACATCTTTATTTCTGCCTTAATTTTGTTATTTACCTAGTAGTCATTCCAGAGCAGGTTGTTCGGCTGCCTTGTAGTTGTGCAGTTTTGAGTGATTTTCTAAATTCTGAGTTCCAATTTGATTGCACTGTGGTCTGAGAGACTGTTATGATTTCCATTCTTTTGCATTTGCTGAGGAGTATTTTACTTCCAATTATGTGGTCCATTTTAGAATAAGTGTGATGTGATTCCCAGGAGACTGTATATTCTGTTGATTTGGGGTGGAGAGTTCTGTAGACGTCCATTAGGTCCACTTGGTCCAGAGCTGAGTTCAAGTCCTGAATATCTTTGTTAATTTTCTATATCGTTGATCTGTCTAATATTGACAGTAGGGTGTTAAAGAAACACTACAGGCCCAAAGAGAGTGTGTGGGAGTCTAAGTCTCTTGGTAGGTCTCTAAGAACTTGCTTTATGAATCTGAGTGCTCCTGTATTGGGTGCATGTATATTTAGGATAGTTAGCTCTTCTTGCTGCATTGATCCCTTTGCCATTATGTAATGCCCTTCTTAGTCTCTTTTGATCTGTGTTGGTTTAAAGTCTGCTTTGCTGGAGTCCAGGATTGTAACCCCTGCTTTTTTTTTTTTTTTTTTTTTTTTGCTTACCATTTGTTTGGTAAATATTCCTCCATCCCTTTATTTTGAGCCTATGTGTGTCTTTGCATGTAAGATGGGTCTCCTGAATACCACAAACCGATGGGTCTTGACTCTTTATCCAATTTGCCAGTGTGTGTATTTTAATTGGGGCATTTAGCCTGTTTACATTTAAGGTTAATATTGTTATGTGTGAATTTGATCCTGTCATTACGATGCTAGCTGGTTACTCTGCCCATTAGCTGATGCAGTTTCTTCATAGTGTCAATGGTCTTTGCAAATTTTGTATGTTTTTGCAGTGGCTGGTACCAGTTGTTCCTTTCCATATTTAGTGCTTCCATCAGGAGCTCTTGTAAGGCTGGCCTGGTGGTGACAAAATCTCTCAGCATTTGCTTCTATGTAAAGGATTTTACTTCTCCTTTGCTTATGAAGCTTAGTTTGACTGGATATAAAATTCTGGGTTGAAAATTCTTTTCTTTAAGAATGTTGAATATTGGCCCCCACTCTCTTTGGGCCTGTAGTGTTTCTGCAGAGATATCTGCTGTTAGTCTGATGGGCTTCCCTTTTTGGGTAACCTGACCTTTCTCTCTGGCTTCCCGTTAACATTTTTTCCTTCATTTCAACTTTGGTGAATCTGATGATTATGTGTCTTGGGGTTGCTCTTCTCAAGGAGTATCTTTGTGGTGTTCTCTGTATTTCTTGAATTTGAATGTTGGCCTGTCTTGCTAGGTTGGGGAAGTTCTCCTGGATAATATCCTGCAGAGTGTTTTCCAACTTGGTTCCATTCTCCTCATCACTTTCAGGTACACCAATCAAACGTAGATTTGGTCTTTTCACATATTTCTTGGAGCCTTTGTTCATTTCTTTTTATTCTTTTTTCTCTAATCTTGTCTTCTCTCTTTATTGCATAAGTTGCTCTTCAATCTCTGATATCCTTCCTTTTTTGGATATCCTTTCTTCTGCTTGATCAATTCGACTATTGAAACTTGTGTATGCTTCATAAAGTTCTTCTGCTATGTTTTTCAGCTCCATCAGGTCATTTGTGTTCTTCTCTAAACTGGTTATTATAGTTAGCAGTTCGTCTAACCTTTTTTCAAGGTTCTTAGCTTCCTTGCATTGGGTTAGAACATGCTCCTTTAGCTCAGAGGAGTTTGTTATTACCCACCTTCTGAAGCCTACTTCTGTCAATTCGTCAAACTCATTCTCCATCCAGTTTTGTTCCCTTGCTGTCCAGGAGTTGTGATCCTTTGGAGGAGAAGAGGCATTCTGGTTTTTGGAATTCTCAGCCTTTTTGCACTGTTTTTTTTCTCATCTTTGTGGATTTATCTACCTTTCGTCTTTGATGCTGGTGGCCTTCCAATGGGGTTTTGGTGTGGACATCCTTTTTGTTGATGTCGATGCTATTCCTTTCTGTTTGTTAGTTTTCCTTCTAATGGTCAGGAGCCTCTGCTGCAGGTCTGCTGGAGTTTGCTGGAGGTCCACTCCAGACCCTGTTTGCCTGGGTATCACCAATGGAGGCTGCAGAATAGCAAAGATTTCTGCCTGTTCCTTCCTCTGGAAGCTTCATCCCAGAGGGGCCCCTGCCAGACGCCAGCCAGAGTTATCCTGTATGAGGTGTCTGTTGACCCCTGCTGGGAGTTCTCTTCCAGATAGGAGGCATGGGAGTAAGGGATCCACTTAAGGTGGCAGTCTGTTATTTAGCAGAGCTCAAGAACGGTGCTGGGAGATCTGCTGCTCTCTTCAGAGCTGGCAGGCAGGAATGTTTAAGTCTGCGGAAGCTGTGCCCACAGCCCTTCACCCAGGTGCTGTGTCCCAGGGAGATGGGAGTTTTATCTGTAAGGCCCTGACTGGGGCTGCTGCCTTTCTTTCATAGATGCCCTACCCAGAGAGTAGGAGTCTAGAGAGGCAGTCTGGCTACAGCAGCTTTGTCTACACTGTGTGGGGAAACCTCCTACTCAAGCCTCAGTAATGGTGGATGCCCCGCCCCCCACCAAGGTCCAGCATCCCAGGTTGACTTCAGACTGTTGTGTTGGCAGCGACAATTTCAAGCCAGTGGATCTTAGCTTGATGAGCTCCGTGTGGGTGGGATCTGCTGAGCTAGACCACTTGGCTCCCTGGCTTCATCCCTTTTTCCAGGGGAGTGAACAGTTCTGTCTCGGTTATGTTCCAGGCACTACTGGGATATGAAAACAAAAACAAAAACAAAAAAACTCCTGCAGCTAGCTCGAGGTCTGCCCAAACGGCCACCCAGTTTTGTGCTTGAAACCCAGGGCCTTGGTGGTGTAGGCACCTGAGGAAATCTCCTGGTGTGCAGGTTGTGAAGACTGTGGGAAAAGTGTAGTATCTGGGCCAGAATGCACCATGCCTCATGGCACAGTCCCTCACGGCTTCCCTTGGCTAGGTGAGGGAGTTCCCTGACCCCTTGTGCTCCCTGGGTGAGGTGACACTGCACCACGCTTCGGCTTTCCCTCCATGGGCTGCTCCCACTGTCTCAGTTGGAAATGCAGAAATCACCTGCTTTCTGTGTTGATCTCACTGGGAGCTTCATACTGCAGCTGTTGCTATTTGGCCATCTTGCCAGCCACCTCTGAATCATAAGATTTCTATACATATTCTAGGTATAAGTCTCTCATCAGAAATATGATTTGCAAATATTTTCTCCCATTTCGTGGGTTGTCTCTTCACTTTCTTGATGATAACTTTTGTAGCACAAGAATTTTAAATTTTGATGTAATCCAATTTATCCATGTGTTTCTTTGTTGCTTGTACTTTTAGTGTCATATCTATGAAACTTTTCTCTTACTCAAGGTTATAAAGGTTTAAGCTGATATTTTCTTTTAAGAGTTTTATAGTTTTCATTTTGTAAACTAGTTTTATGAAACTATAGTAGTTCTTACAGTGAGGTCTTTGATCTATTTTGTGTGAATTTTTCTACATAGTGTGAGGCAAGGGTTCAGCACCATTTGCTACAAAGTCTATTCTTTGTCCATTGAATGGTTTGAATAGTTGAGTTGAATCTGTAGATCAGTTTGGGAAATATTGCCCATGAACATGGGTGTATTCATGGTATCTGATCTATGAAAATGGTATGTCTTTCCATTTATTTAGGTTGTCTTTAATTTCTTTCAATAATATTTTATACTTTCCAGAACACAAGTTTTTCACTTCCTTTGTTAAATATATTTGTAAATATTTTATTATTTTTGATGCTATAAGAAATGAAATTATTTTCTTTATTTCATTTTGGATTGTTCAGTGCAAGTGTGTAGAAATACAATTGATTTTTGTATAATGATCTTGTATCCTGCAGCATTGCAAAACTTATTAGTTTGAATAGTTTTTGCTAGATTATCTAGGATTTTCTGAATCATGATGACTTAATCATGTCATGTATACATATATTTTACTTCTTTCTTTCAAATTTTATTGCTTTCATTTCATTTTCTCCCCTAATTGGCTCACCTTGTATAATGTTAAATGGAAGTAGTGAGAATAATCACTCTTGTCTTGTTCCTGATCTTAGGGGAAAAACATTCAGTTCTTCACCCTTATGTATTACACAAGTTGTATATACCTTACCTGAACTAGTTGGGATCAGAAGTGTTCTGGATTTGGTGGTTGTTTTTTTGGATTTTGGTATATTTGCATTGTACTTACCAGTTGAATATCCCAAATAAAAAAACCAAAAATTTGAAATGATCCAGTGAACATTTCCTTTGAGCGTGATGTCAGCACTCAAAAAGCTTTGGATTTTAGGGCATTTTGGATTTTGGACTTTCAGATTTGGGATGCTCAACATGTATTAACTGTGGGTTTTTCATATATGCACTTTATCAAGCTGAGAAAGTTCCCTTCCATTCCTAGTTTTTTATAAACAATATTTTAGTCTTGCATTGTGTGAAATGTTTCCCTTTTCTATTGAGATGATCATGTGAGATGATCATGTTTTGTTCTTTATTGTATTGATATGATGTATTACATTGATTAATTTTTGGTCTGTAAACATTTGTGGGCTGTTATCCATTACAGTGTCTGCTCAACAGTTATACCTTGACAAGTGTGAGATAAATGCTGAGTCCTGGCCATGTTGCTGTCCCTCATTTTTAAAAAAAAACATTTGATATTAAGTATGGTATTTCTAATGGAAGCTTCTATTAAATGTCACACTGTAAAATTCAAAATTTGCCATTTCTCAGTTTCCTAAACTTAATAGAGCTCTTACTAAATTGTCTTTATGAGAAATGTGTCTCTTCCTATTTATCTGAAAGTAGATGAAGAGAATTTTGTATTGCTCCAGCCCTTCAGCCAAAATTAAATCAGAATAGGATGAAATTCTTAAACAACATGAGTGTGTATCTATAATACACCTTTCAAAAGGAACAAGTTCTTACCAAATTATGCTGTTGTTTTTACTGGAGTCTTAGCTTTTATGATTTTAAAAACATCTCTAAGGCTCAAATTCTATCGTTCTTGATTTGAAATCAACCTCTTCTTTTCCTATATCGTTGGAAGGGTTACACAGCTATGGCCCAAAAGCCAAATTTGGCCTGTAGATATGTTTTATTTGTCCGTAGACTTTTGAAAGTTAGGTCAAGCATGTGCTCCTAGCTAGACACCACATTCAATCTTCCTATTGTCTTTTATTATGCATTTAAGCATGGCTTTGGAGTTTGTAATTCTTGAAGTAAACATCTGGTTTTTGGCATTTTTATTTATCTCAATGGAACCATTATCTCTTGGCTTACCCAAATTTGAAATATTGGAATCATGGAATCATTATTAATAATTTTTATGAAGTTTTTTTAATATAAAAATCACTTAAATACAAATAGATTCTCATTATCTAAGATTTAGACAATCAAAAGTACAAAATGCTGAAAGTCCCTTTTCACTTCTGTCTACCACTTTTTTCTCATTTACATGTAATCATTGTCATTAAGTTGGGATGTGTTCTTCCAGCTCACTTTGTAGACTTTTACACACACACACACACACACACACACACACACACACGGGCTATTTTTTTGTATAAAAAATAGGCTTGACAAATATAGTCCAACTTATTAACAATGGTTACTTCTAGATGGGGAAGAAATAGTAGAGAGGAGTGAAGGGGCTTTTCAATCTTTAGCCATTACTACCAATTCTGTATAATCATGACTTACAAACATATTTATATGAAGACTAAGTCAGCAAGACACAAAACCCAGCAGCTATAAATGAGAATATTGATAGATTGACTATGTAAAAATATTATACTGTATCAGTCAGGGTTCAACCAGAGAAGCAGAACCAGCAGGGAGAATAATTATAAATACAAATTCAAATTTAAATACACACACACACACACACACACATACACATATATATAGACAGATATAGATGCAGATAGATAGATACATGTATAGAAAGATAGAGATGTGTGTGTACACATACAGATAGACACACACACACACACACACATATGGATTGGCTTGTGTGATTGTTGGGGCTTACTAAGAAAGTCTGAAATCAGTAGAGAAGGTCTTTAGAAAGGGAATATCATAGTGTGAAACTTCATATTCCTTTGGGAGAAGCCTCGGTCCCACTTTTAAGGCTTTTCAACTGATTTAATCGGGTTTACTCAGATTATTTAAGATAATCTCCCTTATTTAAGGTCACTTGAGTAAGGGCTTTAATTATATCTGCAAACTACCTTCACAAGAAAACTAAGACTAGATGTTTAATTGAATAATTAGATATTGTAGCCTAGCCAAGGTAACACCTCAAAAAAGTCATCATATATACAAATTAAAAATTTACATACAGCAAAAGACACTGTGAACAGAGATAAGCAATATGCAAGTAAAATATCTATACAATATAGGTAATAGACAAAGGATTAATATTCAGAAGTTACTGAGTTCCCCCAAATCAGCAAGAAAGACAAGAATTAGTTGATAGAAAAATGGGCAAAGGATATGCATAGGCAATTTACACACAAATTTTCATAGTCTGATGAAAAAATACAAGAGAATGCTCAAATTCACTACTAATTAGGGAACTGAAATGTAAAGCAATAGCTAATTTTTCCTTATTATTTTAGCAAACATTTAAAATTATGGATAGCATCAAAAGCAGGCAAAAATGCAGATTAATGGGAACTCCTGCTAGGAATCTGTCCTTTCTTACTTTCTTTTTTAATCACTAAGCTCATATGTTTGATTGTTATGGTTGAGTCTCCCAACTAAATTCCGTGATTCTTTCCTCCCTATCTGAGTTCAGCTTGCATAGTACTACTAGATACATCTTAATCCTCTCTCTCTTTTTCCCTTACATACACACAGACAATGCCTTAACATTATTTGTAATAGCCTCAGCCTGGAAACCACTAACTGTCTAACAACTATAGCATGGATAAATAACTTGTGATATATTCATGCAACAGATTATTTATAATAAAGAAATTGACTATGAACTACAAGAATCAGCATGGATGACTCCTCAAAAATACTGTTGGGTAAAGAAGCAAAACAACAAAGAAAACATCAAGCATGATTGTATCTGAACAAAGTTCAAAAACGGCAAAACTAAACTATCTTATTTAGCAATGCATACCTAGGTGGTAAAAACAAAGTAAAACAAAGAAATGGTTATTCCAAATATTTGGGTAGCAATTACCTTATGGTTTGGGAATGGTGGATGCGGAGGGAGAAAGTTGTGATTTGGAAGTTAAACTCAGGAGATTTCGAAGTTAAACTCAGGAGATTTCAAAGTTAAACTCAGGAGATTTCTGGGGTGCTTTCGATCTTAGACTTCTTGACCTTGATGGCAATGACATGTTAAACAGAACATACATGTTTTACGTTTTCACTCTATTTGGTTATAGTTGATAATTTTTTAAATTTAAAAATACCACAAGGGAACTTCCTGAGGTGCTGGTAGCTATTTCTTGACATGAATGGTGATTGCATAACGTGTGATTTAAAAAATTAAATTTACTTAAAATTTCCACACTTTTCTCTTTGTTCTATTTGGCTAAAAAATTGTAAAAATAAAGTAGATAAAAAACCTTTATGAATTACTCCCTCCCTACAGAATAAAGATCAGATCCCTAACCTTTCAAAGTCCTCCATATATTGACTACCACAACCTTTCTAATCCTAACTCCCACTACTGCCTTCATAGAAACCAATAATAATAATGATAGCCCAAAACAAAAGTAAAAAACCCCAAAAAACCCCAACCTTCAAAACTGCAAACAAAATTAAAAAGTCCACAAATACACTAATTTTACTAAATTTCCTTTAACAAAAAACTTGACCTTGCCTCTTTTTATTCTTTATTTGAAGGATTTTGAATTGCCTACCACATGTTTTCCTAAGATGAATCAGAGCAGGATGACATGCTTGTTTAGTCTTTGATGATAATGAATATGTATTTACACGATTGTCAGAAAGAACACATTTCTCCCAAGTTGTTACCTAACTGGTATTGTGTGTTTAAGAATTTTCTTTCTGATTTAAACCAGCTAAAGCCAGTTTTTTAAAGGACATATATATATATATATATATATATATATATATATATATATATATATATATATATATATATATATATGATGTTAGATATTGGTTTGTGCCCAAGAAAACACAGGGAAAACTAAATAACCCAAATCAAGCCCTGAGTATTCATGTGCAGACTATCAGCTTCACACTTAGTCATAGTCAACTTCACACCTAAATGCCATTGAAAAGAAGCAGGGCCAAATGTTCCTGGAAAATGGGACTCTTAGGTTCACAGACGTTTGCTGAAAATACCTGAGCCCCATGCTTTGGGGAGATTTCACTAAGAAGATTGATATGCAGCTTCCAGGGGAAAGAATGAAGGAGGGGCAGGATGTGGTCTTGGTGAATCAGAAGCGGCCCTCCTTCCCCACCCCTCTTCTGAGTCAGCATGCAGCCACATGGCCCCACATGGTGCAGTTCTGGTTCTCGGATGAGCTGTCATATGGGGTCCTCCCTGTCTGCCTTTATTAAAGCACTTGGTGATTTCCAGCAGCCCTATTTGTCATATAAATAGTTTTGTTCTGTCTATAAATTAGTCAAGCAATTCATTTTTGAATCTTTCTGATAGTGACACAGTGACATGAAGTGTTGTTGGGTTTGCTTGTTGTTGGATTTGCTTGCCTCATTTGGTCCTTTAAATGGTAAAGTAACATCACCCGTTTGTAGACAGCCTCGCAAAAATTTGAGCCTTTGGTTTTGGAACCAAGTCAGCTGGGTTCAAATTCCCACTTGCCACCTTCCAAACCTGGGATTTTTTAAGTGCATATATTCCTTTTTGCCTTAGGGCATGAAACATGTGCTCAGCACTTGGTTGCTGCAGTGGGAACTGAGAGTCATTCTTGCTGGTCGTGCTGGTGGCAGAAGTTATGGCAAGCTCCCACAGAGCAGTGGCAGACTTGCCAGTGCCCGTGTCTGGGCTCCAGGTCTGGCAGTGTGGCAGAGTGGGCCACACTCACCAGTGCTGGGCAATAAGACAGTGTTTTCACATTGGACCAGCTCCATTACTTGATCTGGGGTATTGTTCATGGCTACAGAGTCCTCACATTGGCAGTCCTGGCAACTCTGGGAGTTCTGCAATGCCCTTTTAAGCACATTCCCTTTTGCTTAAACGAAAGTTGGTCTCTTTTAATTGTAATGAAAGATATTGACTGATATAGTGACCTTGTGAAAATTTACTTTCTCATCTATAGAGTAGCTTAATAATAGCCATCTCTAAGGGTTATTGGGAGATTTCAATATATTAATGCATGATTTGCATTAATCCACACTAACTATTTAGTCCACACTATTATCCACCCTAACTATATTCATCCACAATAACTATTTAGTCAGTGTGGTGTCTGGCACTAAAATATTAGTTATTAATTATTAATAATGTGCTGGGCACAGGAAGAGCATTGGACTGTCTGTAATGAGAGTGCGTCTTTTTATCAGGAGGGCCTCACTGTTTTAGGGTTAGGAATGATAGGATTAAAAGTAATTTGGGAATTTTTATGACTCATGACTTTATGGTTGGTTGATTTAGGCAACGATATAGCTTTTGTTTCACTTATTAAATTTAAATTTAATTTATGGACTTGTAAGGGCATAAATTTAATTTTACAGCTTGATTTTGACACAAAGCAAGATACTGAACATTAACACCACCACAGAGGCCTACTATGTGCTCCTGTCCCTGTTGTTACTTCCTCCAAAGGTAACCACGGCACAGATTCCTATTACTATAAATTAATGTTGCCTGTTTTTGAATTTTATTTGAATGAGATTACATAGTATATACTCTTTTGTTGCTAAATGTTATACCTTTGAGGTTCATTAATGTTTTTATAGATAGATATAGTTTTCTTCATTGCTAAATTGTATTCCATTATACATATATACTACAATTTATCTATTCTATTGTTAATGGGTAATATAGTTTGGCTCTGTGTCCCTACCAAAATCTCATGTCAAATTGTATCCCCAGTGTTGGAGGAGGGGCCTTGTGGAAGGTGATTGAATCACGGGGACGGACTTTCCTGTTGCTGCTCTTGTGATGGATTTCTCACAAGATCTGGTTGTTTGAAAGTGTGTAGCACCTGCCACTTCACTCCCTCTCTCTCCTCCTGGCCATGTGAAGACTGTGCCTGCTTCCTCTTTGTCTTCCACCATGATTGTAAGTTTCCTGAGGTCTCCCCAGGAGCAGAAGCCTATACATCCTGCAGAACTGCAAGCTAATTAAATCTGTTTTCTTTATAAATTACCCAGTCCCAGGTATGTCTTTGTAGCAGTGTGAGAATGGACTAATACAATGGGCATTTGGGTTGCTTCTAGTTTGGTGCTATGGAGAATAATGTGCTAGGAATATTCTCATTCTCATAACTATCATTTTGTGCACATATGTATGCATTTCATTTAATTTTATACCTGCAGATTGAATTTCTGAATCATACGGTGCACATATGCTCAGCTTTACTGGTAACAAAATTTCCAAAGTAGTTTTTACCAATTTACACCCTCAAAGCATCCTATGAGTTTCTGTTGCTCTATATCCTCATCAATACTTGGTATTGTCAATCTTTTTAATTTTAGCCATTCTACGGTGTGTGTAGAGATAGCCTATGTTGTTTTCAATTTGCATTTTCTGGATAACTAGTAATGTTGAGTACCTATTCATGTTCATCGGTCATTTGGATATCTCTTGTAAAAAGCTGTTCAAGTTTTTTTCCCATTTAGAAAAAAATTGAGCCTGTGTTTTTTATAAATTTATAAGAGATACTTACATAGTCTAGATATGAATTGTTTGTGTGATTTAAATATGTCAGATATCTTCTTCCACTTTGCATCTTGCCTTTTCACTCTCTTAATGGTGTCTTTTGATGAGTAGAAGCTTTAAATTTTAATAAGTCCAAATGATCAACAATTTTATTATGTTAGTGCATTTTATTTTAATTAATAGACTTTATTTTTAATGCAATTTTAGTTTTACAGAAAAATTGAGCCAAAGAACAGAGATTCCCATACACTCCCTGCTCTTCCAGTTTCCCTATTAATTTATGTCTTGCATTGATATGATACATTTGTTACAGTTGATGAACTGATATTGATACATTGTTATTAACATAAAGTCCATCTCATATGTTTATAAATATCCTATTGCTTCTGTTTGTCTGGAAAGCCCTGATTAATACACCTTGGCAACCACTAATCTTTTTACTGTCTCTATAGTTTTGTCTTTTCCAAAATGACATTTGTTGGAGATATACATATGTAGCCTTTCAAACTGGCGTCTTTCACTTGGCAATATGCATTGAAGGTTCCTCTATATCTGTTTGTGGGTCATTTTTTTCTTATTGCTTAATAGTATTAATATTACATTGTAGGGATGTACCACAGTTTGCTAATTTCATTTATCTATTGAAAGACATCTTGGTTGCATTCAATTTTAGGCAATTATTAATAAAGTTCCTGCAAACATTCATGTCAAATTTTTGTGTGGACATAAGTTTTTAAGTCATTTGGGCAAATACATAGGAGTATGATTGCTGGATCATAAGGCGAGACAAGGTTTAGCATTGTCATAAAATTCCATTTGTCTTCCAAAGTGGCTGTACTATTTTACAATCCTACCAGCAACGAATAAGAGTTCTGGATGGATGTGTGTGCGTGTGTGTGTGTGTGTGTGTGTGTGTGTGTGTGTATTCTATATATGTATATATGTATATGTGTGTCTGTGTGTGTATATACGTGTGTGTATGTAAAACTTGACCCCTACTTCACATCAGATATAAAAATCAATTTCAGAAGGATTGAAAGATAAATCAATACAAGTTCTAGAATATAACATAAGAGAAGATTCTGTTTTTAATTTCCTTTAAAGCATTAACTTAAGAGAGTAAAAAAAAACAAGTCACAGACTGAGGGGAAATATTTGTAAAACACGTACCAGATAAAGGTCTTGAATCCAAAATATACAAAGACATCTTAAAACTCAACAGTAAGAAAACAAACAACCCAATTATAAAGTGGGCAAAAGACCTGAACGAACACCTCACCAAAGAAGATATACAGACAGCAAATGGCATATCAACATATGTCCAACATCATATGCCGTTAGAGAATTTCAAATTACAACAAGATAATACCACACATCTATTAGAATCATTAAAATCCAAAACACTGAAATACCAAATGCTGATGAGAATGTGGAACAATCAATCCAGCATAATTTATTTAAAAGACCATCCTTTTTCCACTCCATCATAGTAACAGTGTTGTTGAAAATCAGGTAACTGTATACAAGGACTATTTCTGGACTCAATTCTATCCTCTTGGTCTGTTTATTTTTCCTGGTGCCAATATCACTCTTTTGGTTACTGTAGCTTTAAAATAAACTTTGATAGCTGTAAGCTAATCTTCTTCACAATTCTCTTGGCTATTTTTGATCCTTTGCATTTCCATATAAAGCTTAGAAACAGTTTGCCAATTTCCACACACACAGACAGATACACAGAAAACATCCTGAGAACTTGATTGTAAATGTTTTGAATCTATAGATCAGTGTTATCAAACCTTTTGGTCTTGCGACCCCTTTACAATCTTAAAAAGTATTGAGAACTCTAAAGAGCTTTTCTTTATGTGGGTTATATCTATTAATTGTTACCACAATGAAATGGAAAACTGAGAAAATTTAAACATACTTACTAAATAATTTAAAAATAACAATAAACCCATTACATGTTAAAATACATAAATAAGTGAAAACAGCTATATTTTCTAAAACAAAAAATATTAAGTGAGAAAAAGAACCTTGCTTTATGTTTTTACAATTTTTTTTTTGGATGGAGTTTTTCTCTTGTTGCCCAGGCTGGAGTGCAGTGGCGCAATCTCGGCTCACTGCAACCTCCACCTCCCAGGTTCAAGCAATTCTCCTGACTCAGCCTCCCAAGTAGCTGGGATTACAGGCATGTGCCACCATGCCTGGCTTGTTTTTACAATTTTTTTAAAATGCCCAGTTTAATGGAAACCAGTGGGATTCTCTTATTGCTTCTGTCTTTAATCCATTGTGATATGTTGTTTTGATTGCAGTACATAAAGAAAATCTGGGCTCAGGTATATGTAATTAAAAAGGGAAATGTTTTAGTAGTCTTTTTCAGAAAATGGTGAATATTCTTCTTTGATACTACAATGAAACACAAAAAGTGGTAGTTTCTTAAATTTTAATTGTAGTGTTTGGTACTTTAAAAATGGGTTTTAATTCCCTGGTGAATTTTTAAAATCTTCTTATTTATGTTTTTTCAAAATATCAGTTACAGTTATTTTAGAGTCAGTGTCTTATAACTCCAATGTCTGTATCACCTATGGTTCTGTTTTTCATTGTCTATTTTTTCTCTTTATTTTTGTTTGTTTGGCCCCGTTTCCTAGTATACTTAGTAAGTTTTTACTGATTACAAGAAATTTATTGAAAAAATTAGTCTCTGAATGATGTAAGCTTTTCCAGAAAAGATTTAGTTTTTTTCTCCTGGAGGGCAGATAGAGTACATGCAGAACACTTTAATCTGGTTAAGCCTTTTCTATTTCTGCATTATTCTTACTCCTAGGGTATATCCCTTTCAGGGCCGTAATTGAAAGCCTGAAGTGTTTACTAGTGCCTCTTTTACTTGGTGGTTCCTGAATTCCAATTTTTGTTTCCTTGGTACCATGAGATTGCCTAAATATCTGCTTAGCTTTTTAGCTTCTTAGCAGCTGCTTTCTGTCTAGTTGCTGCCATCTTGCCCCATATGTGCTCATCTTAGAAATCAGGAAATGCTTCATAGGAAAATTTGCATGCAGAATGTTGGGCTTACTTCTCTCTGTAACTCCCTTTTCTTCTGGATCTGGATCCTTATAGTCTGGGCTTTCATTTCTCTTGTATGTGCAGCAAATACATTAAAAGTAAGAATAAAGTTTATTACAGAAATCAAATATGTCTTAATATTAGGAAATGTATTAATATGGTTCATCAAAATGTTTTAAAAATCAACAATCCTTTTTAATTGTAAATGTTTTTCTTAGTAAACTATAGCTTGATGACTGCTTTATCAACAGGACTTAAAAAAATCTAGTTATCTATCCAAGGGATTGGCAAATATGGCATATGGGTAAGTCGCATGTTTTTGTAAATAAAGTTTTATTGGAACACTGACATGACAATTTATTTATGACATCTGTGGCTACATCTATGCTACAATGGCAGAGCTGAGTAGTTGTAACAGAGGTTGGGTCATGGCCTAAATCCTAAAATATTTACTCTTTGACCCTTTAAGCAGATGTTTGCCAATCCTTTATCTATCTTATCTTAGGCAGTTTCCTCATCTGTAAACTGGGGATAACATAACCTTACTTCACTGGGTAATAAAATTTATATCATTATATATATTTGTGTATACAGTTGACCCTTGAGCAACACAAGCTTGAACTGCACAGGTTTCACTTACTATGCAGATTTTTCTCCATATATATTTTGGAAAATGCTTTGGAGATTTGCAACAATTTGAAAAAACAGATGAACTGTGTGAATTAAGAAAAAGTTAGATATGTTATGAATGCACATAATATGTGTAGACAATAATCTGTTTTACCATTTACTATCATAAAATATGCACGACTCTATCATAAAAAGTTAAATATTATCAAAATTTACATACACACTTATAGACCAAATATGGCACCATTTGTGGCGGAGAGAAATGTAAACAAATGTAAAGATGCAATTTTAAACAATAATTGCATAAAACTAATTGTAGTACATATTATAGTACCATAATAAGTTTATAGCCACCTCCTGTTGCTATTGTAGTGAGCTCAAGCGTTGTATCTGCTTAAAATGCTATGTGATGCTAATCATCTCCGTGTGAGTAGTTTGTCTCTCCAGTAAATTGCGTATAGCAGTAAAAAGTGGTCTCTTGTGATTCTTGTGTATTTTTCATTATGCTTAGTGCCATACTGTAAATCTTGAATAACATTATGGGACCCATACAAAGTGCCACTGGTGATGCTGGAAGTGCTCCCGAGAAGCATAGAATAGTCATGATATTACAAGAAAAAGTTGACTTTCAGACAGATGATTCATCCTGTAAACAGACCATGTGAATTTATGGTATTGATAAATACAATATAGCACTGTAAATGTATTTTCTCTTCCTTATTATTTTCTTAATAACATTTTCCTTTTTTCTAGCTTATTTTATTGTAAGAATACAATATATAATATACATAACATACAAAATATGTGTTAATTTACTGTTAGCCTGCTACGGTAGGCTATTAATAGTTAAGTTTTTGGAGAATCAAAACATATATGTGTGAGGGGTTGGCACCCCGACCTCTGCATTGTTCAAGGGTCAACTGTATATCTAGATGGGTGTGTATACAACTGTATATCTATATATCTCTATGTGTGTGTATACATACACGTAATATTTTTACTCTTAATATTAACATTGAGAGAGTCAAAAAGAGGGGACAAGTGATGGTTCTTACATTTCATTCTGTTCTATTCAAAAGTTTTACAGGTAGGCTGGGTTGATGAAAGGTATGATTATAGTTAGGAGAAATTAGAAAGTAACCTAATAATCTCATAAACACAAGGACCACAACTGGGCTCCTTTGACAGTAGAAACATACCACAATACACAGAAAGATAGTTTTCCTTAGCTTTGATCAAGAAAAAAGAAATCTCTAGACCAACAGAATTAGAGGAAATGTTGATCAATTACTTGGCTCAGTCTGTTGCTTTAGATGAGGGTGTGTTTATAAATTACCTAGGCCATAGCTTAACTTTCAAAGATCTTCTGAGACTTTTTTTTCGGTCTTATTCCAACATTTTTTTCCTTTTTTGACATCATTAAATTCTTCCTAGTGTCTCATCAAAATATCTCTAGAATTGCATTTATCTTATTTTGTTCTTCTTTTTCACTCTTTTGAGTACATGGAGAACAAATGATCAGTGACTCTAAAATCCTTCAGTTACTTCATGAAAATCATCAAGCCTCACTTGAGTCAGCTGTAGAATGAGCACTCCTTTCTTCACAAGACCTGCTCTGTTCTTTTAGCTTTTTAATCAATGACAGTGAGGAGGTAATCCATGGAGAGCATTAAATGAAAATCCAACTGTTGCAGCAAATATTTAAATTGATTAGAAGGAGCATAGGACATGAAGGGAACTAATATATATTGGGTGTCTATATCAGAAGCTATACTAGCCCTTTAACCACATTAAGGCAGTAATTCAAATAATACTGCTATCAACTCTATAAACTAGGTGATATCACTGATATTTTATAGTTGAAGCTAGGAGACGTTAACTAAGATATCTACAATGAGTTGCAAAAATTTCTGAGGAATGTATAAGTAGGTAATTTGTAAGTAGTTGTAAGTAGTTAATGCCACTTGCAAGTTGTAGTTAACTCTTTTGTAATCAGTCTGATGGTACAGCCATTTCTATTATTTCTCCAAGAATATAACACAGGCAGAGTAGCTGAGAGCTTAAGAGTTTAGGCTTTGATCTGGGTTCAAATCTGTGCCCTACCACTTTCTATCTATATAATGGGAAATGGATTTAATATTCCCAAGCTACAGTTTTCTCATAAAATAATAATAAGAATACCTTATAGGGTTGTTGTGAGGATTATATGAGATAACACATATAAAATCATAGCATATTTCCATGTAAGGGCACAATACATAGTGGTTTTTATTAATATTATTGCAGGTGAGTGGTAGAGCCAAGATTTTTTGGACTCATTTGTCTTAGTATCTTACAGGGCTTAGAGTAGTATATAGTCTTCAGAAGAGAGAGTTGTCACACAGCACAGAGAAAGTGTTAACAAAGAATATTTAGGAATAGTTAAGCAAGTAAAGGGTCTTCTTAGGCCTAGAGAATGGCAATATTGACAACATATGTACCTAAAAGTATGAAAGGAAAATATCAGAGTTTGATATTTTTGGTGGTTTGCTTCAAAAATACCAATAAATAAATTGCAATGCAGTGAGAGATTATTTTTTAATCTGATGACAGTGCATGACTTCAATTGGGTCAGAGAAAACTAGATGTTCAGATTGGAGGCTGAGGCTTGGATGAGAGGGGATAAAGTCCTGCTCCAGGGTGGCAAAGGTAACAAAAGAAAGGCATAGATTTCAGAGACATCATGAAAGAAGATGCAGGCTCAACAAAGTATCCTGAGTATCTACCATGGGATAGGTGTCATGCTAGGAGCCTGTGTGGTTTTCTCATTGATTTGAAGGTGACAAACTGAGGCTCTGAGAGACTAAGTGATTTTCTTAGCGTCACAGAACTAATAACAGATTTAACGTGGGGTTCTAATTCCAAGGCCAGCTTTGATTTTTAAATATACCTCAACTACCTCTCTTGGAGTCAATGACAAATTGGACGTGGAAGAAAGATGAGGGGGGAAGCAAGATAATTGAGAGCATAATAATACCATGAGAAGTCAAGAAGTGAACATGCACTAGCATGCATATATATACATGCACACACACACACATACACACACATACACTGTCCCATCCTCCCTATTATGGTCTGAATGTTGGCATCTCCCTCAAATTCATACGTTGGAACCTAGCACCCAGTATGATAGTATTAAGAAGTGAGAGTCTTTTGGGAATAAAGTTACGAGGGCTCTGTCTTCATGAATGGGATTAGTGCTTCTTATAAAGGAGGTTGAAGGGAGCCGCCTTGCCCATACTGCCATGTGAAGACGAAGCAACAAGGTGTCATCTGTAAAGCAGAGATTCCTCACCAGACACTGAATCTGCTGGTGCCTTGATCTTGGACTTCCCAACCTCTGGGACTGTGAGAAATAAATGTGTATTTTTGTAAGTCTGTAAGTCAGCCTTCAATATGAGCATCCAGTTTTCTCTGACCCTATTGAAATTATGCACTGTCATCACATTAAAAAACAATCTCTCACTGCATTGCAATTTATTTACTGGTATTTTTGAGCACCCAGTGTAAGGTATTTTGTTATAGCAGTCTGAATGGACTAAGACACTCCCAAATATATAACAACATACAGAGATTCTCTAGTTAATATCCGTAATCACACAGAATCCATAAATCTCTTATCCGACAGCAATGTTTTGAAATAAACTTGTGTAGTATGCCTCCCAAAAAGAACCAAATACAAATAGATATAGTAAAGGTATATGGCCAATTTTTATGGAACAGTTACCAAATCATAGCCCTGTGGTTACATGCATTATGTCATTTAATCACAATAACCCTGTGAGGGTCTTATGAGGTAGGTATTCTCATTGAACCCA
The DNA here is from genome assembly GCF_000001405.40 of Homo sapiens. Classification (NCBI taxonomy): domain Eukaryota; kingdom Metazoa; phylum Chordata; class Mammalia; order Primates; family Hominidae; genus Homo; species Homo sapiens. The sequence continues at coordinate 92,914,430 of NC_000007.14, forward strand.
TTTTACAAAAAAATGGGAGATGTTGCTTCTAGCTAGTGTTCTCTGTTCCTATCTCCTAGGTACAGTATACATTTTTTAGTTGTTCACCTCTTTTTCTCTGTTATTTATTTTACCTTTCTTCCTGCAGATTTACCCTTTTAGAATATGCCCATCAATTTTTACTACCAGTCCCAAAATAGAGCTTCTCTTTTTAGCTCCCCCCCCAGTCCTGAGCATCTTCTCACTCCACTTGGGAAGCTGAAAACCTCACAGGCCATGTTTTATGGATGCCTGGACACCCCCAGTGTGGGCAATAAAGCTCTTTATACAGAGGATGGAATTATGGCTCAATATCTATTTGGGCTGGCTGTTCCTGGAACCAGAGATAGTTTATTTATGACTAACGAAAACTTACTAATCTGTCTTCAAGTGACAAGTGACAGAAACCCAGCCGAAACTTAAGCAAAGGAAAAAGTCATTTGGTTGACTGGAACTAAGAAGAATCAAAGAGGAGCTGGAATCAGACACTATCCCAAATCTCTCTCTGTCTTTCTCTCTCTTCCCATATCTCTCTCTCACTTAGAGGATTGTCAACAATAAGAAAAATACAACCTATCTTCCACTGGCTTAAGAAATAAGTCCTTCATTTCCTTCAAGTGTTTGTTCAAATCTCACTTCTTCAGTGAAGCCAAATTCTCACTTTATTCAACATCAAAACCTGTCCCTTTGATCCTAGCATTCTTGATTCTTTTTGCCATGCTCCTCTTATCAATTTTTTTCTGCTTACTATTTCCTAACATACTATAGAATTTTCTTACTTAACGTTTTTAGTTTATTATAATCTCTCTTGGCTAGAATGTGAGTTCCACAAGGGTAGGGATCTTGTGTTTTGTTCACTGAGCTACTTCAGACACCTAGAATAGGGTCTGGGACATGGTAGATGCTCAACAAATATGATTGCATGAATGAAAGGGAATCTATTATCTTACATAAGAAGAAATCTCAAGTTGAGTGGACCCAGGATTGTTGGTTCAATGGCTCAATGACATAATTTAAAACCATACTTTTTCCATCTTTCCTGTCTGCCATCCTCAGCACTTCAGCTAGGCCTCTTAGGCTGGCTCTTTTCATGTTCGCAAGATGGCTGCTGCAGTTCCAAGTATCACATGTTGACAAGTATCACAGGTTGATAAGACATATGCGGCAACAGCAGAAGGACGGTTGCTAGCTGCTTCTTTTCTGACTCTATTTTTTTTCTTTAATCAGTGAAAAGTCATATATTATTTTTTAAAAGCCACACTTGCATATATAACAACTGAAGTTAAGATAACTGGTTATAGTTGCATTAGTTTCTAAGCTAACCCTTACAAACAAGAATACTTATTCTTTTTTTTTTTTTGAGATGGAGTCTCGCTCTGTCACCCAGGCTGGAGTGCAGTGGCGTGATCTCGGCTCACTGCAACCTCTGCCTCCTGGGTTCACGCCATTCTCCCGCCTCAGCCTCCTGAGTAGCTGGGACTACAGGCGCCTGCCACCATGCCTGGCTAATTTTTTTGAAGAACACTTATTCTTAATATAAGTTACTCAAGTGCAACCATGTGTTAGTTTTGGAAGAAATAAGTCAATGTAAATGTATGAAATGTTAGGAAGGCATTTCTAGGTATAGTAAGTGTAATAATTCAACATTGCTTTTGAAAAGTATAATAGCTAGAAAAATTACTTTTAAAAATCTATAGTAGTTTCTTATTTTGATAAAATTCTTAGAAATAAAACATGAGGAGATCTGCCATGAAGATGACTAATGGGAAGGTGTTCTTGATTATATTAAAGTAAGGCAAAGTATCTTTAAAAACTGTGAAAATGTATTTTAAAATACAAATTTTCTATATGGTATAATATAGCCAAAATATATGAGAGACAATTTATTTGTTTTTTGGCTTAATCGATGGAATGCATATTTTATTTAACCTATGTTATAGGTCAAATGGATTAAAAAATTAACTTTTGCTAAGAAGATGAGACAGTGGTAAGGGGTCTGTTGAACTCATTTAATATTGCTGTTTGAAAAAATAAAGAGTATATGGTGTAAAAATATTAATTTAAAAATGGACTATATTGGTTGTAATCTTGTTCAACATTATCTGTAAGCCTCATGCTTATAAAATCTGAAGCAAGAATAACTACAGATCACCCTGTTAATCCTTTGGGCATTCCTAGTTGAATTAAGTTTGTCCTTGTTAAAGAAATTATCTTTGTTTTTTTTCCCCCTCAGGCATGCATGTAAAACAGTTCCTGTCTCAATGTATGCCTTAGGCAAAAAGTTCAGTGCTCAATTACCTGCTGTCTGAAGTCTCATATTTTGCAGCAAGCAAGTGAAATAGCATTTTAATCAGAAGTCTTGACCTCTGCTCTTCTTTTCCCTTCACAGCACTGCAAGCTATTTGGCATATGAAGGTCTTGACCTGAGAAAACCATCTTGGATAACTGCAGCAAGGAAAAGGAAAAATGCAACACCTAGGAGATTTCAGTAAACAGTAGAATCATGCCAACCTAATCTGTGTTAAAATGCTTGGAATGTGGGAGCCGCTGATGATGCCTCTTGTCTGTGTGTCTGACTGAATCCTTTCTTTTCTCAGAGCAGCAAAGCAAAGCCTGGGAACCAGGCCAAATGCCTGCCACTTACCTTAAATTGATCAGCCACTTTGAGATTAAAACCCCTGAAAGCTGCCACACCGTGAAAACAAGGCCTCCTTCACATTAAAGGCAAATTGCGACTTTGGGTTTGCTGTGATCTTTTTTCCATTTTATCCAGTTTTTCACAGTGCACTTTTTTCCCCCTTTCCATTTATGCTCCAATATAGAAGCCAATAGTTACAGCATCTTGGCCAAGCATTCATTAAGGTTTATAAGAACAAAATTTATGGTTATTTAGGAGTTGGCACAAAGGCAGACTGTTGCTGGAAAAAGAAAAAGAAATACAGGTGGGAAATAGAAGCCTCCACAAAGGCCCACACTATACAGTAGTGTACTAGACTCTAGTAGTGGGCTGGGAGGAAAATGAAATAGTATTTGAAACCAGCTACTCTTCTATTCTGAATCATTCTCATTTATGGCTCTGCAGATTATTGAAACAAGTATACTGGTTATTCCAGGAGATTTTTCTGTCTTGGGTAAATGCTACCATTTACAGGAGCTGACAGTAGAGATAAATAGATGTGTGCCAATCTGAGTGATCTGGCAGTTTGGCTAAAGGATAAAGTGCATTTAAAAAAGAAATATATATATATATATAATTTCTATATTTATATATAGAAATATATATCTATATATTGCTATATAGATAGAATCATATATATGATATATATGACTCATATATGATTTTTATATATGATATATATATGATATATATATATGATATATATATATGATATATATATATATATGAGATATATATATATATATATATATATGATATATATATATATATATATATATATATGATATATATATATATAAGATCAGGATAAGGGCTTTCCCGTAAAGAGAAGAGTCACATTATCCTCCTTAGTGGACCTTACATAATGCTGAGCCTGTGTTCCCAAAAATCTAGGGTGTGGGTAAAACACACCCTTAATCTTAGAATTCGGGTAGTAATGTGGAATTCTGATGCAGGCTGGAAGGCTTTATTCTCCTTCAGGAAATACTGTTAATGATTCTTCTTCCTTTAAAAAAATACCCTGGCTTTCTTCACTAGGGGAATAAGAAAGCTCTTTGCCCTATCTTTTGCAATATTTATTAAGTAAGCCCTTTAAAAATATAGTTTAGTTTCTACTCATTGTTGTCTAAGAACTACCTAGAGTACTATCATTTATTGAAAAAATATACAGCTTCAGTGTTTCATGATGTAAACTGTTCCTAAAATATCACTTATTTTAGCTGCACTGGTAACTCACTATGTGACTTGGGGCAGGTTAATTTACATGTTCAGCCATCTCCCATTCTCAAATAGGAATACTAATAACGATTATAATAATAAAACATACTATTCCACTGTGATGAGGTAGACTGTGATGAAGTATTTGCTTCTACTTCCATAACTTTGCATATGCTAGAATATTTTACCCTTTCCTCCCCATGAAATTAAGTTCATCAGTTTTACTGATACTGTTTTGAAAACCTTCCACCTGATTCTTTTTATTCCTGTTTATCAGCATCACTTCAACATGGATACACATACTGATATTTTGACCCGCATTTGTTCACAGGTTGCTCTGCAGCAGACCTATTTAATTGTGCATGGATATAAGTGATTCATCCTAACTATACATGCTTAAAGCTCCCCAGGGGAAAGGGGAATGACCTTCCTGATATCTCTCCACCATTCTTGTAACAGTCCTCTGTTCTGAAAAGACACTCATTAAATCTGGAAAATTGAAGATGCACAGAATCTTTTGTGTCATTTCATAAAATGCCAGCTACAACTCTGGATGCATGAGCACACATGTGACCATCACTTGCAAATAATACTGATTATTTCTGAGCCTGGGTTAGTCTGTTTAGCAATCATAATAAGACATTTGCCTTGTTTTGCAGAGTGTCAGAAAGCCACAGCCATGATAAAAGGAAACACAGAAAAAGCTATGGCTCAGTGTGTTGGTCAACTCTGTTTCTGCCCCTTTTTAACCAGTTTGTCTTATAAGTTTGTCGTTAAAATTTTCCATCACACCTAATAGACTTTTATCTTGATCATCAATTTTATAACTTCCAAGTCTTCATACTTCATATTTCCTATTAATTGTGATTGTTCTGTGTTTCTTTTTTTTCTATTTTTTTAAAAATTATCTTTAAGTTCTGGGGTGCATGTGCAGAACCTGCAGTTTTGTTACATAGGTATGCATGTGCCATGGTGGTTTGCTGCACCCGCGAATCCATCCACTACTTGAGGTATTTCTCCTAATGCTATCCCTCTCCTAGCCCCCCACCCCGACAGGCCCTGGTATGTGATGTTCCCCTCCCTATGTCTATGTATTCTCATTGTTCAACTCCCACTTATGAGTGAGAACATGTGGTGTTTGGTTTTCTGTTCTTGTGATAGTTTGCTAAGAATGATGGTTTCCAGCTTCATCCATGTCCCTACAAAGGACATGAACTCATCCTTTTTTATGGCTGCATAGTATTCCATGGTGTATATGTGCCACATTTTCTTTATCCAGTCTATCATTGATGGGCATTTGGGTTGGTTCCAAGTCTTTGCTATTGTGAATGGTGCCATAATAAACATATATGTGCATGTGTCTTTATAGTAGAATGATTTATAATCCTTTGGGTATATACCCAGTAATGGGATTGCTGGGTCAAATGGTATTTCTAGTTCTAGATCCTTGAGGAATCGCCACACTGTCTTCCACAATGGTTGAACTAATTTGCACTCACAGCAACAGTGTAAAAGCATTCCTATTTCTCCACATCCTCTCCATCATCTGTTGTTTCCTGACTTTTTAATGATTGCCATTCTAACAGGTGTGAGATGGTATCTTGTGGTTTTGATTTGCATTTCCCTACTGACCAGCGATGATGAACTTTTTTTCATATGTCTGTTGGCTGCATAAATGTCTTCTTTTGAGAAGGGTCTGTTCATATCCTTTGCCCACTTTTTGATGGGGTTGTTTTTTTCTTGTAAATTTGTTTAAGTTCTTTGTAGATTATGGATATTAGCCCTTTGTCAGATGGATAGATTGCAAAAATTTTCTCCCATTCTGTAGGTTGCCTGTTCACTCTGATGATAGTTTCTTTTGCTGTGCAGAAGCTCTTTAGTTTAATTAGATCCCATTTATCAGTTTTGGCTTTTGTTGCCATTGCTTTTGGTGTCATGAAGTCTTTGCCCATGCCTACGTCCTGAATGGTATTGCTCAGGATTTCTTCTAGGATTTTTATGGTCCTAGGAGGGACTCTTTGATCCATTTTGAGTTGATTTTTGTATAAGGTATAAGGAAGGAGTCCAGTTTCAGTTTTCTGCATATGGCTAGCCAATTTTCCCAACAATATTTATTAAATAGGGAATCTTTTCCCCATTGCTTGTTTGTGTCAGGTTTGTCAAAGATCAGATGGTTGTAGATATGTGTTGTTATTTCTGAGGCCTTTGTTCTGTTCCATGGGTCTATATATCTGTTTTGGTACCAGTACCATGCTGTTTTGGTTACTGTAGCATTATAGTATAGTTTGAAGTCAGGTAGCCTGATGCCTCCAGCATTGTTCTTCCTGCCCAGGATTTTCTTTGTTATGCAGGCTCTTTTTTGGTTCCTTATGAAGTTTAAAGTAGTTTTTTCCAATTCTGTGAAGAAAGTCGGTCGTAGCTTGTTGGGGATAGCATTGAATCTATAAATTACTTTGGGCAGTATGGCCATTTTTATGATATTGATTCTTCCTATCCATGAGCATGGAATGGTTTTCCATTTGTTTGTGTCCTCTCTTATTTCCTTGAGCAGTGGTTTGTAGTTCTCCTTGAAGAGTTCTTTCACATCCCTTGTAAATTGTATTCCTAGGTATTTTATTCTCTTACTAGCAATTGTGAATGGGAGTTCACTGATAATTTAGCTGTCTGTTTGTCTGCTATTGTTGTATAGGAATGCTTGTGATTTTTTCACATTGATTTTGTATCCTGAGACTTTGGTGAAGTTGCTTATCAGCTTAAGGAGATTTTGGGCTGAGACAATGGGGTTTTCTAAATATACAATCATGTCATCTGCAAAGAGAGATAATTTGATTTCCTCTCTTCCTATTTGAGTACGCTTTATTTCTTTCTCTTTCCTGACTGCCCTGGCTAGAACTTCCAATACTATGTTGAACAGGAGTGGTGAGAGAGGGCATCCCTGTCTTGTGCCAGTTTTCAAAGGGAATGCTTCCAGCTTTTGCCAATGCAGTATGATATTGGCTGTGGGTTTGTCATAGATAGCTCTTATTATTTTGAGATACATCCCATCAATACCTAGTTTATTGAGAGTTTTTAGCTTTAGCATGAAGGGCTGTTGAATTTTCTTGAAGGCCTTTTCTGCATCTATTGAGGGAATTGTGTGGTTTTTGTCTTTGGTTCTGTTTATATGATGGATTATGTTTATTGATTTGCATATGTTGAACCAGCCTTGCATCCCATGGATGAAGCCAACTTGATTGTGGTAGATAAGCTTTTTGATGTGCTGCTGCATTTGGCTTGCCAGTATTTTATTGAGGATTTCTGCATCGATGTTCATCAGGGATATTGGTCTAAAATTCTCTTTTTTTGTTATGTCTCTGCCAGGCTTTGGTATGAGGATGATGCTGGCCTCATAAAATGAGTTAGGGAGGATTCCCTCTTTTTCTATTGATTGGAATAGTTTCAGAAGGAATGGTACCAGCTCCTCTTTGTACCTCTGGTAGAATTCGGCTGTGAATCTATCTGGTCCTGGACTTTTTTTGGTTGGTAAGCTATTAATTATTGTCTCAATTTCAGAGCCTGTTATTGGTCCATTCAGGGATTCAACTTCTTCCTGGTTTAGTCTTGGGAGAGTGTATGTGTCGAGGAATTTATCCATTTCTTCTAGATTTTCTAGTTTATTTGCATAGAGGTGTTTATAGTATTCTCTGATGGTAGTTTGTATTTCTGTGCAATTGGTGGTGATATCCCCTTTGTCATTTTTTATTGCGTCTGTTTGATTCTTCTCTCTTTTCTTCTTTATTAGTCTTGCTAGCAGTCTATCAATTTTGTTGATCTTTTCAAAAAACCAGCTCCTGGATTCATTGATTTTTTGAAGGGGTTTTATGTCCCTGTCTCCTTCAGTTCTGCTCTGATCTTAGTTATTTCTTGCCTTCTGCTAGCTTTTGAATGTTTGCTCTTGCTTCTCTAGTTCTTTTAATTGTGATGTTAGGGTGTTGATTGTAGATCTTTCCTGCTCTCTCTTGTGGGCATTTAGTGCTATAAATTTCCCTCTACACACTGCTTTAAATGTGGCCCAGAGATTCTGGTATGTTGTGTCTTTGTTCTCATTGGTTTCAAAGAACATATTTATTTCTGCCTTCATTTCATTGTCTACCCAGTAGTCATTCAGGAGCAGGTTGTTCAGTTTCCATGTAGTTGAGCGGTTTTGAGTGAGTTTCTTAATCCTGATTTCTAGTTTGACTGCACTGTGGTCTGAGAGACAGTTTATTATAATTTCTTTTCTTTTACATTTGCTGAGGAGTGCTTTACTTCCAACTATGTGGTCAATTTTGGAATAAGTTTGATGAGGTGCTGAGAAAAATGTATATTCTGTTGATTTGGGATGGAGAGTTCTGTAGATGTCTATTAGGTCTGCCTGGTGCAGAGCTGAGTTCAAGTCCTTGATATCCTTGTTAACTTTCTGTCTCATTGATCTTTCTAATGTTGACAGTGGGGTATTAAAGTCTCCCATTATTATTGTGTGGGAGTCTAAATCTCTTTGTAGATCTCTAAGGACTTGCTTTATGAATCTGGTTGTTCCTGTATTGGGTGCATATATATTTAGGAGAGTTAGCTCTTCTTGTTGAATTGATCCCTTTACCATTATGTAATGGCCTTCTTTGTCTCTTTTCATGTTTGTTGGCTTAAAGTCTGTTTTATCAGAGATTGGATTGCAACCCCTGCTGTTTTTTGTTTGCCATTTACTTGGTAGATCTTCCTCCATCCCTTTATTTTGAGCCTATGTGTGTCTCTGCACATGAGATGGGTCTCCTGAATACAGCACACCGATGGGTGTTGACTCTTTATCCAATTTGCCAGTCTGTGTCCTTTAATTGGGGCATTTAGCCCATTTACATTTAAGGTTAATATTGTTATGTGTGAATTTGATCCTGTCATTATGATGTTAGCAGGTTATTTTGCTCGTTGGTTGATGTGGTTTCTTCCTAGCATCGATGGTCTTTACAATTTGGCATGTTTTTGCAGTGGCTGGTACCAGTTGTTCCTTTCCATGTTTAGTGCTTCCTTTAGGAGCTCTTGTAAGGCAGGCCTGGTGGTGACAAAATTTCTCAGCATTTGCTTGTCTGTAAAGGATTTTATTTCTCCTTCACTTATGAAGCTTAATTTGGCTGGATATGAAATTCTGGGTTGAAGATTCTTTTCTTTAAGAATGTTGAATATTGGCCCCCACTCTCTTCTGGCTTGTAGAGTTTCTGCTGAGAGATCCACTGTTAGTCTGATGGGCTTCCCTTTACGGGTAACCCGACCTTTCTCTCTGGCTGTCCTTAATATTTTTTCCTTCATTTCAACCTTGGTGAATCTGACAATTATGAGTCTTGGTGTTGCTCTTCTCAAGGAGTATCTTTGTGGCGTTCTCTGTATTTCCTGAATTTGAATGTTGGCCTGCCTTGCTATGTTGGGGAAGTTCTCCTGGATAATATCTTGAAGAGTGTTTTCCAACTTGGTTCCATTCTCCCCGTCACTTTCAGGTACACCAATCAAATGTAGATTTGAACTTTTCACATAGTCCCTTGTTTCTTGGAGGCTTTGTTCATTTCTTTTTACTCTTTTTTTTCTCTAAAGTTCTCTTCTCTCTTCATTTCATTCATTTGATCTTCCATCACTGATACCCTTTCTTCTACTTGACCGAATCTGCTACTGAAGCTTGTGCATGTGTTACATAGTTCTCGTGCCATGGTTTTCAGCTCCATCAGGTCATTTGAGGTCTTCTCTACGTTGTTTATTCTAGTTAGCCATTCTTCTAATCTTTTTTTCAAGGTTTTTAGCTTCTTTGCGATGGGTTCGAACATTCTCCTTTAGCTTGGAGAAGTTTGTTATTACCAACCTTCTGAAGCCTACTTCTGTCAACTCATCAAAGTCATTCTCTGTCCAACTTTGTTCCATCACTGGTGAGGAGCTGCAATCCTTTGGAGGAGAAGAGGTGCTCTGGTTTTTAGAATTTTCAACTTTTCTGCTCTGGTTTCTCCCCATCTTTGTGGTTTTATCTACCTTTGGTCTTTGATGATGGTGACCTACAGATGGGGTTTTGGCGTGGGTGTCCTTTTTGTTGATGTTGATACTATTCCTTTCTGTTTGTTAGTTTTCCTTCTAACAGTCAGGACCCTCAGCTGCAGGTCTGTTGGAGTTTGCTGGAGGTCCACTCCAGACCCTGTTTGCCTGGGTATCACAAGCAGAGGCTGCAGAACAGCAAATGTTGCTGCCTGATCCTTCCCCTGGAAACTTCATCTCAGAGGGGTACCTGGCCATATGAGGTGTCAGTCGGCCCCTACCAGGAAGTGTCTCCCAGTTAGGCTACTCGAGGGTCAGGGACCCACTTGAGGAAGCAGTCTGTCTGTTCTCAGATATCAAACTCCATGCTGGGAGAACCACTACTCTCTTCAAAGCTGTCAGACAAGGATGTTTAAGTCTGCAGAAGTTTCTGCTGCCTTTTGTTGAGCTATGCCCTGCCCTCAGAGGTGGCATCTATAGAGACAGGGAGCCTCCTTGAGCTGCTGTGGGCTCCACCGAGTTCGAGCTTCCCAGCTGCTTTGTTTACCTAGTCAAGCCTCAACGAGGCAGATGCCCCTCCCCCAACCTCGTTGCTGCCTCGCAGTTCGATCTCGGATTGCTGTGCTAGCAGTGAGCAAGGCTCCGTGGGTGTGGGACCCGCCCAGCCAGGCAGAAGATATAATCTCTGGTGTGCCGTTTGCTAAGACTGTTGGAAAAGCGCAGTATTAGGGCAGGAGTGTCCCAATTTTCCTGGTACCGTCTGTCACGGCTTCCCTTGGCTAGGAAAGGGAATTCCCCGACCCCTTTCTCTTCCCAGGTGAGGCAATGCCCCGCCCTGCTTCAGCTCACACTCCGTGGGCTGCACCCACTGTCCAACCAGTCCCAATGAGATTAACCCTGTACCTCAGTTGGAAATGCAGAAATCACCTGTCTTCTGCGTCCCTCATGCTAGGAGCTGTAGACTGGAGCTGTTCTTATTTGGCCATCTTGGAACTCCCCATAGTCCCATATTTCCTAGAGGCTTTGTTCGTTCCTTTTTATTCTTCTTTCTCTAATTTTGTTTTTTCTCTTTATTTCATTAAGTTGATTTTCAATCACTGATTTCCTTTCTTCCGCTTGATTTGGCTATTGAAACTTGTGTATGCGTCACGAAGTTCTCGTGCTGTGTATTTTCAGCTCCGTCAGGTCATTTATGTTCTTCTCTAAACTGGTTATTCTAGTTAGCAATTCGTCTAACCGTTTTTCAAGGTTCTTAGCTTCCTTGCATTGGGTTAGAACATGCTCCTTTAGCTCGGAGGAGTTTTGTTATTATCCACCTTCTAAAGCCTACTTCTGTCAATTCGTCAAATGCATTCTCTGTCCAGTTTTGTTCCCTTGCTGTCAAGGAGTTTTGATCCTTGGAGGAGAAGAGGCGTTCTGGTTTTTGGAATTTTCAGCCTTTTTGCACTGGTTTCTCCCCATCTTTGTGGATTTATCTAACTTTGGTCCTTGATGTTGGTGACCTTTGGATGGGGTCTTTGAGTGGAACTGCTATTCCTTTCTGTTAGTTAGTTTTCCTCTGACAGTCAGGCTTCTTTGGTGCTGGTCTGCTGGACTTTGCTGGAGGTCCACTCCCAACCCTGTTTGCCTGGGTATCACCAGTGGAGGCCGCAGAACAGCAAAGATTGCTGCCTGATCTTTCCTCTGTAAGCTTCATCCCAGAGGGGCCCCTGCCAGATGCCAGCCAGAACTCTCCTGCATGAGGCATCTGTCGACCCCTGCTGAGAGTTATCTCCCTGTCGGGATACATGGGGTTCAGGTACCCACTTGAGGAGGCAGTCTGGACCCTTAGTAGAGCTTGAACTCTGTGCTGGGAGGTCCACTGCTCTCTTAAGAGCCATCTGGCAGGGAAGTTTAAGTTCTGCTGAAGCTGCATTCACAGCCATCCCTTTCCCAAGGTGCTCTGTGCCAGGGAGATGGGGGGTTTTATCTATAAGTCCCTGACTTGGGCTGCTGCCTTTTTTTCAGAGATGCCCTGTCCAGAGAAGGGAAATCTGGCAGTCTGGCCACAGCAGCCTTGCTGAGCTGCAGTGGGCTCCGCCCAGTTCAAACTTCTCAGGGGCTTTGTTTACACTGTGAGGGGAAAACCGCCTACGCAAGCCTCAGCAATGGCAGATGCCCCTCCCCCTACCAAGCTCAAATGTCTCAGGTCAATCTCAGACTGTTGCTGTGCTGGCAGCGAGAATTTCAAGCCAGTGGATCTTAGTTTGCTGGGCTCCGTAGGGGTGGGACCCGCTGAGCCAGACCACTTGGTTCCCTGGCTTCAGCACCCCTTTCCAGGGGAGTGAACTGTTATGTCTCACTGGCGTTCCAGGTGCCACTGGGGTATGGAAAAAAGGAACTCCTGCAGCTAGTTATGTGTCTGCCCAAATGGCCGCCCAGCTTTATGCTTGAAAGCCAGGGCCCCGGTGGGGTAGGCACTGGAGGAAATCTCCTGGTTTGCCTGTTGCAAAAACCATGGGACAAGTGCAGTATCTGTGCTGGAGTTCCTCAGACTCAGTCCCTCAAGGCTTCCCTGGGCTAGGGGAGAAAATTCCCTGATACCTTACGCTTCCCGGGTGAGGTGACACCCTGCCCTGCTTCAGCTCACCCTCCGTGGGCTGCACCCACTGTCCAACCATTCCCAGTGAGACGAACCGGGTACCTCAGTTGGAAATGCAGAAATCACTCACCTTCTGCGTCGATCTTGCTGGGAGCTGCAGACTGGAGCTCTTCCTATTTGGCCATCTTGCCAGCCTTGACAAAATCTTAAGAGTTGTTCTGTATTTCTTTAGCTATCAAGTATTTATGGAGGTCCTGGTATATATTTAATGTTAGGCTAAGGATAATTCAAAAATCACTATATAAAATGAAGCAGTTGGTAAGAAAACACAAACAAGCAAACGACTGCCTGTAGCAATTTGCTTTGTATTTTGTTGCAGAGGGTAACAATTTGAGAACAATTCAAGATAATACATTAAAGAGTCATATTTCACGATTAAACAGTCAATTTGGACAGTTCAAAGAGTATACACTGAAAACACCATCATAGATTGTATAAGACTTGAAAAGGGTCTAGAGGGATGATGGAGAAAGGCTCTTTAAGAGGGTAATGGCATAAACAAAGCCGTAGAAGTGGGAATGATCTTGGTTAGCTCACAAAGCAGCCAAACAGACTTCAGAGGGAGAGGTGGGAGTGTAGCTAAAATGTCGTGGGAAATAGGGTTGAGAGAGAGACAAGAGCCAACTAATGGAAGGCCTTGAAAGTCAAACAGAGGAGTTGTCACTGTCTTGGGAGAAAAATAGGATCCTTTTAATATTCGGAGTCCAAGAACAAAAGATTTTAAGATGTTTATCTTTTTTTTTGGTGCAAAGAGCCCCGAATCCTGAAACAGAATACCTAGGCTATAGTCTTGGTTTCACCATTATAAAATTGTGCAATCTTGAGCAAGCTAGTGGATCTTTCTGAGCTTTAGTTCTTGCATTCACAAATTGGGGATGAAAATACCAGCCTTACCAGTCAGGTTCAGCACACCATTAAGCCACTGCAGCTACACAGGTGTGAGGAAATGAGGATCTGGAGGGTGGCAGTGGCTACAGAAAATGAGTGGGAGAAACAAATCAAAGAGATGCTGCAGAGGCTGACATTATGTCATGTAGGTGACTTTGGTCTGCCTGTCTCCAGGAAAAAATAACACTTCCAATTCACTTCTTTCCCTGAAACTTTATCTTCTCACCTCAGGTCCTCTACAAATCCTCACATTTTGCTGTTCTCTTTCTTCCCTTGTCCGTTTTGGGAAAGAGTATTTTTGTCCCTACTTACATCACCCAAGAGGGTTCAGACTGTCTCTGAGGAGTCACCAACAGATTTCCAAAAGACCTCTGTTGTCTACTGTTTCTTCACCACTCAGCTTATATGCTTTCATCTATTAACCTGTTAACATCTTTCCTTAGTAATGTATATCTTTCCTTTTTTTGAGTTCAAGTGATTGTTTTATTGTAAAGGCAAATAAACTGTTACTAAAGTAAACTAATACATGTGAGTTACAGGTGTCACTGCATGAATGTATTGACTGAATATCTGCTAGGAAATGAGATGTGAAATTTAAGCATGCTTTTGGAATTACATACATATTTTTGTTCAAAGCACATTTTAATGGTTCTATAAAAGTATAACATCTTCCTTAGAGCATATAAATGATTAGTATCAAAATTAGACATATAAACACCATGTGGGTTCAATAATTTTTCGTTATTTCTGCCTGCTGCAGAACTAGCCCTGTGACCAGGCTCTGCCTGCATCTTAAATCACATGCACACTATATTAGTCCTTCCCTCATCTTCCACTCTAGGCTAAGGGAGTCCAGAATGGGCACCATTAGCAATTCCTAATGGAAGCTCTAATTCCTACTTAGAAGCAAACAGTAGGAAATTAAATCAGTTCAATCTAAAAAGATACAGTGGCAGTTCTATTTCACAAGGGATGCTGGTTAAACAGTTAACCCAGAGTGAACTCCTCCTGTTCTTTGATTGGGAAGCCTTTCAGACCTTAATTACTGTGTTCTGTGAATCTGTGAGAGATGTTCGTAATGTCCTTTCTTATTTATTTATTTATTTATTTATTTATTGTTTTTTGGATGAAGTCTCGCTCTGTCACCCAGGCTGGAGTGCAGTGGCGCGATCTCGGCTCACTTCAAGCTCCACCTCCCGGGTTCACGCCATTCTCCTGCCTCAGCCTCCCGCGTAGCTGGAGTACAGGCATCCGCTACCGCGCCCGGCTAATTTTTTGTATTTTTAGTAGAGACGGGGTTTTGCTGTGTTAGCCAAGATGGTCTGGATCTCCTGGCCTCGTGATCCGCCCGCCTCAGCCTCACAAAGTGCTGGGATTACAGGCGTGAGCCACTGCGCCTGGCTGTACCTTCTTATTTTCTGTATCTCTCCGGAGTTTCTGCAGAGTCTGATTCTAAATGACTTTTATTTCCCACCTAAAAAATTATTGAGAGTGATATCAGCAAGAATCACTATTTGATCATCATCACCCCACGGAAGCATCAATTTTAATGGCCACACATGGATGAGAGTACCTTTGAGAGAGTCTGGGAATCCAGTGGACAAGTTCCAGCTTACCATTGAAGAAGAAAATTTGAGAATAGATGCATTGAAGAGGGTAAGAAAAACAGTTTCATTTACCTATGTCACTCCTCTAAGGTGACATAGCTCAATACCAAGAGAGACCCCTTTAGTCCATGATTTATCCTGTAGGAAAAAGTGAGAGTATAGTCAGTGAGCAGCCAGCCATGGGGTGCTGCCAAAGAGGCCCACTTGTTTTTAGCCCCACCCAGCACAGCTGAGTGGCTGGGAGAGGCTGGAAGCAGAGAAGAGAGATGGGGATTTACAGCAACCAGGGCATGGAATTCAACCAAAGGCCTTGGATGCTACTAACTGCTTTGGAGACTTGATCAGAAAACCTGCCCATGAGCTGCTTGGGAGACCTTGCCTGCAGACCCCTTCAGCTGGCTCATGGGCACCCCCAACACTGTGTACCTCACTCCTGCCCCTGACTGTGGCTGGCTCTGTGCATGTGCCTGTGAACACAAAGTACAGGCCTCTGCAGATGGCTTATGAGCTTGCACAGACAACCAGCCTGATTCTGAAAAATAGGAAGAAGCTATACAAACTTGAGCATTTCAGGGCACGGACCTAGGAACAAGAAATGGTAGCCTTTTTTAATCTACCATGGCTTGTGTGATTGAGAGAAGACATACAATCTTAAGTATTCCTCCTCAAGAGGGAACAAGAGATGTGGAGTAGGCAAATCCATAGATAAGTTCTGAGAGAGCCTCAGAAATCCCTAGTCAGGCTGGCTGGTGATGGTATTTCTCTTCTGAAGCTAGTCAGTACAGATTTGAGGAGGTGATTACTTTTTCCGGTGTCTTTAAGGAACAAGAAAAACCAAGTAAACACGATACTATCAGAGGAATATAATACTTTTCCAGTAACTGACTCTAAAGAAATGGAGATCTACAAATTGCCCACAAATAATTTAAAATAATTGTTTTAAGGAAACTCAGCTGTGTTCAGCATCTTTTCAACACAGATAGACAACTCAACATAATCAGGTAAACAAAATGAGAAGTTAACAAAGAGAAATTGTAAAAAAGAACCAAACAGAAATTCTGGAATTGAAGAATAGGATGAATGAATAAAAAAATGCAACAAAAAGCATCAAGAGCAGACTAGATCAAGCCAAAATAAATAAATACATAAATAAATAAATAAAAGAAAAAAACATGAACTCAGTAACAGGTCATTTGAAATTATCCAGTAAGTGAAGAAAAACGAATGAAAAGAAACAAGGCTGTGGGATTTATGGGACACCATCAAGAGAATTATGGGAATTCCCAAAGAAGAAGAGTGAGAGAAAAGAGAAGCAAAGCTCATTTAGGGAAATAATAACTGAAAACTTCCCTAATCTAGGGATAGATATAGACACCTAGGGATATGGCACATTATAATCAAACTATCAAAAATCAAAGTCAAGGAGAGATTTTTGAAAGCAGCAAAAGAGACTCATCACATACAAGGGAATGCCCATTAAACTATCAGTGGGCTTCTCTGCAGGAATTTTGCAGGCCAGGAAAAAGTAGATAATATATTAAAAGTGCTGAAAGAAAAAATTGCCAATCAAGACTACTTTACCTAGCAAGTCTGTTTCAGAAATGAAGGAGAGATAAAGACAAACAAAAGTTGTGGGAGTTCATCACCACTAGACGTGCCTTATAAGAAATGCTAAGGGAGTTCTTCAAACTGAAATGAAAGAATGCTAGTTAGCAATACAAAAATATATGAAAGTATAAAATAAGTATATAGTCAAATTCAGAATACTCAAATACTGTAATGAAGGTATGTAAATCAATTTAAACTCTAGTATAAAGGTTAAAATACAAAAATATTAAAAATAACTAGAACTACAATAACTTGTCAATAGATACATAGTATAAAAAATAGATTGTGGTATTATATTTCAATATGCTCCACATAGAAAGACAAATACGGCATCATCTTATGTGTATGTGGAATCCAAAAATGTTGAACCTGTAGAAGCAGCAGAATGGTGGTTATCAGGGGCTGGAAGGTAGGGAAAATTGGGAGATTTAATCAGAGTGAAAACTTTCATTCATAATGTGAATAATTTCTGGAACCTAATGTATAGCATGGTCACTCAAGTTAACAATAATATCTACTTGAAATTTTTTAAGAGAGAAGATCTTGGCTGGGTGCATTGGCTCATGCCTGTAATCCCAGCACTTTGGGAGGCTGAGGCAGGTGGACCACCTGAGGTCAGGAGTTCAAGACCAGCCTGGCCAACATGGTGAAACCCCATCTCTTCTAAAAGTACAAAAATTAGCCAGGCTTGGTGGTGGGCGCCTGTAATCCCAGCTACTTGGGAGGCTGAGGCAGGAGAATTGCTTGAATCTGAGAGGCAGAGATTGCAGTGAGCCAAGATTGTGCCATTGCACTCCAGCCTGGGCGACGGGGCGAGACTCAGTGAAAAAAAAAAAAAAAAAAAAAAAAAAAGGGTAATACTGTGATTGATATGTCAATGAGCTTGATTGTGATAATCATTTTGCAATATATACTTATATCAAAACCATGTTGTATGCCTTAAATATATACAATTTTCATTTGTCAGTCGTACTCAATAAAGCTGAGGGGGGGAAAAGGGTCTCTTTTCCACTTTCCCAAATATTTCACTATTTTTTTCCTTCCTGTTAGCCACCTGATCTTTCTGATTACTTGTTACCAGCACAACTCTCTTCCTTCCTGTTCCCTCATTTCTTTCTTGAGTCTCCTTGTGTTTAGGATTAGGAAAAGTGAAGTGATTTAGGATTAGGAGAAGTGAAAGGATCAGGAAGTCACACTGCTAATGACAAGTCCTGGAGATGATGCGGAGGAGCAGAAACTCATGCTAGTGCTGGAGAGAGTGTAAACTGGTACAACCAATTGGAGATCAGTTTGGCAATAGATATTAAAAAGATGCTCAGCACCTGACCTGTAATTATCAATTACAACAATTATCATTAGGGCGGACCCCTAGCAAGTGAGGTCTTACTATGTGCAAGTGATATGGTTTGGCTGTGCACCCACCTGAATCTCATCTTGTCTTGTAGTTCCCATAATCTCCACGTGTTGTGGGAGGGACCAGGTGGAGATAATTGAATCATGGAAGCGGTTTCTCCCATCCTGTTCTCGTGATAGTAAGTTAGTTCTCACGAGATCTGATGGTTTTATAAACGGCTTCCCCCTCTGTGGGGCACTTGCTCATTTTCCTTCCTGCTGCGGTGTGGAGAAGGGTGTGTTTGCTTCCCTTTCTGCCGTGATTGTAAGTCTCCTGAGGCCTCCCCAGCCATACTGAACTGTGAGTCAATTAAACCTCTTTCCTTTATAAATTACCCAGTCTCCTGTATGTCTTTATTGGCAGCATGAGAACGAACTACTACGGGAAGACCGTTTTTGCTGCTTTATTCTCTTCAAGGAGGTTCTATCATTATCCTAATTTTACTAATGAGGAAACCAAGGTGCAGAGAAACTAAATAACACACCCAAGGTCGTACTGTTGTGGTAGAGCTGGGGTTTAGATTGGAGCAGTTAGGCTCCAGAGCACCAAATATTGCCTGTAATAATGCAGGTCCCAGGAGTGATGATTATTAGTATTCTCTGCAACACTACTTAGAATAATAAAAAGGTATGAATAGCCTAACTTGCTCCTTCAAGAGGGAATGCATGGATATACCCATGGACTATTGTTAGGAGCTTAAATGAATGAACTGGATCTATAAATATTAACATGGAAAATCTCAAAAATAGAATCTTGCAGGAAGAAAATCAAGGTACTGCAAAATACACACAATAACACCATGGATGGAAATTTTAAAACACATAAAACAAAAATACATAGTTTACAGATAACTGCATATGTAGTAGTTAAAAACCTTAGGTGAGAATTATATAGTCCAACTGAATTATGTCTTACCTTGAGAGATGAATGGAGTAAGTGATAAGGAATGGAGGTGATTTTCTGTTTTTATTTAACACGAAAAAGAAAGTTGATGAAAACATGGCAAAATATTAACATGTTTAGTTCAGGCACTGGGTACATAAGTATCATATTTTTAAATTTCTGTACGTTTAAAACATTTTATATAAGCATTTTGAAAACACTTAAAAAAGAAATGAGAAATTAGCCAAAATCTGACATGGAGGAGACCATCAATTTGGTGGCTGTTCAAGTCAAAACAAATAATTCTTGAGTACAGATTAAGTTCCCAATATGGTGAGGGAATAAAAAAATAAGGAAAAGGCACTTTCTGGGAGTCTAGAGATCAGTTAAAAATACAGAGCCAGGCCAATACAATAACTAGGAAACAACATATGCATACGCAGAGATTTGTGTAGCACAACCTACACATACTAGATAAATTTCACTTGAGAGGTTTTAGCAGCTTGTCTATGGTCAGTGTTGCAGAGGAAAGATGACTTTATTGGGCTAGTCTTTGACCTATGGCTGGCCCTTTGAGTATGATGCCTGATGTGAGTGGTAGCTGGGATTCAGCTCTCAAGGAATGGAGAATAGGAAGCACTTAGCTATCCACCCACATTGACAGCCTGTTTCTGATGTAGAGAAGCCAAAAATGTAATTTTATTATTTTTTTAGCCAGCTCTGTTTATATATCTCATGTCCATAGATTTGGTGTAATTACAGCCTAGAGATAATACCTAAGGTATTTATTGAACAAGTTCATTCTGACTGGGTAATATTTGTTATTTATTTAGCTCTCTAAATGTACACGGTACTTGACAAATATGTAGAAAGACAAGTTTCCTGCCCTGGGGAGTTTATGTTCTAATGCAGACAAACAGAACAGAAGGGGTGGGATCTTGACTTGAAGACTTGGCAGGTTGGGAGAGGCTGGCTTGGTAGGAGAGAAGGGAACCTGAAGACTCTGGAAAAGTGAGACTGGAAATGTGAAAGGAATAGAGGACTTTTAGAGACATCCTTTAAAAGTAAACACAATGTTCAATCAGTATAATGCTTTTTTTTTTTTTGAGATGGAGTTTTGCTCAGGCTGGAGTGCAATGGCATGATCTCAGCTCACTGCAACCTCTGCCTCCCAGGTTCAAGCAATTCTCCTGCCTCAGCCTCCCAAGTAGCTGAGATTGCAGGTGTCCGTCACCACACCTGGCTAATTTTTTTTTTTTAATTAGTATAAACGAGGTTTCACCATATTGGTCAGGCTGGTCTTGAACACCTGACCTCAAGTGATCCACCTGCCTTGGCTTCCCAAAGTGCTGGGATTACAGGCATGAGCCACTGTGCCCAGCCTAGTATAATGTTCTTAAAAAACGTTTTTGAGGATGGGGGTTAAGGGGAGGGAGAGCATTAGGACAAACACTTAATGGATGTGGGACTTAAAACCTAGATGACGGGTTGATAGGTGCAGCAAACCACCATGGCACATGTAAACCTATGTAACAAACCTGCATGTTCTGCACATGTATCCCAGAACTTAAAATAAAAAAAAAAAATGTTTTTGAGGGTAGGGAAGAGGTTAAGACAAATGAATCTGATTGTGACAATAGTAAGATTAGTAGCAGAAGTATTATTATGTTAGCAGCAGCTGTAGTGTATTGAAGCTACCATATGCCAGGCAATGATGCAATGCATCTGTGCTAGACTCCTTGTGTACATTGTTTCACCAGTTCTAAAAGGCTGATTTTAGTGTCATTACTTTATGTTTGTGGAAACTGAGGTCCAGAGAGGTTAGATAACTTGCCCAAAGTGACACATCTGGGAAGTGAATAAGCATGAATTCAAACTTAGATATGACTCCAAAGTCCATGCTTTTTACTTTATGCTCCCCTCCAGACAAAGAGAACATTAAGGAATGAGGAATAGACAGGAGGGTTAGAACATAGGCTAATTGTACACCCTCAGCAACATTAAATGCAACCACCTCAGCATTTAAGGGGGTAAATTTCCTTATGTGAGAAAAAGTAGAGTCGCAGCTAGTAGGTGAAATGACTGAACCGAATTGCACTTATTGCTAGGAAATTTAAACAAGACAAATTTGTTGAGTCTTATGCTAATGTTCTAAGAGAACAGTCAGGGAATAGAAAGATATGGTATTATCATGGAGGAAACCAGCAATGAGGAAAGATGACAGACTAAGCTTCAAAATTCCTTAAGAAGTGGACACTTAAGAGCTCTGGATCTGCAACTAAATATACCTTCCATTGTTTTTTTTTTTTTTCTTTTTTTTGAGATGGAGTCTTGCTCTGTCTCCCAGGTTGGAGTGCACACTCAGGCTGGAGTGCAGTGGCACAATCTCGGCTCATTGCAACCTCCGTCTCTTGGGTTCAAGTGATTCTCCTGCCTCGGCCTCCTTAGTAGCTGGGATTACAGGCACACACCACCACACCTGGCTAATTTTTGCATTTTTTGTAGAGACGGGTTTTCACCGTGTTGGCCAGGCTGGTCTCAAACTCCTGACATCAGGTGATCTGCCTGCCTCGGCCTCCCAAAGTGCTGGAATTACAGGCGTAAGCCACCGTGCCCAGCCTACCTTTCTTTCTCGAGTCTGTGATCAGGTTGTTTTGGCTGCCTGTCTCTCCCCCTGCAACCCACTGCACAAGGTTCCACTGGCATGGAAATCAGTCTGTCTGTGTATTTCTGTTGTCGATCTATCCATCTTTATCTATCTAATGATCTCCCACCTCTTTTCCAAAAGGATTTAAAATAAGTTTTAATAAAATTATATTGGACAGATATATCTATAATATATACATGATATTATATTCAATTAGATAATATAGATAAAATTATATCCAATAAGGTTAATAAAAGTAAAATGATTATAAATTTACCTGAAATACTCTTTCCCAACCCCTCACTCCCACTCAACCACCTACCCATCACACTTCTATTCATATTTTAAGACCCAACTCAAAATTCCTTGTCAATCTGATGCTTCTATGTTGTTCTACCACTGTTCCATGTACATAATTTCATGATAGCATTTATTATATGATCTTATAATTAGTTTCATGTAAGTTTTCTTAATAGACTATAAGGTCCTTGAAGGTGGGAACCAAGTTTTGCTCAAAGTGTCTGTCATGTATTAAGTACTCAAATAGTTATTGAATAAGTCAATGACTAGATAAAATGAGAATCAAGGGAAAGAAGAGGAAGCAAGTATGCTAAGTATGGATTGACATGTACTTCTGTTGCTGAGCATCAGATTTGATTCTGGAAGCTAGGGCAAAAGGTAAACACAAAGTCACATGATTCTCATCATCAAAAGGAAAAGGCAAACACATTCTCAGGGAGGCAGTGTTTATGGCTATTTATGTCTGATTAACCTTTATTTGTTATAAGTAATATGCAATAAGTAATATGTTTTAAACTGATTTTTTTCAAGCAGAAGGTTCATAGTAAATAAAGTATATCTCCTTATTTAATAAGGGATGGCCAGGTTGTCAAAGAGCTATAACCAGAATTTCCCAGTGCCACTGACAAAAGATCCCTAAATTTATTAAGAAATGTGACAATATTACCATGAAAATGCTTTTTTCTTTGTTGTTGATGAGTTAGTATGCCACAAAAGGAAATACATTCTAATCACCAATGAATGTAATTCACAGCAGCATTTAAAAAAATCATATGTCAAGTGCCTTCTTTTTCAGCATATTTATTTTTTAAATTTAAATTTATATTTTAAACAACTAATAATAGTTGTGTATATTTATGGGGTACAGTGTGATGCTTTGAGAGAGATATATATATACACATACACATTGAGAAATGATTATATCAAATTGGTATATCAATCACCTCACATAATTTTTTATGGTGAGAACATATAAAATTTATTCTTTTAGCAATTTTGAACTGTACAACACATTAGCTATGGTCACCTTGCTGTGCAATAGATATTGAAAACTTATTTCTCTTGTCTAATTGAAACTTTGTACCCTTTGGTCAACCTCTTTCCATTCCTTTCCCCTTCTCCCACCTCTGGTAATCACCGTTCTAACCTTTATTTCTATGAGTTTTACTTTTTTGGATTCCATATATGAGTGAAATCATGTGGTATATGTTTTTCTGTGCCTGGTATATTTTAGCATAATGTCCTCCAGATTCATTCACGTTTTTGTAAATGACAGAATTTGCTTCTTTTTAAAGATTGAATAATATTTAATCATATATATGTATAAAAACACACTCATACTCTATTCTTGCATTGATGGACACAGGTTTGTTCCATATCTTGACTATTGTGAATAATAGCATATTTGTTTTGAAACATGTGGTTCAGTAAATAGAAGATGCATCTTGGAATCAAGCATCCTTAGGCTCAGTTCCTAGCTCTGCCATTTATTTGCTATGCAATCATGGAAAAATTATAGTATCTCTGAGCTTCAGTCCCTCATCTGTAAAACTTCTATAAGCAGTGTATACAGCAGTATATGTCAAACACATAGGGATTTCATATAGTAGCCACTCAATCAATGATGGTTATTATCAAAGGCAAAAATGCAATTCTTCCCTGGTTGCCTTTCATTAGGGTATTTGAAACCATTCTCTGTGGTTTAAGAGTGGTAAGTGAGGAGTGAACACCTTTCAGGTTGTTTCCCTGGGGTGGGTTGCCTTTGGCTGTTGCTTTGCTGATTATGGCCAAAACAATCACTGTCTTAGCACTCACCCTGGGGATGAGCCTATATGTCACCAACAGGGAACTGAACATTTTGTCTATCTGAAGCCCTCTTGCTTTGAATAGTACCATTTTCTTCTTGGCATCTAACCCTGCTGAGGCAGATACTAGAATTTTCTTATATTTATGCTTTCTCTTTTTGTATTTTTTTTTCTTTTTAGTAGAGACGGGGTTTCATCATGTTGGCCAGGCTGGTTTCGAACTCCTGACCTCAAGTGATCCTCCTACCTTGGCCTCCCAAAGTGCTGGAATTACAGGTGTGAGCCACTGTGCCTGGCCTATGCTTTCTCTTTTTAATCTTCACAGCCTGCATCCTGGTCACTTACCTGAACTCACCTTGTTTCAGTTCATTCTAAAGAAATGATCAGGACAATCTTACTCAAGCTCTGAGTTCAAGGCTGAATTACCGCTTTCAAGAATTTAAGATATAAGACATACTAAAGTAGTCAGATTGTGGATTCATCCATAGGGGTATTTTGCTTCTGCACCAAAGAACATTTTTTGAGGAGTCTCGAAAGGTTATGAAAATACCCATTATCTTTAGTAACTTTCTAGTAACCTATTACCTATATATCTAGAATTGCTTTCTTTCCTCAGGGTTGGCTCCTTGCGACGGACAGTGACATATGTAGGGTAGAAAGAGCACCAAAGGATAAAAGGATATAGATTTCCATCCCCAGTTTTATCTCAAGCTTTCTGCAGATAATGGGAAGCAGTCACCCAAGGCGCATAAGCTAGGGGTGCTTGAAATAGAGGTGATAATTGGGGTCATGTGTTTATTTGAATAAAGAAGAAGTGAAGAGAAAAATGCTCTGATCTGGTGACTTCTGATTTCCTCAGAAAATAGACCTTCAGAAGGAAAAAGCAAGGAGATATCTAGACACACATAGAAAAGAAATGATAAAGGTCTGCCTACAAGGAAGGCTACTAGTAACTATAATAATAGGAACCATTGACTTAGAACCTTCTGTTCCTGGTTTTCATTCCCTTTTAAAATCCTAATTTGTGCTAATCAGAAAAAGACTATTTAGCATCTATTTAGGTGCTGAAATTCTGTAGCTTCTCATTTATTTTCTGTAAAGTTAAGCTATGCAGTTCTTCATCAATCACAAATATTTATTAATTGATTACTGCAAGAAAGGAAATGAGCCAGGTTTTGTAGTACAAACAAAGTAGCATATGGCTGCAGTGGACGTTTGTAGGATTTTTTTTTTTTTTTTGATGCTCAGTATTCAAGCTCCTTTTTACTTGTGGACATGCTCCAATGTGTGGTTCTGGTGAAATGGAAGCAGAATGGGGCAGATGTCCCTTTTGTCTTACTCTTCTTGTATCTAGGGTATGAATGTATGATGTAAGCTGAGGTCATTTCTCCCTTTGGTACTTTTATCCTGAAAACAGTGACCCAAAGACACAAAGACTGTTTAGAAATTATTATATGGTGGCAAAGAGAGTCAAGCAGCAGTGATGTCCCCTGGGGCAGGGATGATGCGACCAGCAGCAGTATCTTAGCCAGATTGTTCCTATGGCTTGACTTTGACTATGATTCTTGTTTTGGAGTCTGATTCTTACCTGCTTTCTGAATCTGCTTCTTCAGCTTCCCTTTGATATTTTGCCTCAGTTAGCTAGAGCAGATTTCTATTTGTCAGCCAAGAAGTCTGACTGATGAAATGTAAACACAGCTCCTTTCTCCATATGTGTCTCTGGGATTCAGTCTATTTCCATCTTGTGACTTCACCGTTTCAGCCTGGCTTCCAGAGTTGCCACAGCAGAGAAAGCGAGAGTGTGAGAACTCATACTCTCTCTTAAACAGTTTGGCCCAGAAGCACACAAAGCACTTTTTCTCATGACTGTTACCCAGAATCAGTCACATGACCTCACCTGACTGCAAGGAGTCAGGAACTAGATCCCTGTGTGTCTAGGAGGAAGAGGATGTTCACATATGGGTGGACATTAGTAGTCTGTGTCATAGACAGTGTAGATGAAGTGGTAAGAGTTCACTAAAAGCAGAAAGTGTTGGAGGTTTAGAAGGTCAGAGAAAGTGTATCAGAAACAGCTTGAGTGCTTCCTCTGGTTACTCTGCACCAACATCTCCTGAACCATTAGTCTTAGCCACAGAGCCCAAGTGGTTCCAGCACCCGCTGCTACCCAATTGCTGGGTGGTCTGGGCTGTGTAGCTTCTTCTGCCACTTTTTGATTTGAGTGAAATGCTGCACAGTGATGTGTGGAATCTAAGTGGGTACCAAAGGGGCTGAATGCAGCTAACTGGAAGGGCTGGGAAACAGACTGCCTGTGGTTCAAACTTGACTAGTGGAAAACAGGAGTCAGGATGCAACTAGGCAGATACGTTCCCTTTTTCTTCCTCGTCTTTGAGGCATAGTTTCTCTGTAAGGTCAGTCAGTAGACCTGTTGTGTCTCTTCACGGCTCATTGTAAATCAGTGGCCAGCATGGAAATATTTCCCCTTTTAAGTTTTCCCATCTTTTCCTGTTTTATTTTCTTTCTCCCTCACTCTTATTGACCTAGGATTGTGTTCCCAAAGAAAACATCAGCACTTAATATGTGCCTCAGGCTGTGCTTTTTAGGAAACTCAGACTAACAGCAGGCTTCATGCAAAATAAATTAATATTATACACACTTACCTGAGCTTTAAAAATACTAATTATATGCAAGACTTACATTAAGAAAACTTGAAGAATAGAAGTTTAGTCTATTATAAATTAAGAGATAATGGTGTATTTTCAGAAAGCATTCCTTTCTGTATTTACCAATCTTTCACTGTCAAGTCAGGAGAGGATGAAGAGTTTTAAGAACGTTGAGATCATAATAAAAGTTTACAACTTTCAAGTTCTCTGAAACTAAACTACATCGTTGTGAAGGTAAATCTAGTCACACCAGGGTAGAAGGTAGCACAGAACAGTGTGGCTATCAAAACAACAAATAGAATTTGTAATGCAGAGTATTTAATATTCAGAAACAAAGCAAATAACTTAAGATACAAATAGATACAGTTAGGCAGGTGGAATAGAATCAAATCAGCCAACTTCAAAACAGTTGAATTGTTTGAGGATAAACTTAAGTTTTACTGAGCTATATATGTTTGATAAACGTTCATATTATTCTATGAGGTTCTGAATGGGATGCATCTAGAAAAAAATAACTTCTACTGGAAACATGTCAACCTGATTCAGAATCTGGAAAGATATTAACAGAATATCATACTATAAGTATTTACTATCTAAAAGCTCTAATCAAGGAGCTTAGAAATCCATTATCCTAGGCCTGAATCTCTTCCACAATATCTTCACTTCTGGTCCTTCTGCGTTTGCTTGCAGAAGGCTAATCATGGGGAATTTGCTTTCTCAATCGAAAAATGATTTCTGGGGTCATCGTGTGAGTGTGTGTATGTCTTAAAAGTAAAATTTGCCACCCTTTAACTTTAACTGATCCTAGGTCCTTAAACCAAACAAAAATGGTCTAATTGCTCTCCCATATGATAGTACTTAAAATACTTGAAGACAGTTTTCATATTTTCTCCGGGACTCCTGTGCTCCAGGCTAAATATCTACCACTTCATCAATTACTCCTCTTATGATTTCGTGTTTTTGTTTTGGCGTGACCCATGTTGAGTTTCTAAGTGAAGGAGAATCCGTCACTTTCTCTGATTGAGACATTATATTCTTCAAAAATGTAATGCCCAGAACTGAACACAGAATTTTAGGTATTGTGAGACCCATGTAGAATGGATAGGATTGTCAGTTCCTTTATTGAAGATTCCATACTTCCATTAATGCAATCTAAAATTACACTACTTTTCTTAGTGGCCACTGTTGACTGCAATAAAACATAGCCAGCTGCTAAACCATTAATTTTTTCCCTTCTGTTGCTTCCCAGCCATACATCTTCCATTTTGTCCTTGTATTAATTTGTTTTGAACCCCAATTTAGTGCTTTACATGAATTGTTATTAAAGTTCATTTTATTTGATTCAGGCCATCATTAATGCCTATGGAGATTATTTTTTGATTCAGAATCTGCCAACTAAGATAGTTACTATCTTCTTAGATTTTGAACACAGGCCTTCAATGATAAGCAAATTGACAAGAAAGAACCAAGGATGACACTGTGGCATATCAGTAGATAGTGCAGGTTGACCTCAGCCTGATATTCAATCAGTACTCATTGGGTACCATCATCAGTCAGTTAAAATGTGTAGCTGTACCAAGCTCAAGACACTTTATCAGGAGATTTGTTGAAATACATTTCCACTTGTTCTACCACTTTTCTATTGCCTTAGTGACATTCAAGAAAGAGAAGGCAGCTCTTGGCATCCTGCTTTATTCCAGGTACAGTCAGTGAGGCCTTGGTGTTCCCAGGTGGCCTGGTGTTCACAACTAGGTCTTGGTTTTCTCTTGTTGGATGTAAACTTCACAGAACATGCCCCATCAAATAAGACCCACTCTGTGACCATGATGGATCAAGACAATGACTCTATAATCATGTTTGAACACAGACAAAACATTAACGTTGTCCATGTCTGATATGGTTTGGCTGTGTCCCCACCCAAATCTCTATCTTGAATTTTAGCTCCCATAATTCCCACGTGTTGTGGGAGGGACCTGGTGGGAGATAATTGAATCATGGGGGTGGTTTCCCTCAGACTGTTCTTGTGGTAGTGAATAACTCTCACAAGATCTGATGGTTTTATACAGGGAAACCCCTTTCACTTGACTCTCATTCTCTCTCCTGTCTGCTGCCATGTAAGATGTGACTTTCACCTTCCATCATGATTGTGAGGCCTCCCCAGCTGTGTGGAACTGTGAGTCAATTAAACTTCTTTCCTTTGTGAATTACCCCAGTCTCATGTATGTCTTTATTAGCAGCATGAGAACAGACTAATACAAAGTCACAAGTTATCAAACCTTTCCCTCTCCTGCCTAATGTAATGGACTGTTACTTCTTTGGCAATTACAGCTTTATCTTTGCTTTACTCTGCTTTTCCTATAGATAAGATTTATTGAGATACCTAATCATAGAATTGTCCCCACTGTCTGACAGAATCCAATCTAAAATGAACTTACCCATCCCTAGAGCCTCCCCAAAGAACTCAAGCCCAAATTTTATAATAGGTTATTTCTAACACCATCTTACTGGGTGCCTCATGGTTTCCCCATAATGAATGTTATCCCATGCAGCAATGCATAATAAACCTAACTTAATCAACTACAGTTGTGTTTTTGGTAGTCTTTGGCTGGAGGCGTTGATATCCTATCAGAAAAGAAGGAAACAGTGTCCTACACAAATGCATACACACACTCTGTCTCTTAACAGATTTATTATTTTCAGTTTGGCTCTGGGGGTTAGACAGGAGTCACAGTCACAGAACCCTATTAGTGTTTTCTCCAGTTAGGATCCATAGTGGCCCCTGGCTTTCCTAAAGGAGGAGATGGCCTTGTCTCCCTCTGCACGGGCACAGCTCTGTTCATGTTGATTTGAGCACTAATAGTGGAACCCAGGGCACAGTCTATACTATGCTGGCCCTGTGTCCTCAGCAGAAGTCTTCTGCTTGTGTTGTTGTCACCAAATCCAATGATGCTTTCAATGGCATAAGGAAACTACTTAGCTTGTGGTGACTGTGGTGTCTGGCTCTGGGAGAGCAATTCTTCTCTTGAGTTGTGGGCAAGCCTGGCTCATGGGCTGAGGCCAAGGGTGGGATAGAGATAAATGCTTTTCTCTTCTCTGCAGTACCCAGCTAGAACCAGAGTCGCTGAACCAGATCTAGCATTACAAATATTGTATTCATGTGTAGCTTGTATTCATTTAGTTTCAGGGAACATCAGTGTTTTCTTGGCACTGGATTCTATTTGCACTTAAAGCCTGTGATTTTTCTTTTTTGCTACCCGTTTACATACTAACTGTTGTCCCTTACAACAGACTTTATCTTTCCATTTAATTTAATAAATATTTATTCAGCAACAATCAAAGAGCTGTGAAATACAAAGATGAATGAAATATAACTTATCTAAAGAACTAGATAATCTAGAAAATGGGATGAGACATGTACATGAATAGCTGGGTGTTAATCTTTCAGCCAACAAATATTTATTAAGCAAATACTTGTTCAAAGAAGTTCAAAGGAGAATAATCTATTTATTGAGCACCTTCTATGTGTTAATACTGAATCAAGAACTTTTCCTTGGATAGCACCCTTAATTCTCAGAACAACGCTTTGAGATTGATGTTATCACTCAGTTTTGCAGAGGAGATAGCTGTGGCTGTGGTATAACTTGCCAAGATCCCAGGGCTAGTTACGTGTGAAAGCCTGGATTCAAACCCAGACACGGTGACTTTGGATCTGTGCCCTTAAAAAACACTTATCATTTGTGTTTTGTTATTCTTAGGGTTCACAGTTGTTTGGGATGTTGTTGATCTCTGAGAACCTCTGCTTTGGGGAAGCTTAGAAAAATTGTGATGCAAGTGGATGTTTTAGAAGGTGTTTGAATGATTTTTCTGTAGTTACTTCACCTAGGAGCACATGTGAACACACAGGCACCAGAGCAGACCCTGGCATCTGCAGCTATGACTGTACTCTCGTTGTTCTATGTATTCTGTACAGTCTTGGGAGGTTATTTTTAATGCAACATGCCAGAGTGGCATGTTGAAAGAGCCATAGTAACCAGCTAACAGTAACAGCAGGGCCTGCCAAGTAAAAGTTCCGTAAATCAGTCATAAACGCAGTTACAAAATCGGGCCCAGTGTCGTGTGCACGAGGGAGTGTCTCTGGAGAAGGCACAATTCATGCACAGTTTCATGGGATCTCCATGAAATTCCATGGGAGTAGAGAGCTCTGTGGCCATAAAAAAAAAAAAAAAAAAAAAAAAAAAAGGACAGAAAGCAAAAGAGGCTTTCTAATGGGAAACTTGCTCCCATGCCATCAGGTAACTCAGAAAAGCTAAGGAAAAGATGCTCAGAGTAATGAATGCTTTAGATACAAAGTGTCCTCTTGTCTCATGTTTTTAATACTTTTGGAATCATTCCTTTTCTGCTACCACAGCCCACATTCAGGCCTTAATGACTTGGTATACTGCAAAGCCTCATTGCTTTGATGTATCCTCCCTCAAATCCACCAAACGCAAAACAGTAATAATTATCCTAGGCAGAATTTTGAATATCTTACTTATCTTGTGAGAATTTTACAAGGCGCTCCCAAGCACTACCAACCCCCACGAAAAATTCATAATTTGAAACACTAGAGGCTTTCTCCTATGATAGACTTATAGAAAACTCTTTGAGGGAGCAAGATGCTTTACTTGGGATTTGGAAATTGTGAGGCTTTGGGGTAAGGACTTTCTTGTCAGGCAATAGGGACATCGCCAATGAGTACTAACAAATAATGTGTTGCATTTGAAAAGTCAGAGAAATCACCCTCACTGATTTGGCTCCCTGCTGTTACAGAAGATCTGGGCATAGGGAGCAGGTCATTCATGACTGACAGTATATTATACAAGTATAAAATACACCACAGGCAGGGAATTGGAGCATTGACAAACTTAATGCTCGATAAAAGAGTTAATCTGTGCTTACTGGAGTGGACTATGTTGCCTCTTCCCTTTGATGCCCCTTCTGATTTTACAAATAGCTGGCTCTCTCCTTGCTTACCTATTTGTTTAGAAATCACTATCCTCTTTGTAGAGGAGTGTTAGGTAGGGGAAGAAAAGGATGAGATAAACCCAAAGGGAAAACTTGGAGCAATGCCACCACCTGAAGAGCAATTTTCATTTAGATAAAACCCCTCTGCCTATATAACCTCGGTTATGACCTGGGAAGATATGATTTAGCTTACAACTTTACAGAAATATTGGTACTGGTAAAATGAGGTGTGGCTGTGTAACCCGAAGGACTAGAGATAAGTTTAAGTGGAAAGCTCTTTCCAATATGCTTGATGAGGACGCCTCCCTTGATTGGGAATTCCCCACTTCGGGTGTTCTCCCAGAATGAGATTCTTATTGAACAAAAGGGAGTTATGAGGCTGATTTTTCTCTGTTGACTATGAATGTTTTTATATTTCAGGAATTTTAATATTTTACACAGTTTTGTTTCTTATTGTGGTAATATATACATAATGCAAAATTAACCACCTTAGCCATCTTTAAGTGTTGCAACTCAGTGGCAATTAAATATATTCACAGTGTTGAACAACCATCAGCACTAGCCATTTCCAGAACTTTTTCATCATGCCAAATAGAAACTCTGTACCCCTTAAACAATAATTGCCCATTTCTCCTTTCCCTAGCCCTTGGTGACCTCTATTTTACTTTCTGTCTCTGTGAATTTTCCTATTCTATGTATCCCATATAAGTGGAATCACAGAATATTTGCCCTTTTGTGTCTGGCTTCTTTTGCTCAGCATGTCTTCAAAGTTCATCCATATTGTAGCTTGTATCAGAATTTCATTTCCTTTTAAGGCTGAATAATATTCCATTGTATGTAATATACCCATATTTCTTATCCATTGCTGGAGTTTTGGGTCATTTTCACCTTTTGACTATCATGTATAATGCTGCTATGAACATTGGTGCACACGTATCTGAGTCTGTCCTTTCCTTTCCTTTGGGTATATATCTAGCAGCGGAATTGCTAGGCCTTTTGACGATTCTATGTTAACTTTTTGAGAAACTTTGGAGACTTGTAAAGAGAGTATAAATCAAAGAGGCAGACTCATTTCAGAGTCTGAGCTGGAACCCAAATGAGGAGTATTAATAGGATTTAGTTAAAAAAAAAAAAGGACTGTTGACCCTGATGTGAATCGTTTGAGTGGAGCGGTGGAGAGAGAAACCAGGCATATTTAAGATGGAGGAATCCTGAGCATGCTTAAGTGTTGTGGGAGATATGAAAGGGAGGGGACAGTCAGCAGAGTGAGGTCTCCAAGAAGGCAGGAAAAGGAGTTGCCTTGGCCTGCTTTGAGAATCTACCTCTTTATAATGAGAGGCAAGGACAGCGTCAGGTGCAACCCAGTGTAACCAATCAAAGGTATTTACTGAGTTTGGCACTGTGCAGGAAGATAAAGTGAAACACTACTTGGATTTTACCATAAATGACACAGTGGAAAGGCTTGAACCTCGAACCAAAAGTAGGGTAGAAAATACTCAATGTCACAAGGGAAAGGTAAAAAGCAGGTGTTAGATCCTCAGCAGAAGGACAAGGTACTTTCAGCTGTAGAGGAGGACAAATAACGAGGAAAGCCTTTGCCGCAGTGTAAACTATTCTGGATGGGATTTGAGATCTGGATAGGCATTGACACCTGGCAAAGTGGGGGAAAGTTCATGCTACCCAAACTGTATTCTACCACATACTTAGGTATTATATGAAAAGTGGGAACAGTGGTCAAATTAATTTAGAAAGTGCTGTATCTAGGAAAACCATATTGTACAATGTAAGACATTTTTAAAAGCTAAAAGGGACACTGGTAATTATGCTGGGATAACAGGTATACATTGGGACTGTTCTAGGCCGACTGAGATGAGTGGTTATCTATACCACTTCTATACCATATTTTACCTTTGAAGATTTAAATGAACATTAGAATTGTAAAAGGTTCTGAGACTTACTATAGTAAGGAAACCTATTTTACGCTGGTTAATCCAGCATTTTCCAAATTTATTTGACCATGGAATCCCCACCCTACTTCCCCTCCCCTTCCGAGGAGTATTTATTAGCACCTAATAAATACTCCAAAGGCAGAGAGATGAAAGAGATGTGGGGATCAGGGAGGATTTGGTTTGGCAGAAAGAAAGCAATGGAAGATGAGAAATGTGGGTTGAGCCATGTCTTAGTGGCTTTTGAGGGCCAGATTTAGAACTTTTACTTGATGAAAGCCTTTTCTCATAGCACCAAATGGTGCTGTGTGCCTACAACTCAAAAAGAATTTTGAAGAATCATGATTTTCAGGAGGATAAAATGGCATATTTTTCCTGGTTTTCCTACTGCTGTTCCTTCTTTAATCTCTGAGATTAGTGGAGACAAAACCCTCCAATTTTGGAGTTTTCTTCCATTTTTGAGGTATTAAGGGATGAGTTGTAAAACTCCCATCTGAAGTCGTGTCTTCTTCTCTTAACCTGGTTTCATTCGTGAGGTCTAAAGGATAAAGGCATGGGAGAATGCCTAGGCTTTGAAAAGAAAAGTCATCTAGATTTCATTCACGATTGTGACTGCTATAACTTTAAATATAGATTTGAATGCAAAGAGTTAGCATGGTTACAGCAGCCTAGTAATAAGTGAAGATCAATGATTATTACGTGACCACAGTTAGGCTTTTCTTAATTAGAGGTCGCATATCTGGCAACCTGGTTAACTGGACAATAGACAGGTAAGAAACAGAAGTTATTAAAAACAAACTTCTTGAGAAGTTATGGCACAAACTTTACATTGAAGGCCACACAATTCTCAGAAAAACTCATTATTTATAAAACCTTATTTGCACACACACTTCCAGTAAATTAAGTGAGCTAAATTTTTTGTACATGATAAATTTAAAGGCAAATTAAAAGGGAAGAAAAAATTAACAGTGGTAGGTACATTTAAGTGAAAAGAGAAAGTGTGAACTATAAAAATTCAAAGGACTAACATGGTGTAAGGTTCTGAAGGCATTTTAGAGGGAAAAAGTCCACCAAATCTCAACTATTCTCTCTGAGGATACCATTCAGTTATACCATAGAATCATACTTATTTAAAAGGCTTATCTTTGACTCACCAAAAGATATTAAAGCATGTAACATTACTCAGTTTAAGATGGCAAGAAAGGGCTGGATGTGGTTCCTCACTTTGGAAGGCTGAGGTAGATGGATCGCTTGAGGCCAGGGATTCGAGACCAGCCTGGTCAACATAGCAAGATCCCATCTCTACAAAAAATAAAAAAAGTTGCCAGATGTGGTGGTTTGTACCTGTAGTTCCAGCTACTAGGGAGGCTGAGGTGGGAGGATTGAGCTCAGGAAGTCAAGGCTGCAGTGAGCTGTGATCGTGTCACTGCACTCCAGCCTAGGCAACAAAGTGAGACTGTCTTAAAAAAAAAAAAAAAAAAAAAAAAAAAGGTGGCAGGCCAGGCACGGTGGCTCACGCCTGTAATCCCAGCACTTTGGGAGGTGAGGCGGGCGGATCACAAGGTCAGGAGTTCGAGACCAGCCTGGCCAACAT
The DNA here is from genome assembly GCF_000001405.40 of Homo sapiens. NCBI lineage: Eukaryota > Metazoa > Chordata > Mammalia > Primates > Hominidae > Homo > Homo sapiens. Next base: position 92,949,342 of record NC_000007.14, read on the forward strand.
GGTGAAACCCTATCTCTACTAAAAATACAAAAAAATTAGCTGGACATGGTGGCATGCGCCTGTAGTCCCAGCTGTAGCTACTTGGGAGGCTGAGGCGGGAGAATCGCTTGAACTCGGGAGGTGGAAGCTGCAGTGAGCTGAGATTGTGCCACTGACTCCAACCTGGATGACAGAGCAAGACTCTGTCTCAAAAAAAAAATAAAATGGCAAGAAGGCATGTATGACATTTTGGAAAGAGTTCAATCCAAAATGCTTGTGATTTTAAGTTTGGTCACTTGAAAGTTCTGTTATCTGGGGCAGTCAATATATAAATCTGATATTCTATCCAGGTGTCTTTTCCTTTAGAAAGAAGTTCATTGTCAACTTTTTCCAACTGTATTTCAACATCAATTATTAATCCTTTAGGTTAAAAGAGGATCAACATGGCAACAAAGTGTTTTGGAAATAGCCTCTTGTGATTTGAAGATTAAATAAATCATTAAATTAAATTACTATATAATCAAATGTTTATGGCTGTTTGAAGTTGGCCACTCTGTAAAGAGACATCGGCTGAATTATGTCATAAAATATGGCAGCTAAACTCTTACCTTATCACCTTAAAAGCCACTTGTGGTTCTTATATGAGGATGTTGGCTGTTCAGGGTAGTGAGCAACAATCCTGTGTGTCAAGAAGCAGCTGTGGCCTTGTATCAGCTCTGCCTTCCAAGAAGAGAGGGCCAACAGTGCAGTCCACAGAGAGCTATTTTTTCCTTAATATTTGATTTTGGAGTATTTTTGCCCACTTTAAAGGTACTTGGCAATCTTTGCCTCCAAAAGTGGGGGAAAAAATCAAACAAAGCTCCCTTTAAGTTAAACACAAATAGAATTTGGAAATTGTGGAGAAAAAAAAAAACACCTCTCATGCTCAGTTTGCCACTGTTAAGAATAACAAAGCACTGTTCATAACATATGGCCATCAATCCTTACTTCTTGGAAAACAATAGCATTTCTACTTCTTATTCCAAATTGAGCTAGACAGTTGAAGAGTAAATCATAATTAGAAGAATACATTTCTTCTCTAACAATCTGAACATGCTAAGATTTATCAGTCTCTTATTATATAATTTAATGTGGTTTGCTTTTACCCATTTTTTCTTCATCAGAAATATAGGTAGATTTCTAAAAAAATCTGTCTCTAATGTATTAGGAAACCCTGAAATTTTTAAACAACTAGCTAGAAAAGGCTATGTTGAAAGTATGTAGGACACTCTCCTGAATAGTAATTTGGACAGAAACAAGCACACAAACCAACCTATTGCACGGCTCAGGGACATTATGGCTGCCATTCCATGAGAGAGGTTGGGAGGGACACAAAATTGGTCCAATCCATACAGTTTGACTTTTATTTTTTTAAAAGTAGAAGAATTTTAGGACTTGAGGAAATCCCAGTGTGTGATCCTGGACCAGCAGCATTGGCACCACCTGGGAGCCTGATGGAACTGCAAATTCATGGATCTCACCATCCCAGGACACCTGAATCAGAATCGCTCAGGTGGAACACAGGAATCTGTGTCATAGAAACTCTCCCAGGTGATTCTGGTGTGTACTAAAGTTTGAGATCCATCTGTTGATTGACTTTCCCTTCTGACATCACTGTGGAGCACCATTGACTTTATTGACTGTATGGGAAATGTTTATTATCTTCTAAGGCAACCCATTCCATATTTGGATAGCTTTGAGTTTTCAGAGAAAAGTCTGATATTGAGCTGATAACTGTGTCTCCGAATCTCTCTTCTGTCGCCGCAATTCTACACAAGCCTTTTCCTTTTCCTACACAAGCCTACAGTTCCTTTTCCTCTGTAGGGTTGTGAGACAGCCCTGAAGGATGGGTAACAACAGACAGGTTCTGGGTTTGAATCCGAGCTCTGTCATTAATGCCTGTGTGACTTTTGTACAAGTTATCTAACTCTGAGTTTGTTTCCTCATCCATAAAGGGAGGATAATATCAGTACTTTTCTATAGTGTTGTGGTGAGGATTAATTGAGATAATGCATGTACTTAGCACATAGTGATGACTATTATTCTGGAGGATGACTCTTTACACATTTTAAGGCAGTTATATTCCCCTCTGAGTTTGTTTCTATCCAAGGTAGATATGTCCCTATTTCTCTCCACCATCAATATTATGATGATATGCTTTTGGATCCTCTCCAAATGCCCTTCAGTTTCTATATTCATGTCCCTACCAAAGTGTGGCTCCCAAAATGGAAGGAGTTCCATATTCTAGATTTGCACAGTTGAACTAGTATGGCCTTTTGACTTTAAATAACTATTCGTCTGTCTATGTAGCCAAACATAGCTATGTTGACTATCATGAGTCCTGTAGACTCACACTAATCCTGCTTTCAACAAAAACACTGAAGTATTTTAAAAGAAGTATTACTTTTTTAGCTGGGGGTGGTGACACACCTGTAGTCCCAGCTACTCAGGAGGCTGAGGCAGGAGGATTGCTTGAGTCCAGGAATTTGAGACCTGCCTGGGCAATATGGTGAGACCATATCTCTAAAATAAATACATATATATATACACACACACATACAAACACACACACACACACACACACATACATATATATATATATATATATATATATACATATATATATATATATATATATATAGAGAGAGAGAGAGAGAGAGAGAGAGAGAGAGACAGACAGACACCCTGTTGCCCAGGCTGGAGTGCAGTGGCACGATCTCAGCTCACTACAACCTCCGCCTCCCAGGTTCAAGTGATTCTCCTGCCTTAGCCTCCTGAGTAGCTGGGATTACGGGTGCACACCACCATGCCTGACTAATTTTTGTATTTTTGTAGAGACGGGGTTTCACCATGTTGGCCAGGCTGGTCTCGAACTCCTGGCCTCAAGTGATCCACCCACCTTGGCCTCCCAAAGTGCTGGGATTACAGGTGTGAGCCATTGCGCCCAGCCAATAAATATTATTTTAATTACACAAATGATATGCATTCAATAAGCAAAAAGAAAAACAATGCCACCAATAATCACTACACAGAGATAATTATAGTTAAAAATTTAGAATATATTTTTCCAGACTGTAAAAAAAAAAGATATTCGGTAGTGAATGATTTGGAAAGCCAACAGCATGGACTTTGGAGCCTAAGAGAACTGTACTCAAATACTGGCTAGTTGTGTAACACTTGAAAAATTGTATAATCTCTCCTAATCCCATTCCTCACTGGTAAAATAGGAATAATTAGATCTATCCTTTTAGCTGATGTGAGATCTAAATGAGATACTATTTGTGAACCACAAAACAAGATTTCAGTAGGTAGTACTCTTATCATCATAATTACATAAATTACATGGATATTTTACCAAAAAAAGAATCATACCTTCTAATTTGGTATCAGCTCTTTTTCCATAAAAAGCTCTCTATTTTAATAAATTTATTCTTTTTATTTCAAAATTATGATAGACTTACAAAAATTTGAAAAATTATTCCAAAGAAGTCCTGTACACCCTTCAGTTAGCCTCCCCTGCAATGGCAACCTTTTACATAAGTATAGTACGTTATCAAAACCAGAAAATTGACATTAGTGTAATACCATTAACTAGACTATAGATTTTGTTTATATAGTTCTTTCCTATTGGGGATATTTTGTATGCATATTCATGAATGTGTATGTTTTTCCATTATTAACAATGTTATGATTAACCCTCTGGTAGCTAAATATTATGTGCATCCTTAATTATTTAATGAAGAAAATTACTATAAGTGTAATTATTAGGATGAAAGCTCTGCATGTTTTTTTGATTTCCAATACACGTGGCCAAATTGTTTCTGAAGGGCTTACAAGTTCCCACTTTCACATGATGTATATGAGAAAGTCTATTTCTTCACACCCTTTTCAGCATTGAGAATTACAATTCTTTGTAGCTTATCAATTTGATAGGTTGAGGGATTACTGTTTTAATTTCTTTGATTAATAATGCATATAGTTTTATTATTTATTTCTTCTTTATGTGGTTGTCAGTTCAAGCTAGTTCAAACCTGAGTCTTCAAAAATACACACACACACACACGCAGCCCCACACACCGGCACACACTCACACATATTGTTCCATGCCTCTCCCATCCTGTACTTGTATGTAGTTTTTTTTTAATATGGGCTAGAGTGCAGAAACTTACATTTTCCTCATTGTAATCATTTTGTTAAATTCAGCCAAATGTTTCAGCTTTCTGGATCCTAATTCTCTCATCCTGTGTTTGCTCTCCTTTCCGTTTTTTTTTTAACTGGAAATCTGATAAATATGCAAAAAATATCTTTTTATTCTCATCTTTCAAAACAGGATTAGCAAGACGGCTCTGTCCAGAGCCTGTGGCACTCCCTCTGAAACTGGCCCTTGTAGTGACATTAACCAGTTAATTAGATGGATTTACAGAATTACTTCCTGGTAGGCAGAGCTGTCATCCCCACTGTGGATGTTGTTGGAACTCCAAGTGTTCAAATGCTCTCTCAGCCTTAGTGTGTTGATCACTGCAGCTGCGTGTTGAGGTCCTCTGATGCAATAGGATCACAAAGTTTTGATTTCCCTGTTGACTGTAGACTTCTGAGAGGTTGGTGATAATATCTCATTTGTCCTTTTGTGTCTCTCCTCATCCCTCCCCCAGTTTCTTTCCATAGCAGTCATTCAATGAAAGTATATAAAATTGAATATAAATTTTCCTGGTTCTTAAGCACTTAGGGACAAATGATTCACCTCTTCTCCTTTCCCCACAGTTAGGCGTTTCCATCCTATATCCAAGTAGCAATATATACACAATAAAACCTCAATTAACTGGACTCCAGTTACTCAGAAATTTAAATTAATTAGATAATATTATGCACTCCATTGTTGAAACGGGAGAGATTGCGCAAAAATGCTTATACCTTATAGTTTTAAGAGTACTTTCTTATTTGTTTTGTGGAGCTACAGTAAGAACTTATTAAAGATGAACTTGAAGCACTGAGAGTTTCTAGGTCATAACAATTAAATTATCTTCTTTAATGAGAAAAGCAGACCAATACACTTAGAAAATATTTTCAAGGAGCATTGAAGCTTAAAAGTAAATTTCTGGTTATTCAGAAACACACAAGTCTCAAACATTCTGGTTAATTGAGATTTATTATGCCCTCTTTTCACTTAAGTCTAGCTTCTTTGTGGTTTCAGACCATTAACATTTTGTCATTAGTTATTTGTCCAAGCCTAAAATCTGCATTTTTTGCCTAAACATTCTACAAACCTATCTCACGGAATCCTCACAACAAAAAAATGTACAGAACCTTTTTAGAAGAAAATAATTGACGTGGACTTCTAATGCTGAGGTCAATTATCTTAAATACCATGCTTCTACAGTATGTACAGTGATAAAACTGGATTCAGATTCATGATACTTATAGCTCCTATTAAAATAACAAAACAAGGGCAAATTTAGTAATTAATATAAATCAAATGACAAAACAATGTAATCTAAATGAACCATATATGATTGATGTGATGGATAGTTTTGTTTGAGCTTTGGGCTTAATATAAGAAAAAAAGGCTTATGTTGACTTGATTCTTTTGATTTTGAGCACTATGAGCCTTTGTTTGAATAATCATCATGATCAGTATCATTAATTTTTCTCTTAAGCAATTGTCTTGTTTTTAACATTGGCCCTTTGTTTTGATGGAGCAGTCATTTGAATAATGTACCCCAAAAACAATAATAAAAAGCAGTTAAAAGTTGCTTTATAACAAACTTCACAACAGGTGTACTATCACCCATATTGTTAACGAGCTGGGACAATTTGGTCTGTACAAACCAGGACCTACAATACATTCACTCCCAGGGCTCCCAGTATGTGGTGGTCTGACTGCTGTCATGGGTAATTTGAGTCTAGTTTCCTTTTATTGGCATGAACTTTGTGGTGGCCGGGTTTTCCCATCACTTTTTTCTACGTAAATGACTCTCAACCTCGTGTCTGCAGCTTGCCCCAAGGCGTTTTGGCTTTTCCTGTGGTGAGAAGGAGATTGTAAACATGAATAAAGCATGGGCACTAATGTTATCTGTTGGTGGTCATCAAGATAATCCCAACAAACGTCTATACTACTTTTTTCAACTTTTGTTGAAGTGAAAATTCCGAATTAAAACATTCTAAGGTAACTTCACAGGGGTTGACATTTTGAGAAACTTTGTAAACAGCTTTATTAGGATATAGTTCACATACCCTACAATTTACCCATTTAAAGTGTACAGTTCAGGCTGGGCCTGGTGGCTCATGCCTGTAATCCCAGCACTTTGGGAGGCGGAGGCGGGCGGATCACGAGGTCAAGAGATCGAGACCATCCTGGCCAATATGGTGAAACCCCGTCTCTACTAGAAGTACACAAATTAGCTGGGCCTGGTGGCATGCGCCTGTAATCCCACCTACTCAGGAGGCTGAAGCAGGGTAATTGCTTGAACCTGGGAGGTGGAGGTTGCAGTGAGCCAAGATCGTGCCACCGCACTCCAGCCTGGCGAAAGAGCGAGACTGTATCTCAAAAAAAGAAAAAAAAAAAGTGTACAGTTCAATGGTTTTATTAGGTTGGTGCAAAAGTAATTGCAATTTTACCATTACAATTTCAATGGCAATTACTTTTGCACCAACCTAATAGTATATTGACAGAGTTGTGCAACCACCACCAGTTGATTTTAAAACATTTTAATCACTTCAAAAATAAACCCTGTTCCCTGTTATCTATCACCCCCCTATTCCTTTATTCTCCATCACCCAGCTTCCCCAGTCTTTTTTTGTTTTCTGTCTCCCAGGCTGAAGTGCAGTGGTGTGATCATAGCTCACTACAGTCTCTAATTCCTCGGTTTAAGGAATCTTCCTGCCTCAGCCTCCCAAGTAGCTGGGACTACAGGTATGTGGTACCATGCCTGGCTCCTCTCCCTTAGTATTAAACCATCACTAATTTATGTTCTGCCTCTTTAGATTTCTCTGTTCTGGCCTTTCATATGAATGGAACCATATAGCATGTGGTCTTTTGTGACTAGCTTATTTCACTTAGCACAGTGTCTTCAAGATTCATCCACTCTGTAGCATGTATCAGTATTTCATTTCTTTTTATGACTAAATCTTCCATTGTATAGACATACTACCTTTTGTTCATTTGTCAGTTGATGGATGTTTAGATTGTTTCCACCTTTTGACTATGGTAAAACATTCATGTAAAAGTTTATGTTAATGTATGTTTTCATTTCTGTCAAGTATATATCTAGGAGTGAAATTGCTTGATCAAATAATAACTCTATGTTTAATTCTTTGAGGAAGAACAAGACTGTTTTTCAAAGTGCCGCACCATTTTACCTTACCACCAGCAGTGTATGACAGCTCCAGTTTCTCCACATCCTTGCCAACACTTGTTACTATCTGATTTTTTTTTCTAAGTCACCCTAGTGGGTGTGAAGGGGAATCCCATTTTGATTCTAACTCTTAAACTGTGCTCAGTGCTAATTTTGTTTTCATGTGTTTGTTGCATCATTGGTTGTTCTTTTTAAAAAACGGACATCATTTCTTTGTTCTTTATTTGAATACTCTAAACTTATTTGAAAATCTTCATCAGACTATTTTTGATAAATTATTTTCATCTGGAGCAAATATTTGCTTAGTCTGTCTTAGTATTACAGTTTCTCAAACACTTTGGAATTTCAGTGTATAGGCTGATTTTCAGTCAGATATATTTTATTAAGACCCTCCCCTTTATGGGCCAATATTCAACATTCTTAAAATAATTTTCAACCCAGAATTTCATATCCAGCGAAACTAAGCTTCATAAGTGAAGGAGAAATAAAATCCTTTACAGACAAGCAAATGCTGAGAGATTTTTATCACCACAAGACCTGCCTTACAAGAGCTCCTGAAAGGAAGCAGTAAACATGGAAAGGAACAACCGGTACCAGCCACTGCAAAAACATGTCACATTGTAAAGACCATTGATGCTAGGAAGAAACTGCATCAACTAACGAGCAAAAGAACCAGCTAACATGATAATGATGGGATCAAATTAACACATAACAATATTAACCTTAAATGTAAATGAGCTAAATGTTCCAATTAAAAGACACAGACTGGCAAATTGGATAAAGAGTCAAGACATATAGGTGTGCTGTATTCAGGAGACCCATCTCACATGCAGAGACACACATAGGCTCAAAATAAAGGGATGGAGGAAGATCTACCAAGTAAATGGAAAACAAAACAAAACGAAAAGCAGGGGTGGCAATCCTAGTCTCTGATAAAACAGACTTTAAGCCAACAAACATGAAAAGAGACAAAGAAGGCCATTACATAATGGTAAAGGGATCAATTCAACAAGAAGAGCTAACTCTCCTAAATATATATGCATCCAATACAGGAACAACCAGATTCATAAAGCAAGTCCTTAGAGATCTACAAAGAGACTTAGACTCCCACACAATAATAGTGGGAGACTTTAACACCCCACTGTCAACATTAGACAGACCAATGAGACAAAGTTAACAAGGATATCCAGGACTTGAACTCAGCTCTGTACCAAGCAGACCTAACAGACATCTACAGAACTCTCCATCCAAAATCAAAAGAATATACATTCTTCTCAGCACCACATCCCACTTATTCCAAAATTGACCACATAGCTGTAAGTAAAGCACTCCTCAGCAAATGTAAAAGAACAGAAATTATGACAAACTGTCTCTCAGACCACAGTGCAATCAAACTAGAACTCAGGATTAAGAAACTCACTCAAAACCACTCAACTACATGGAAACTGAACAACCTGCTCCTGAATGACTACTGGGTACATTACAAAATGAAGGCAGAAATAAAGATGTTCTTTGAAACCAATGAGAACAAAGACACAACATACCAGAATCTCTGGGCCACATTTAAAGCAGTGTGTAGAGGGAAATTTATAGCACTAAATGCCCACAAGAGAAAGCAGGAAAGATCTAAAATTGACACCCTACCATCACAATTAAAAGAACTAGAGTAGCAAGAGCAAACACATTCAAAAGCTAGCAGAAGGCAAGAAATAACTAAGATCAGAGCAGAACTGAAGGAGACACAAAAAACCCTTCAAAAGATCAATGAATCCAGGAGCTGGTTTTTTGAAAAGATCAACAAAATTGATAGATGGCTAGCAAGACTAAGAAAAGAGAGAAGAATCAAATAGATGCAATAAAAAATGATAAAGGGGATATCACCACTGATCCCACAGAAATACAAACTACCATCAGAGAATACTATAAACACCTCTATGCAAATAAACTAGAAAATCTAGAAGAAATGGATAAATTCCTGGACACATACACCCTCCCAAGACTATACCAGGAAGAAGTTGAATCTCTGAATGGACCAATAACAGGCTCTGAAATTGAGGTGATAATTAATAGCCTATCAACCAAAAAAAGTCCAGGATGAGATAGATTCACAGCCGAATTCTACCAGAGGTACAAGGAGGAGCTGGTTCCATTCCTTCTGAAACTATTCCAATCAATAGAAAAAGAGGGAATTCTCCCTAACTCATTTTATGAGGCCAGCATCATCCTGATACCAAAGCCTGGCAAAGACAAAACCAAAAAAGAGAATTTTAGACCAATATCCCTGATGAACATTGATGCAAAAATCCTCAATAAAATACTGGCAAACTGAATCCAGCAGCACATCAAAAACTTATCCACCATGATCAAATGGGCTTCATCCCTGGGATGCAAGGCTGGTTCAACATACGTAAATCAATAAATGTAATCCACCATATAAACAGAACCAAAGACAAAAACCACATGCTTATCTCAACAGATACAGAAAACGCCTTTGACAAAATTCAACAGCCCTTCATGCTGAAACCTCTCAATAAACTAGGTATTGATGGGATGTATCTCAAAATGAGAGCTATTTATGACAAACCCACAGCCAATATCATACTGCATGGGCAAAAACTGGAAGCATTCCCTTTGAAAACTGGCACAAGACAGGGATGCCCCCTCTCACCACTCCTAATCAACATAGTGTTGGAAGCTCTGGCCAGGGCAATCAGACAGGAGAAAGAAATAAAGGGTATTCAATTAGGAAAAGAGGAAGTCAAATTGTCCCTGTTTGCAGATGACATGCTTGTACATTTAGAAAACCCCTTCATCTCAGCCCATAATCTCCTTAAGCTGATAAGTAATTTCAGCAAAGTCTCAGGACATAAAATCAATGTGCAAAAATCACAAGCATTCCTATACAACAGACAGAGCCAAATCATGAGTGAACTCCCATTCACAATTGCTTCGAAGAGAATAAAATACCTGGGAATCCAACTTACAAGGGATGTGGACGACCTCTTCAAGGAGAACTACAAACCACTGCTCAACAAAATAAAAGAGGACACAAATGGAAGAACATTCCATGCTCATGGATACGAAAAATCAATATCATGAAAATGGCCATACTGCTCAAGGTAATTTATAGATTCAATGCCATCCCCATCAAGCTACCAATGACTTTCTTCACAGAATTGGAAAAAACTACTGTCAAGTTCATATGGAACCAAAAAAGAGCCTGCATTGCCAAGACAATCCTAAGTCAAAAGAACAAAACTGGAGGCATCACGCTACCTGACTTCAAACTATACTACAAGGCTACAGTAACCAAAGCAGCATGGTACTGGTACCAAAACAGAGATATAGACCAATGGAACAGAACAGAGCCCTCAGAAATAATACCACACATCTACAACCATCTGATCTTTGACAAACCTGACAAAAACAAGAAATGGGGAAAAGATTCCCCATTTAATAAATGGTGCTGGGAAAACTGGCTAGCCATATATAGAAAGCTGAAACTGGATCCCTTCCTTCCACCTTATACAAAAATTAATTCAAGATGGATTAAAGGCTTAAATGTTAGACCTAAAACCATAAAAACCCTAGAAGAAAACCTAGGCAATACCATTCAGGACATAGACATGGGCAAGGACTTCATGACTAAAAGACCAAAAGCAATGGCAACAAAAGCCAAAATTGACAAATGGGATCCGATTAAACTAAAGAGCTCCTGCACAGCAAAAGAAACTATCATCAGAGTGAACAGGCAACCTACAGAATGGGAGAAAGTTTTTACAATCTACACATCTGACAATGGGCTAATATCCAGAATCTACAAAGAACTTAAACACATTTAAGAAAAAATCAAGCAACCCCATCAAAAAGTAGGCAAAGGAAATGAACAGATACTTCTCAAAAGAAGACATTTATGCAGACAACAGACACATGAAAAAATGCTCATCATCACTGGTCATCAGAGAAATGCAAATCAAAACCATAGTGTGCTACCATTTCACAGCAGTTAGAATGGCGATCATTAAAAAGTCAGGAAACAACAGGTGCTGGAGAGGATGTGGAGAAATGGCAACACTTTTACACTGTTGGTGGGACTGTAAACTAGTTCAACCATTGTGGAAGACAGTGTGGCGATTCCTCAAGGATCTAGAACTAGAAATACCATTTGACCCAGCCATCCCATTACTGGGTATATACCCAAAGGATTATAAATCTTGCTGCTATAAAGATACACGCACACGTATGTTTATTGTGGCACTATTCACAATAGCAAAGACTTGGAACCAGCCCAAATGTCCATCAATGATAGACTGGATTAAGAAAATGTGGCACATATACACCATGGAATACTATGCTGCCATAAAAAGATGAGTTCATGTCCTTTGTAGGGACATGGATGAAGCTGGAAACCATCATTCTCAGCAAACTATCGCAAGGACAGAAAACCAAACACTGCATGTTCTCACTCATAGGTGGGAATTGAACAATGAGAACACTTGGACACAGGATGGGGAACATCACACACTGGAGCCTGTTGTGGGGTGGGGGAAGCAGGGAGGGATAGCATTAGGAGATATACCTAATGTAAATGATGAGTTAATGAGTGCAGCACACCAACATGGCACATGCATACATAGGTAACAAATCTGCACATTGTGCACATGTACCCTAGAACTTAAAGTATAATTAAAAAAAAAGAAAGACCCTCCCCCTTATCGTGTTCATGTCTCCCTACCCAAACATGTGGTGGTAGCTTCAGCTGACTCACTATGCACCTCTATGCAGAATATGCAACAGCATTTTGCAGACTCACCTTCAAGGCAACAATGGGGGTATTTTAGATCCAGTTAGTGAGCCAGTGGGAGACTTTATCAGGAAGCTGTATTTGGTCTGTAGGCTTTCACATTGCTAAAGGCACTGCCCTAGTTGTTGGTCAGTAATAGTTTTCTCCAGCCTTCTTTTACAGGTATGGGGAGAGGGGCTGATCATATACAGGACTGAGAATGGAGCTGGAGGTGGGGAGAGAGGCCAACCTTATGCTTAGTTTTAAGTATTAAAATGGTCATATGTCTATCAATTCCTGCTCTGCTCAGAGTTTTATGCTGCTTTTATTGTTTTTGGTCTACAAAAATGTTTCTTTTGATTTTGTATCCAGTTTTTTAAAAAGTTGTCTATTATCTTTCCTTTTTGTGTGGTCAAAGCAGAGGGAGTAAAAGTGTGAACTCCCTGTGTCATATGGACTAGAAGTCTTGCTTTACTTAAAGAAGGATAGCAGGGGCTCGGTTAATTTGGGAGCAGGAGCTAAATGGAGTTAACAGTTTTGCAGGTAAGGAAGTGGAGTGGAAATTTTGTTTGGACTTCCCAGCGTTCTTTCTCATATTAGGCAACCCCAGCTTTCCTCTGGGAACTTCCCCTCCCTTCTGACATCAGTCAGCATGATTTGGGGTTTGGCTCATCCTACCCCCATAGTATCAGTATGTGATCCAAGGCCTGGCCACTGTAATTGGTTCAGGGATAAGCAAATAGTTCAAGTTGTCCAATGAGATCTCTTCCTGTTGTTTTTCTGTCAGGAAAGACATACACTTTTCTTTTTTATGTCTAGCTCAAGCATAGTCCCCTGTAAAATGGGGTCAATAGTGCTGTCTATCTCACAGAGAATCAGAGGCTAGGAGAGCCTGGCACATGTTGGCTATTGTCATCGTTATTATGGTTCCATGTGAAATTTAGAGGAGGGAGCAATTGCCTTCAACTGGTCTGGTCTAGGAGGGATTCATACAGGAGATGAGATTTTAAGTAGATCTGGAAGGATACATAGGAGGTTGATGGAGAGGAACAGAGAAAAAGCACTATCAAGAGGTAGAAGAGGACAACATGGTGGTGGATAGGAGGGATGGTGAGGAGGGTTGGTTGAAAGCTGAGGGTGGGTGTGGCAGTGGAGACCATATTGGGAAGCTTGTTGGGGCCTGAACCAAGGAATTGGGACTTTATTTGGCAAGTATTGGGAAACCAGGGAAGGTTTCAAATTATAAAATATGATTGAAGTGGAATGGCTTATAATGAAATGACTCTTCTATAGGCAGAGGGTGGAGAAGTGAGAAATAACTCCACATGTTCCTTCACTGTAACCTCTTGATTACTTAAGCCCCAAACACAAAGCCAAACCACACATAGGAGAAAGTCTAGGAGAATGATGGAAGAAACAAAATAGGAAAACACCATTTTCCTCCTTCCTTGCTGGATTCATAGCCCATGTTTCAGTTTTCTGTATATTAGCCAAGTCAGCTTTCCTTTATTTCTGGGTCATGTAAGCTTAGTGTGTGTGTCATGGGGGTGGGGGGGTTGTTGTATGCACAGTTTTTTTTTTTTTTGCCAGTGTATACATTTGTATGAAATTACTTTTTTTATACAAATTTGTGACATACAAAATTATTTTAATGAGTTGGTTATCGTCGGTTGTCCACATTCCTTTTACTATTTTTTCCTTAAATAAATAGGTCACTGTAGGGACTCCAGCAAGATGTGGGCAAACCAAACCTAGCTTCCTTTGTAATATTTGAAGACATGTCATCAAATAGGTAGACTGGAGCCGTGATTACTCCCTTTCAAGAAGACGTGTGTTCTATACTTTGCCACAGCCGTCACTACTCCTAGTTTTTCCCCAACTCTGAGCCCCTGTGTCAGTAGCATTTATCATCACACCGGTCTCTTGTTTTACTTATGCTTAGTTCCATACATTAATTTTCATACCTACTTGGCCACGATGGGCATTCATGTATAAAATCAATTTTTATTTTTCACTTCTGAAGTTAAACTTTTATGGGTATTTCTCGTAAGTTTTCTGAGACAAGCTAAAAAGCAGCATTAATTATCCCAAATACTGAACAGCTGAGTTCAGGCCAATTCTCAGTTGTAACTCATGTATGCCACCTTTCTTGGCCTGACTAGTTTTGTGCATTCATTGAGAAAGGGAGTCTGCCAGGCGTTGTTTTCTATCTGACGGTAGGCCAACAGATGCTGTGAAATCATGCCAACACGTGCCAAGCTGTCACCTCTGCATCCTTATTTATCAGGGAGTCCATTGTACAAGTCTCCTGTCTGCTATTACGTCATGTTTACTTGTTCAGATAGATAAAGGTCCATACCCAGATGAACAAATGCTTAGGAAGGTGCTATTTTTACCCAATTCCCTAAACCACATATGAGTGACAAATATTTCCATAGGATTAATGAATAGGTGTTTCAGTCTCCTCCACCCTTATTAAATACTAGCTTTTTCTTTCATGCTTGGAACACTGTTGAATTTGTGGATGAGAAACATTTTCCATATGTAATGAATCCAAGGACTTTTTAACCTATTAGATTTTGTTGCATATATTGGTCACTCTTTTAAATAATAGTTTCAATCTAACCAAAAATCAAATAACCTGAGAATCTGATATGCCTTCATTTTGAATATTTTCATATTTTACAAGTAATGTACACAGAGCTTATTTTTTTTGATAAGATCGAGAATTGACCAAGGGAATCATGTAGCTTTAGCCATCTGTAGTTTTATCATTTGCCAAAAAATTTCCTGAGCTTCGTGGAAACCACATAGAAACCAAATGACTTGGTTTTATTTCCATTTCTCTAGGCAATAAACCAATTTTTCAGTCTCCATGGACACCCAGTGGAGCAACAGTAGTTAGATCTGTAAAAACTGCTATCTGACTTAGAGTCTGATGGTGGCCTGCCCACCCGCACTTGATGACAACTTAGGCTTGACCCTCTAAGAGACCACAGGTGTGAGAGATTGCACGTGGGCATCTGGAACAGTGCCAAGCTACTGTTCCAGGTTCTTAATTTGTGGAGGTTTGCAAATAATTATGGATCTTGTCTTGAAAGCTGGGCAGTTAGAAAGTCCAAAATAAGGCAGTGGAAATAGTGAAAAAAAAAAAAAATCTGGTTGAAATAGATTTACTTTCCACTTGGTTAAGCAAGAGCCCTCACATACTGATGGGTATGTTAACTCAGTTAAGAAAGAATACATATTTGGACATCCTTGTGGAAAGCCCAAAATAATACTTGAAATGAGAGAAGTCATAGGCTTATGTGTCAGTACATATGAAGGATAGCTTTGACTCTAAGCAGTAACTGGAAAGCCTACCCTTTCAGTCTCAGCAGCAATATAAGAAAAGATTGAACTGAATTGCTCTGTGTTATATATTAGTTCTCTAGGGCCTGTTTCCTCTAGCCTAGAATAGTGATTACTTGAAAAGATTAATCTGGTTTAGAGGTTTTGAATATGTGGTCCTTTGCTCTTGCTTGCATTGTGTAAAACTCCCTATTTCCCAGTTACTCTAAAATTAACAAAAACTAGGTCTCACAGATCATTAAACAGCATTGGAAATGTCGCAAAAGAAAGGCATATGAAAATGATACCTTAATTGGCATTATGGGACACAACACAACTCTGCAATAAATATGCTAGGCCATTCCAGGTATGTAGTTTCTTTTTTCTGGGTTTTTGCCTCCTTATCTGTAAATGGTGTGGGGTGGTTGCTAATATTCCTTCTAGTACTAATATTCTACTCGTTAATGAAAAGTCAGTTTTCATTTCACATACAACAAATAACATGGTCTTGAGAAATCTAGCTTTCTACAGGACGAAAACATTCAAGTTCATGATCTTGGGGAATTGGATGAAAGAATCAATCTTGTGCTTTTTGAACAAGCTATAGTCATTCCTGTTTCTCCTTAGACCATGTAACATTTCCATGAATACCATAGAAAATGAATTCCTGGGGAATAAGAATAGGTGCATTTTCTCAGAGACTTTTATTTTTGGTTTGTTTCTAGATATTTGAGACCAAAAATAAGAATAGAATCTAAAAATGTAAATTTTTTTTTAAAAGGAGGAGATAGTAATAGATGGTAGTTAACTATCAGAAATCAGCCATAGTTTTGTGAATGTATAATGAACTGATTTTGAGGTGATATATTTAAAAATTGCCTTGGGAACAGGAGAAAGGAGAAATGTTGCAGAAGAAATCTTTAGCTTTACAAACCCAGAGATTGTCATATATATATAAAATTGTTCCTTGACAGCACCTTCCCTCTGTTCAATGTTTTCCATCTCATTCAAGTCACATGGGCACATAAGGAGGGAAAGGCATTCCAGGTAGAAGTGACACCATGAACCAGAGAGAGGAGGTGTGAGACTGCATGGCATGTGGAGGCAGTGCAAGGAGCATAAAATGTAGAAAGAGGCTGGATTACTCAGAGTTCAGGTGCAGATAATAGAAACCACTTGAGCAATTTTGAGCAGTTTTAATATAGGCATATGGTGCTTATAAACCTGTGGGAAGGGGTGGAACAGCAGGCTTCCGGTGGGCCCTCCAGAAATGATTCTTAAATTGACACTTCAGGACCTATCTGCTTCTTGGCCTCAGGAACACACACCTTAGCCATGATCTGTGTATAAAATAAGCAAGCCAACTCAGAACCAAGCTGCACCTGTTAGATTCTTTTTAGCAAAATGGAGTCATAGTGCCTGGCCCTTCTCTCCCTTTAATTCAATAGCAAAATCAAATCTTGGAAGAGTGTATCTGATTGGAGCAATCTAAATCACTTCCAGAACTCTAACTGCAAGGAATTTGGGGAAATAAATTCTTTAGTTTTTTTAATCTGCTATTGTTCAGGAACGAACACTAAGAAGAGAGATGGATGCTGAGCCCACCGATCTATCTCATCTGCTGTGGTATCTATTGCAGAAGTCTAGGAAACTGATGTGGAAGGCCTGAAGTAGGGTAGTCAGGAGGGTGCCATAGTGATGATGGTACAATTCAGTCAGTCTTTGTAAGGCAAAACCATAAGACCATTAGGAAATAGGAGTGAGATAAAGGATGATTTCCAATGTTCTGATTTAACCTAGACTTGATAAAAATTATGTTGGAGGAAGAGCAGATTTTGAGGGCAGGAGTGAAGAATTGAAAATGGGAAATGTTGAAGAGTTTAGTTTTATAGAATTTGAAGTGATAGAGGGGATACTAGGTTGACATGTCTAATGAACACTTTGGGTTTTGGTTTGAAGCTCCAGAGAAAGTCCTGAGTAAAAATATAGATTAAGGCTGGGGATGGTGGCTCATGTTTGTAATCCCAGCACCTTGGAAGGCTGAGGTGGGAGGACTGCTTGAACCCAGGAGTTTGAGACTAGCTTGGGCAACATAGATCCTGTCTCTATTTTTTTAAAATTAAATAAAAAAATAAATATAAGTTAAGAAGTTATATGTGACACTTAAAAGCCATGCATGTGGCTGGGCGTGGTGGCTCTTGTTTGTAATCCCAGCACTTTGGCAGGCCAAGGCAGGTGAATCCCCTGACGCCAGGAGTTTGAGACCAGCCTGGGCAACATGGCAAAATCTGTCTCTACAAAAAAAAAAAAAAAAAAAAAAGAAATTAACCGGGTACGGTGGCTCATGCCTATAGTCCCAGCTACTCAGGAGGCTGAGGTGAGGGGGTAACTTGAGCCCAGGAGGTTGAGGCTGCAGTGAGCTGAGATCAAGCCACTGTGCCCTAACCTGGGCAACAGAGTGAGACCTTGTCTCAAAAAAAGAAAAAGCCACACATGTGGATGAAATTTCCTGGAGAAAGCAAGTAGAAGGACAAATGAAGATTCATGGCAGAACAACTCTGGAGATGACTAATGTAAAGAGGTGTGAGGCACAATAGGACCATACAAATGAGACTGAGTGGCTACAGTGGTAGAAGGAGAACCAGAGAAGAAATGTGGAACAGAAATCAAATAAAGGGACAGTTACTTAAGTTCAAAACAGCTGTGATGTCAAATAAGATCAGGGCTGAGGAGTGTCCAGTAGTTTTGACCATTAGGAGATTCTTAGCAAAACAGGTCAAGGTGTTTAGTGGGACTACACTGTGTTGATTTAGGTATGAATGAAAAGTGAGGAAGAAAGGAGTAATCTCTGCTTTCTGGAAATGTGGCTCTGAAGGGAAGGGAAGCTTTGGAGAAAGAACACAAAATGGAGGGAGAGTTTAATCATAAGCTCCAAAAGTCTTAAACAGGCTTGGATGCTGAAAAAAAGGAATCAATGGCCAGGTAAAGATTGACGATACAGGAAAGAGTCAGGTACTACATACCAGCTGCCTACAGATTTGGAAGAGGAGTCCAGAGTCTGTACTACTCCTCCTTAGATAGGGGAGGAATATGTATTTCTCTCACACATGGCAGTGAGGGAAACCATGAATGAAGAAGCAGATATGTTTGTGAAAGGTGGGAAAAAACAGAATAGAAATCACACCTGATAGATTATTTTCTGGATGATATAAAATGCAGATAATTTGCTGAGAGAAGGGAGAGTGGGCATGGGGTTAAATAGAATGGAGTAAGAGGTTTGCAGAAAAAATGGATTGGGGGAAATGAACGAGAAATGATTAGAGACCCACGTCAGAATTGCTAATCAGGACTGACCATGAAGAAGTGGGGAGATTTCTGAGGAAAGGCATAAAGTAATATCATAATTGTCATGATCATGAGGTCTTTGGTTCTTTAAAAAGTGGTGGTGGGTCCTTACAATGATGGTGTTCCTCTTTAAATATATTTGTTTTAGAGTTGTCCAACTGTTGATTAGGTAAGCCTTTTAAATCACTGCCATTGTCGTCGTCATCATCATGATCATGATCTGTTAATCTATTAATAAGATCAATCTTTTATTTCTATTGCAACTTTCAGTGCCTTGGATAAAAATGAGACAAAATGGCAGAAGTGTATCATTAAAGAAAGAATGCCTAAGAATTTACATTTTGAAGGACTCTTCTGTGACTGAAGGCTGTCCCTTTAAGTTAAACCTGATTGAGAATTTGAGAAATCTTCCCAACAGACTAAGGACATGAAAAGATGCTCAACATTATTAGTCATTGGGGATATGCAAAATGAAACCACAATAAGACATGACCAAGTATTTATTAGAAAGTCTAAAATGAGTAAGACTGAAACATATCAGGTATTGGCAAGGATGTGGGGCACCTGGAACCTTCATACACTGCTGATGGGGAAGAAAATGTTTCAACCATCTTGGAAAACAGTTTGACAATTTCTCGGAAATACACACACACACACACACATGCACACACATGCATGCTGTATAACCCAGTCATTTTATCTTCAGATGCCATAAACATTTGTGTGTAAGTCTTTACCCAAGAGAAAAAGAAATATGAGTATACAAAGACACGATGTTCATAGCACTTTTATTTATAATAATAAAAAATTGAAACAACATACATCAACAGATGAATGGATAAACAAATTGTGGTATATCCATACAATGGAATACTAATTAACAATAAAAAGGAATAAAGTATTGATTGCACAGCAGCATGATGAATCTCAAAATAATTATGGTGAGTGAAACAAGCCAGACAAAAGAGAATATGTAGTGTATTATTCCATTTGTTAAATTGTCTACAAAATTCAAACTAATCCACAGCAACAGAAAACAGATCAGACGCCTAGAGATGGGGGTCAGGGCAGGGCAGGGCTGAGAGGGGGATTACCAATAAGCACAAGGAAACTCCTGGGGGTGATGCGTGTGTTCATTATCTTGATTGTGATGATGGTTTCACAGCTACATTCATAGGTCAAAACCTACGAAACTGCACACTTTTAATAGGTGCAGTTTATTATACTTTAATAAAACTATCACAAAAAAGAAATAACTTGTATGTTCAAGAACTGGAACATGATTTTATTATGTTATACAACAGCACACTTTTTGAACTTTGTATATCTTTTAAAAATCATGTTTTGGAGCCTATGTTGTATCATTGGAAAATGCTCATAATATTTAGAGACAGGCTTGGTTCTGATTTATAATAGCTCATTAATATTTGTTGAAAGTTAAATCAATGATGTAGTGTTAAATGAAAACAAGATATAAAAAATACATATATAATATAATATGATCCCAAATGTGGTAACTCTCTCTTCTCTCCCACTGCTGAAAGGAAATACCCCAAAATGTTAACGTTGGTTGTGTCTGTTAGGTGGAATAACATATGATTTTTATTTTCCTTCTCATGGTTTTGGGGCTTTTCTAAAATTGAGCTTCTGTTACTTTCACAAGCAGACAAAAACCCAATAAATGCCCTTCTAAAAGATTCTTGCCCACACGAAGGAATTCATTTGGTGCAAATATTTTTAGAAAACATTAGTCTAATTGAGGTACATAGCATCTTTTTGATAGCAACATGTTAGCAAATACTTTTCAGGGATTTTACGTGGAATGGTGAATGTGCTGAAAAGAAAGACTTACACCAGCTTCAGCCTGCCAGCTTGTGATATGCTGCCTAGAAATGCCTACTTATAAATATGTTTTATATAGCCTCAGGAGTTCCCTTACCTTTATTGCTCCACCTCTAGCAGTCCTTTAATAAAACAAGGTCAAAGACAAGGACAATAAATTCCCAGGGCCTTTCCTAGCACAGTTCTGCAGGAAATGATCATCAAAGATGTCCTGATCAGAAAAAGAGAGTTGCTGAATGTAAGTTTTTCTGTGAAATGCAGATGATTTCTTGCTCCTTTGTCTAATCAGTGGTGACCTTTTTTCTTTTTGCAAAAAAAGAAAGCAAGTGCAGGGTGAGACATGTGGGGTTAGAGCAAAGGAGAAAACCCTCCCCTGAGAAGGTGAGAGTCAAAGGTGATGAAGAGTCAGGAGGGTTCTCCCGCATAAATACATGCTGAAAGATGTACCTTCCTTACTGTCCCCAAGAGTATGAGGGGCATTTGTCCTGTGAGGCTTTCATTTTGATATTCTGCTTGTGTGAAAAAGACAATGACTGGGTGCTGTTTGAGTAAGGTGGGATTTGGCAGGAGGGTGGGGGCTGGGCCATGAAGCAGAGAGATTGGTGAGACTGAGGTAGTCCTATGTCCTGCTTGGTCAGGACGCTGGGATTGTATCTTACAGCCTGATCCGTTCTTATCCAGTGACATGAACATTAAAAATAAATAGGAATGGAAACTTCCATGTTTGAAAATCATCCAGCGGCTTATAACATTTTAGCTTTTCATTTCTTTTTTTATTATTTAAAAAGTTATAAGCAAATCCTTGAAAATGTGTTTGTTCGTGTCCCTAGGACCCATTGTAATCCCTCTGCTATGTAAACAATCTTATCCTTGAATGTATCAGTTTGCAAATCAGATCTTCAGGTACTTTTCTTAAATATTCTGCATTCCTCTCACCTAGATTTCCCTAGAGGGTTTTTTTTTTTTTTGTTGTTGTTGTTGTTGTTGTTTTGAGATGAGGTCTGGCCATGTTGCCCAGGCTGAAGTGCAGTGGCTATTCACAGGCACGGTCCCACTACTGATTAGCATGGGAGTTTTGACCTGTTCCGTTTCAGACCTGGGCCTGTTCACCCTTCCTTAGGCAACCTGGTGGTCCCCACTCCCGGGAGGTCACCATATTGATGCTGAACTTAATGCAGACATCTGATGGTCATAGCTCACTACAGCTCAGAACTCCTGGGCTCAAGCGATCCTCATGCCTAAGCCCACCGAGTAGCTGGGACTACAGGCATGTGCCACCATGCCCCACTAGATTTCCCTTGAGTTTTGAGAGGGACGTCTGGTCACTCCATCATAGTTCTTCAGCCTTCTGGATTTTACCCTCAGCCTCCTTGCACCTCCTCAACTGGTCAGGCCATAGAGACTACCATCGTTGGGTGGAAACCATGAAAATCCAGTTCCTCTTGCTTGCCTAGGGCCAGGGATGGTGAGTGGAACAGGGAGTCAGGAGAATTCTCCATCTGGGAACAAAGTTTTAGGCATTACAGGTGAGAATTACATATGCTTCCCTCAACCCTACTTAGAAACATTGTTATACATGGAGACTAAGTGCTAGAATGCTATGATGGTGGAATTTAACGCATTTGTGGTTAAACAAGTTTTAGTAGGATCACTTGGGCATTCAAGGTCTTTGAAAGTTATCATATATGTATGTATATATGTTACATATGTATGTTACATATCTACTATATATCTATACAATTTTTTGTTAAACTAATCATTTAACCCAAACCTTTGAGCAGAACAACACATTCCCTGACCATGTTTGACAATAGGATTGGCCACATTTAATTGTGGAAGAATGAAAGGATATGGAAGAATTATATGTTCATGATCTATTTTCTTTTACATAGAAATACTTTTCTATTTTCTTTCAACATAGTAGAAAATCTGGTCACTGGTCTGAGTCCTCTCATTTCACAAATTGTCCCTAACATTTAGCTGAACTATAGCTAATTCATATTTCACTCTGATTATTGCAGAATCATTTACTTTTGTATAGGCAGTTGTATTTGGCCATTCTTGCACTGCTATAAAGAAATACCTGAGACTGGGTAATTTATAATAAAAGAGGTTTAATTGGCTCATGGTTCTGCAGGCTGTGCAGGAAGCATAGCATCTGCTTCTGGGGAGGCCTCAGGAAGCTTCCAATCATGGCAGAAGGCAAAGGAGTAGCAGGCACATCAAATAGCAAAAGCAGGAGCAAGGAGAGACTAGGGGTGTGGGTGGAGGTTGGGGGTGGCGGAGGGAGGAACCACACCCTTTTAAATGACCAGATCTCACAAGAACTCACTATTGCAAAGACAGAATCAAGCTCTGAGGGATCCACCCCCGTGATCAAAACACCTCCCACCAGGCTGCACCTCCAGCACTGGGGCTTATAATTCAACATACGATTTTACTGGGGACAAACATACAAACTATATTAGCAGTAGTTATTTCATAAATAATTTAAGTCTTTTCGGTATTTAAAAAAAGTTTTTGTGCCACAAGTGGATTCCATGTATTTGTGAATAAATAGTGAAATTCTAAATATGCTGTTGGTTAAAACATGTTTTTCAGACACTCTTGAGAATCTGAAGAATGACCCTGGTGTACATCAGCATTCAAAAATGAAATATCCATATTTATTTTTGGTAGGGAAGGAATTTTCTTTCTTTCTTTTTTTTTTTTTTGAGTCAGAGTCTCACTTTGTCACCAGGCTGGAGTGTAGTGGTGTGATCTCAGTTCACTGCAACCTCTACCTCCCAGGTTCAAGTGATTCTCCTGCCTCAGTCTCCCGAGTATCTGGGACTACAGGTGCACACCACCACGCCCAGCTAATTTTTATATTTTTAGTTGAGATCGGGTTTCACCATGTTGGCCAGGATTGTCTCGATCTCTTGACCTTGTGATCCGCCTGCCTCCTCAGCCTCCCAAAGTGCTGGGATTACAGGCATGAGCCACCGTGCCGGGCCAGAAGGGAAGAAATTTTCTAAAGAAATATACTTCTGAGTGCAGTCTTCAACAAAAGCATTTAGGGACTCTGAAATAAGATCTAGGCAATCCAGGTCTTGGGAATGATATCTGGGATACATTAAAAATGTCACTTTCAATATTTAAGCCCTAAAATATGTTTATTATTCTTGGAATATATAATATTCCAACAACAGTTTATTAAGGTACTCTAGTCAATAGGTTATTGTTCTTTTTTAAACATAGTTGTATCCTAGGTAAGAATTTTTGAGTATGGAGGATTATAGACATGTGACATTTATACACACAGAAAAAAAGTCATTTTGAAACAGAAAACTGCTTCATTCCATAAGCATGCCATTAATACATGATTCAAGATGTCACAGTTTGGATGAGATAATCAAATTCCTCAGATAAATCTGTTGAAAGCAGCTGCTTCATTCAGGAGTGATTTAGAGATACATAAATTGAGGACAGTAGATTGAAAAGGAAAAAAGATAAGTGTAAGTTTATTACTGAAAGTGAAAAATGATTAAAAATTGCCACTATGACTGTTAGGCCAATTAAAACATTTTATGCTCATTCATCTTTCAAGAAGCCACCTACAAATGAAAGTATGGCACTAGCTCTACTGTTAACAAATAGAGCTTGTTTGATGTTAAAAGATGTAAATGCCATCATTTTGAGACTATGCATTTGCAATCTTTGGTGATCATCATAGAAAGAATGAACTAGCATTCTCTGAAAAATCCCAGTCCAAGAAAGTTTGTTCTTGATAATAATAAAATTTCGTGTTTATAAGATGCCTTTCATTCAACTCTTAAGACTTCACGTATAAATGTGTTTAAATATGCAGTCATATATCACTGTCTTCATATATCATAGCCCAAATATTTCAGTTCTTTAGACATAAAGCAATTCTTTATTTCATATGAGAAAATACAATCTCTACTCCTGCCACACAAATTCTCTATGAATAACACCTTCTTGTTAATGCTTCTATATTGCTTGTGCTGAAGGATTGTCAATGCAATCTTTTCTTAAAGCAATGTTTTAAAAAATTCTTTAAAAACAAAACACCTGTGTTTCCTGGCAGAACAACAATGTATCAGCCAAAATACTTTTATTTAATGACTAACTGTGGTTAGCTAGCGCCCCATAATTCATTTCATAATTGGAAAAAAATGTAACATTTGCTGACATCATCTGAGTGCTGATCTGGACCCATTGAACAGGGAGTTTTCCAACAAAAACGATTAATTTTCCACTTCACAACTCAGGAAGAATTTAGGATTAGGGCATTCATGGAGTCTAGAAATGGTTTTCATATTCAGAATTTTAGCTCAAAATTTGGACAGGAAGAAAGACTGAACATAGTTTAATTTCCAAGACAAAAGTTCATCTGTAAAATCCTACTTCTTTTTATGCATATTAATACCAGTCTGAGATCAAACATACTAAGCTCTGAAGATAAAAGTATTAGGAATAAAAAATTAAATGAAAAATCTAATGAGTGAGGAAAGATAGTTACCATTAAGTTTTATTCTGAAAGAGTTTCTTAAATATGTACTCACCTGATTTTTGCCTACCCAGATCTCAAGTTTATCTGAGTTTTCCATGCAAAATGTACATGGAATACATAAATCATTATTTAAAAGTAATGTACTATTAATCATAGTGGCATTATTTGATATTAATGTGGTAATGAGTCCAAAATTGTATATACTCCATTGCAAACATGGCCAAAGAGTATCTAGCTTATCTTTCTTAAGAAACTTTATATCACAGAAGAGACAGAGAGGAAATTTATTTTTGGAGTTGTCATTTTCGATGTTTTTGTCTCTTCTCACTTATTTTCTTTTTACTGAGCTATAATCTATATCTCTTCTCATTTAAGCATTGTCTTGTGTAAATTTTTAATTCTCTATTTCTTTTCTTGACTGGACTTCGCTCCAGAGTCATGATCCAGGTTAAACCTAACTGTCTGCTTATCCTATTCCCATGTCTGAGCAGTTAAAATGGCTGGAAAAAATACCTACACACACACAAACACAAACACACACACAGACACACACACACACACACACACACACACACCCATCCCCCCAGTGTTGCTTGGTCTCTCTTTAAGTTCTACAGACATAAATCTCAGGTGGACACTCAACATCTCCAGAATCTTACTAAACTTTCATAATATTTTCATCAGCTTACACGTCCTGATGACCATGTCATGCCTTCTGTGTGAACCTCCTACATTACCCAACCTCTCTGCCATGCTCATGCTCACTATAAGCTTGTGTTACATGCATCAGGAAAGCAGGAGCATTTAGACAGGAACTCCTTCATATTTCTCTGTGAAAGCCACCACCCTGCCCACGTAATTATTCCTCTTTTTTGACTTCCTTCTCATTTCTGTGGTTGATGTGCTTGGCCAAGGTCAAAAGACAACCTGGTCAAAGGCCTCTATAGATTATAAATCCTTTCCAGGGACTTTGTTTCTATAGTTATCCCCTCTGTCTCATGTCCACATGTCTTTTGAATTTCTATCCCATTTTTCTCTTTCCCTTCATAATAACTGTCTTCAAAGAGTTATCTAGAGTTGCTTGCTGTTATGGACTGAATTATATTCCTCCAAAATTTATAGGTTGAAGCTCTAACCTCCAATGTGGCTGTATTTGGAGATAGGACATTTATGGAGACAATTAAGGTAAAATGATGGATTTTACCTTATAAGGATGGGGCCCTAAACTGACAGGACCAGTGTCCTTCTGAGAAGCAGAAGAAACACCCGATGATCTCTCTATCCACACACACACACACACAGAACAGGTTGTGCGAGGATGCAATGAGAAGGCAGCCATCTGCAATTTAGGAAGAGAGGCCTCACCAGAAACCAACTTACAGCCTCCAGAACTGTGATAACTTCATTGACTTTGCCCTGGTCAAAATTAACAATGTCCCTATTCTTAGCACTAACGGCCATTCCATTATTTCTCTCTTACTTGCTCTCTCAGCAGCATTTAACAAAGTTGATCACCACTTCCTGCTGATAGTTACTTTTCTTGGAAACCATGGTACCACAGTCTTTTGGTTTCCTTCTATTTCATTGGCTGCTGCTGCTTATTCTTCATCGTGGGCACTTCTCCTCCTCTGCCTGAATGCTAAAGGTAGGAGCAACCCAGGTCCTGGTCTCCTTTCTTTTCTCTGTCTACACAGTTTTTCCAGTGAGCTTCATTCAGTCCCGTGACTTTAAATAGTATTTGTATCCTTAAAGTTTCCAAATCATATGTTTGCTCTGATCTCTCTTCTGAGCTCTAAATTTTATATTTAGATCTCCTTGACAGCTCCACATGAATATTAAGTAGCTATCTCAATTGTATTGTGCTCAAAATAGAACTTTTATTTGTCACCCTTGACTCCAATCCTGCTTGGTCTTTTCCTCAGTATATGGGAACACCATCCACCCATTGCTGAAGCCAAAATTCTAGGAGTCAACCTTGATTCCTCTGCTTTCTTCATTTACTCTCACCTCTAAACCCTTGGTAAGTCTTGCTGACTCTTCCTCTAGAAGTGTTTTGAAACTTACCTTTTCCAGTTCCTATCATTGCCCTTTTAGTTCAAGCTGCCATAGTCTCTACCCCGGACTATTTTCACAACCTTCTAACTATACCAGGGTTCCCTCCTATTCCCCACCCCACTCCCTAGTCCAAATGGAATTCCAATGGAATGGATATGTGGTAGCCAGGGTGCTTTTTAAAAAATATCAAATCATGACCCTCTAATTCCTTTAATAACTTCTCTAATGACTTCTCATCAGAATCAGAATAAAATCCAGAGTCATGACCTTAAAAACTCTAGGGCTTGAAGCCTTTAAAATATATTCTATGAGAAAAGTCCTGCAAAATTATTTCACTATTAAATATGATATGGATTTTTCATAGACCCTTTTATTAGGTTGAGGAAATTTTCTACTATTCCTAGTTTGTAGAATTTTATAGTGAAAGTGTGCTGAATTTTGACAAATACTTTTTCTGTATCAGTTGTAATGATCATGTGGTTTTGTCCTTTATTCCACTATTATGGTGTATTATTTTCATTGATTTTCATATGTTGAACCATCCTTGCATTCCTTGGATAAATTGCACTTAGTGATGATATGATTCTTTTTATATGTTGTTAGATTTGGTTTGCTGGTATTTCGCTGAGGATTTTTGTTCTCTTGTAATGTCTTTGTCTGGTTTTGGTAGCAGAATAATACTGGCCTCATAGAATGACCTGAGAAGTCTTCCCTCTGTTTTATTTTTGGAAGATTTCATGCAATTTTGGTGTTAATTCTTCAAGTTTGGGGGCCGGGCGCGGTGGCTCACGCCTGTAATCCCAGCACTTTGGGAGGCCGAGGCGGGTGGATCATGAGGTCAGGAGATTGAGACCATCCTGGCTAACACGGTGAAACCCTGTCTCTACAAAAAATACAAAAAATTAGCCAGGCTTGGTGGTGGGCACCTGTAGTCCCAGCTACTCACCAGGCTGAGGCGGGAAAATGGCGTGAACCTGGGAGGTGGAGCTTGCAGCGAGCCGAGATCGTGCCACTGCACTCTAGCCTGGACCATAGAGCAAGACTCCATCTCAAAAGAAAAAAAAAAAATTCTTCAAGTTTGGTAAAATTCACCAGTGAAAGCAATTGGACTGGACTTTTCTTTATAAGACATTTTTTGCTTACTAGTTCAATCTCTTACTTGTTATAGACCTATTCAAATTTTCTATTTCTTCTTGAGTCAGTTTTGGTAGTTTGTGTCCTTCCAGGCATTTGTTCATCTTAACCAGGTTATCTAATTTGTTGACATACAATAATTCCTAGTATTCCCTTATATGCTTTTTTATTTCTGTAAGATCAGTAGTAATGCCATTCTTTTCATTCTTCATTTTAGTAATTTGAGCCTTCTGTCTTTTTTCTTGGCTAGAGGTTTGCCAGTTCTAATGTTGTCTTCAAAGAATCAACTTTCTTTGGTTTTATCTATTTTTTATTCACTGTTTCATTTATTTTTGCTGTAATAATTATTTCCTTCTTTCTGCTTTCTTTAGGCTTGGTTTTCTCTTTTTCTAGTTTCTTAGAGTGGAAAGTTAGGTTATTGGTTTGAGATTTTTCTGCTTTTTAAAGATAGGCATTTACTGCT
This sequence comes from Homo sapiens, assembly GCF_000001405.40. Lineage (NCBI taxonomy): Eukaryota > Metazoa > Chordata > Mammalia > Primates > Hominidae > Homo > Homo sapiens. The sequence goes on from NC_000007.14 coordinate 92,978,180, forward strand.
ATATATTTCTCCCTAAGCATTGCTTTAGCTGCATTTCATAAGTTTTGGTATGTTGTGTTTTCATTTTAATTCATCTAAAAGTATTTTGTTTTTATTTTTTTGAGATAGGGTCTTGCTCTGTCACCCAGATTGGACCTCAGTGGTATGATCACAGCTCACTGAAGCCTCAACCTTTTCCCAGGCTCAAGTGATCCTCCTACCTCAGCCTTTCGAATAGCTGGGACTCTAGGCATGTACCACCATGCCCAGCTAATTTTTTTTTTTTTTTTTTTTTTTTTTTTTTTTTGTAGAGATGGGATCTCCTTATGTGACCCAGGCTGGTCTCAACCTCTTGGGCTCAAGTGATTCTCCTGTCTCACCCTCCCAAAGTGCTGGGATTACAGGTATGAGTCATCAGGCCTGGCCCTCAAAGTATTTTCCAATTGTCTTTTTGGTGTCTTCTTTGACGCATTCATTATTTAAGAGTATGTTGTTTAATTTCCACTTATTTGTGAAATTCTCAAATATCCTTCTTTTACTGATTTCTAATTTCAATCCATTGTGGTCAGAGATCATATTTTGTATTATTTCAATCCTTTTTAATGGCCTAGCACGTGACCTATCCTGGAGAATGTTCCATGTACACTTGAGAAGAATGTGTATTCTGTTGTGTGAAATGTTCTGTTAGGTCTAGTTAGTTTATGGTATTATTTAAGTGTTCTATTTTCTTGTTCATCTATTTAGTTCTATATATCATTGAAGTGGGACAGTGAACTCTCCAATTACTGAATTGTCCATTTCTCTCTGCAGTTCTGTCTGGTTTTGTTTCATGTTTTTTTAAAGCCTGTTATTAGGTGCAATTCATGTACATATAGGTTTATCATTGCCCTCTTGATGGATTGACCAATTTATCATTATAAAATGTCCTTCTTTATTTCTAATAATAAATTTTGGGTTAAATTGTAGTTTGTCTGATATTAGTATAGTCACTGCAGCTCTTTTTTTGGTTAAACTGTATGATATATTTTCCCCCATCCTTTTGCTTTCAACTTATTTGTGATTTTGGATCCAAAGCTCTTGTAGACAATATATAGCTGGATCATGTCTTTTAAAAATCCTGCCTGTCAATCTCTGCTTTTTGATTGGAGTGCTTAATCTATTAAATTTAATATATTTCTAATGTCAGTATTTGTGTCTGCTGTTTACTCTTGCTTTCTATATACCATTTTTTTGTTTTCATATTTCTCTATTAACACCTTATTTTGCATTAAATAGATATTTTCTAGTGTATCATTTTAATTCTCTTGTCCTTTATTTCACTGTCTTTTGGAGTTATTCCTTAGTGGTTGCCCTGGGGATTACAAATAACATCTTAAATAATTAATCTAGTACATATTAATATCAACTTAATCTCAGTAGTATACAAAAACTTGGCTTCTATATAGCTCTGTTCTCTCCTTTTTCTTTGGTGCTATTATTGTCATACAAATGACCTCTTTATATATTATATGTCCATTTATGCAGATTTATAATTATCATTTTATACAGTTTTCTTTTAAATCAGATAGAAAACAGAGTTAAAAATGAAAAAAATACATTTAAACTGTCTTTTATATTTATCCACTGTATTATTTGCTAGGCTGCCATAACAAAATACTCCAGACTAGGTGGTTTAAACAACAGGCATTATTTTCTCATATTTCTGGAGGCTAAAATCCAAGATCAGAGTGTCAGCAGGTTTGGTTTCTCCTGAGGCCCCTTTGGCTTGCAGATGGCTACCTTCTTTCCATGTCCTCATATGGCCTTTTCTTCATGTGTGTACATCCCTGGTGTCTCTCTCTCTCTTCTTATAAGGGCACCAGCTATGAGGGCGACCCCTCATCCATAATGATTGGATCATTTAATCTTAATGACTTCTTTAAAGGCCCTATCTTCAAATATAGTTACATTCTGAGGTGTACTGGGTGTTAGGACTTCAACACATAAATTTTGGGGTGCTACAATTTAGTCCATAACACTATTGATATAATTACCTTTATCAATGCTCTTTATTTCTTCAAATGGATTTGAGTTACTGTCTAATGTCCTTTAATTTTAACCTGAAGGACTCACAGTACTTCTTGTAATCCCATATTTCACAGTATTTCTTGAAAGACATGTTTGCTAGTGATGAGTTCTCTCTTTTAGTTTATGTGAGAATATCTTAATTTGTTCTTTACTTATAAAGGATAGATTTGCTAGATATAGAATTATTTTTTGATGTCCTTTTTCTTTTAATAATTTGTATACTTCATCCAACTGCATTCTGGCCTCCATGGTTTCTGATGAGAAATTGGTGGCAGATATTATTGAGGACCCCTTGTATGTGATGAGTCACTTCTTATTTGCTGATTTCAACAGTTGGTTGTGTCTAGGTGTGGCTATCTTTGAGTTTATCCTACTTGGAGTTTGCCAGGTTTCTTAGACATGTTGATTAATGTTTTTCATCAAAGTTGGGAAGTCAAAAAGCTTGGGCTATTATTTCTTCAAATATTTTTTCTCTCTCTCTCTCCTCCTTCTTGTAATCCCGTTATTCATATGCTGGTATTTACTGATATTCTCTATTCTGTGCAATGTAATTCGCATACTTTCCTTTAATTCTTTAGGTGTGGTTTCCTCTCATTCTTTGAATGTATTCAAAATACCTGATTTTAAATCTTTAATTAGTCCAACAGCTGTCTCAACATCATGTCCCAACATTCTTTAGGGACAGTTTTTGTTGGCTGCTTCTTTACCTGTGTATAAACTATAGCTGCCTTTTCCTTTGTATGTCTCCTGGTTTATTTGTTTTTTTTTTTTTTTTTTTTTTGGGAAACCAAGCACTTTACATAATGCAATTAGACAACTCTGGAAATCAGATTTCCCCTGCCCTAGAGTTTGTTGTTATCATCACAATTTGTTGTCTAGTGACTTTCCTGAAAAAAATCTTTAACGTGTAGATACTTTGTTATGTGATCACTGAAGTCTCTGCTTAGTTCACTTAGTGATCAAATAATAATTGGATAGACATTTTCTTAAATGATTGGAATCAATTCATTTCCAATCCTTTTTCAAGGGTCTCTGTGCATGTATGTTGGCAGGAAGTCTACAACTCTGCTGTAGCCTCACTTTCTGCTTGTGTAAAACCTCAAGGCTAGCTAGATGTAAGAGCTTCAGGCCTTCTCAGTTCTTTCCTGGGCATGCACAAAACCCTATGCAGGTGTGTGGCCTTCTGGATTACCAGAAATATGTCAGAGCTTTTCTAAACACCCAATGGCCATCTCCTTCTCCAGTTCTATCTCTTTTTTCTTTCTTATTTTTTCTTTCATTTTTTATTGTAATTAATTGACTACAGTGCTTATGTGCAGTTCCTTTTACCTTCAGTTGTGTAGACTCTGAAGCTACTTAGGCGAGCACCTTTTTTGCATGCTCATTTCAGTGAGGTTATGTCATGCATTTGTAATACAGTTAGATTCTCTATTCACAGTTTGTATTTTTTCCTGGAATTCCCCCAATCTCCTAAATGATTTTTTAAAATAATTTGTATATATTAAGGCTCATTCTTTGTACTGTAAAGTCACTTGGGATTTGACAAATGCATAATGTCATGTATCCACCATTACAGTATTATACAGAATAGTTTTCCCATCCTAAAATTTCTCTGTGTTTAATCTATTCATCCCTTACCACCCCACCCCCAAATCCCTGGAAACCATGACTTTTAAAACTGTCTTTATGTTTAAGTCTTTTCCAGAATGTTATATAATTGGAATCATACAAACGTAGACATTTCAGACTGGTTTCTTTCACTTAGGAATATGCACGTCTTCTCATGGGTGATAGCTTATTTCTTTTTTATTGCTGAATAACATTCTATTGTATGGTTATCCATTCACTTATCTATTCATCTTGGTTGTTTCCAGTGTTTTGTGATTATAAATAAAGCTGATGTAAACGTTCACGTGCAGGTTCTAGTGTGGACATAATTCTTCATATCATTGGGTAAATACCTAGGAGTGCTATTATTGGATCATATGGTAAGATGTAAGAAACTTCCAAACTGTCTTCCAAAGTAGCTACATCTTTTTGCATTCCCAGCAGCAATGAATGAGCATTCCTGTTGCTCTGCAACCTCATTAACATTTGGTATTGTCAGTTTATTGAATTTTAGCTATTCTAATATAATAAGTAGTGGCATTTTATTGTTTTAATACAGAATTTCCCAATAAAATGATGTTAAGTATCTTTTCAAGTGTTTATTTGCCATATATTTATCTTCCTTCTCAGCTGCTGCTTTTTTTTCTTTTCTTTTTTTTTTTTTTTTTTTTTTTTTTTTTTTTTTTTTTGCCACAACTGTTAGCACTGCCTCAGGCAGCTGCAATGTTAAATGATTGTTGCTGAATTGTTTGACAAATATGTTGTGGAAAAGGATGCTCACATTAAGTGAGGTTTCAGGTCAAATAAAGACAAGACCTCCTAATGGAGTTTCCAGGAAACTAACAGACCAACATAGATAATGACAATTCTCTGAGTATGGTGCTTTTGGAGAGATCAGATTCTATTCTGCTACCATCAATGGCTGCTAGGCTTCTGGTTTCACTATAATTGTGGGGATTTTGGTTTTTAAGGATATTGTGGAATCAGGGAGAGGGGCATGGGATTAAGCAAATTAAAATGCCACAGATACTGCTGTTCTTAAAAAGATTCAACGATTTTTCCTTGGATAAGCCCTCATTGGATTATTGCAAGACTTTGATTAATTTCTAGAGTCCTTAAAAGTTGATTTGGATACTTTGCCAATGTTTTTATTACTTTTATGGAAGGGCATATTTTCATAGGTCATTACTGCACCATTCTTGTTGATGCCCCTCTTCATTTATTACGCTTTATTTATATTTGTTGGCATCATTTTTCCATTGTCTCCTGACCTCCATAATTTCTGTGAGAAGTCAATTATTTTATGTTGTTCCTTTGGAGGTAGTGTGTCCTTTTCCTCTAGCTGCTTTTAATATTTTCTCAGTTTTTATGGTTTTCATCAGTTTAACTATTAGGTGTTTAAGTGTGGTTTCTTTGTATTGCTCCTCCTTGGGATTTACAGTGCTTCTTGAATCTGTGGCTTAATGTTTCCTGTCAGTTTTAGAAAATATTTAGCCATTATCTTAAAATATTGCTTCTGCTTCATACTCTTTCTTTTTTATTTTTCTTCTTTAATTATATATACATTATATCTTTTCAGCTTATTTCATACACAATTTTCTGTATTTTCCTTATTTAAATCCCTGTGATCTAGACATTTTCTGATTATCTTCCAGTTCGCTAGTCCTCTTTTCTGCTGTACTAAATTTGCAGTTAAATCTATTGTGTCCTTGATTTCAATTTTTGTACCTTTTCAATCTGTAATTTCCATGTGCTATTTTTTCTATTAGTTCTAGTTCTATGGTGAAGTTCTTCATCTTGTTATCTGTTTTTTCAATATATATTACAGTAATTTTAAAGTTCAAGTCCGTTAACTCTAAAAGCTGGGCTATTTATTCTTATGTTGTATAATCTGAGTACCATAGTTTCCTATGCCAATTTAATAAACTCATAGAAAATAGTCATTAAGGGGTTATATAACTTAAGTCTTTTACATTTCCATCTGAATTTGTGAACCTTGAGTTGTGTTTCCATTTTGTTTCTTCGATTGCTGACACCATGGAATTGTGTTTTTACTGAAAACAAACAAAAAATCATTTGAATCTAAGACTCCAAACGAGGTCACATAGATCCTTTCCTGCTTTTTCTCTTTCACGTTTCTCCATTTGTTTCCCCCTCTGTATTGTCTTTTTTTTTTTTTTTTTCCAGGTGGACACATTTTTCCAAACCCAGAGGAAAGAGAGCTCCTCTTTGTGATGGTTTCAAATCATCTCAGGATTGAGATTTGCTTTTACCTCTGAATCAATCGATGTGACCAGAGATACTGACTGCTTGATTATAATGACTGGACAGATCTAGCATCAAGACCCCCAATAGGTCTTAGTCCATTTGGGCTGCTATAACAAAATACCTCAGACTGGGAAACTTATAAGCAACAGAAATTGCTCACAATCTTGGAGGCTGGGAAGATCAAGATCTAGGCACCTGCAGACTCAGTGTCTGGTGAGGTCTTACTCTCTGCTTCATAGATGGCTCTTTCTTGCTGTGTTCTTGAGCAGAAGAAGGGACAAACATGCTCCCTCAGGCTTCTTTTATAAGGGCACTAATCCTATTCATGAAGGTGGAGCCCTTATGACCTAACCACCTCATGAGGTTCCCAGCTTTTAACACTATTGCACTGGAGATTAGGTGGCCACATATGAATTTGGGAGGACACAAACATTCAGATCATAGCAGCTCCTCATGAAGCTGGTGGTAGAATCAGCCAGACCCACCCGCAGGGACTGAGAGTTGGGAAAAAGTGGTTTCTCAAAGGAAAACTGAGGTATTCTTACTAGAAGAGGGAAGAGATGGTGGAAAAGCAAAAACAAGATGACCAATGTCTCTGATGTATTAGATCATAAGAATCATCAGAATGAGTGTTAAAACTGAGATTTCTGGGCCCTACTTCATTCTTATTGAATCAGAATCATTAGAGGAGTTGTCCAGAGATCAGGGGTTTAAATAAGATTAATTACTGCTCCATTTTAGTTATTGCTTTTCCTAAAATGTAAAGAAGTAATTGGAATCTTTTTTCTGTTCATATTAAGATATACTTCTTAGCTAGGTTCCATATCCAAGCTAAAGAGGGCTAAATAATTATTGATTGCATTTAGATTGTATAGATAAACACTTGAAATTTGGTATGGGGATTATCTGAAATACATATTGATACTTCTTCTTCTTCTATTTTTTTTTTTTTTTGACGGAGTCTTGCTCTGTCACCCAGGCTGGAGTGCAGTGGTGTGATCTCAGCTCACTGCAACCTCCCCTTCCCGAGTTCAAGTGATTCTCCCACCTCAGCCTCCCGAGTACCTGGGATTACAGGTGTGTGCCAACACACCCGGCTAATTTTTGTATTTTCAGTAGAGACGGGGTTTCACCATGTTAGCCAGTCTGGTTTTGAACTCTGGACCTAAAGTGATCCACCTGCCTTGGCCTCCCAAAGTGCCGGAATTACAGGCGTGAGCCACCGTGCCCGGCCCATATTGTTATTTCTTTAAACTACCATTTATCACCTTTTTTTACTTCTGCAGTGTAAAGCCAGGAACATGTTTTATTTTAAAAACAAAACAAAACAAAACAAAACTTTTCTAGTCCAACTCTCTTCTTCTCCCAAAAGGCAAAGATCAATAAATAGCTATACTATGGACTTATTAAAAGAGACCACATTTTTCACGTCTTGAATTGTACCATGCTCCTCTGTTATTATTTATTTATTTATTTATTTGTTTATTTAGAGATGGAATCTCACTCTGTCTCCAGGCTGGAGTGTAGTGGCATGATCTCGGCTCACTCCAACCTCCGCCTTCCAGGTTCAAGCAATTCCCCTGCTTCAGCCTCCCGAGTAGCTGGGACTACAGGCACATACCACCATGCCCAGCTAATTTTTGTACTTTTAGGAGAGATGGGGTTTCACCAAGTTGGATGGTCCCAATCTCTGGACCTTATGATCCACCTGCCTCGGCCTCCCAAAGTGCTGGGATTACAGGTGTGAGCCACCACGCCTGGCCTACTCTGTTATTATATCTGTTTAGGCTTCATCACTAGAAGAGAAGATATCCTCAGCAGATGAAAAGTCACAGCAGAGCACCAATTAATTATTTGCTGCTCATATGACTGATATAAGTGTGTGATGTGTGAAGTGGCTTTGAGATAGGTTTTCTGGCTCTGCTGCATGTTCAGGAAGATGTAGTGACTGCTCTTGAATCTATGCACCTGTGGATATGAGTTTTACAGCCAATATGTACCAATGCTAAAGGAATCCTAGCTACAACACAGACTTACATAAAATTAGCACCATGGATGGCATGTGCTTTGAGATGTCATTCGATAGCAAGAATAACAATAACAGCAATAATACCAACAACAAATTGAAGTAAAAATTGACAATTCATTTTTGCTATGTGTCTACCATTGTGTTAGACATTTTGTATGGGTAATTTCATTAAATCTTTACATGAACCCTATGAGGTAGTTGCTATAATTATCCCTATTTTATGGTGAGACAATGGCAGCACCAAGAAAATTTAGTAATCTACTAAAATCTACATAGCTATGAAATGGTTGAGACAGGATTTTAGGACAGTCAGTCAGTCTCCATCCATATCCACCTACCCTTTCCTCCTAGTGACTAATGGATTTACAATGACAGTGGGGATCCATTTGGTGGGGATATATTCAGTGAACACACAGGAGGACAAGATTAGCTGGATTGGATTAAGATGGAATTAATGACCTTGACTTCATTAACTCTGTACTCCACTCAGCTAAATAAGCCTAGTAGATCTGAATGTTTTGGAAAACTTGCCTCTGGGTTGAAGCCTCCTGGCCTGGAAAGAACAAGCTTTAGAAGGCCTTGCTGTCTGTTGTGGGATAGACAGATTAGGTTCACAGAATGAGGGCAAATGAACATGCAAGTGATCAACTGTACTCTTTATAAACTCAATGAAAGCAAGAACAGAGCTCATTCATTTCTGGCCACCACCAGGAAGCTCTCATTTTTTTAGCCTGTGTCTCCAGGGAAGGTTGTTATTTTCATAAAAAATTTATCTCCATATTCATTTTATTTCTTTAAAAATAATGGTGGATTGTTTGAAAACTTTTCTCAGTCTTTTTATTAGCTTCTTGGAAAGTTAGAAGTAGCCCTATGATCTCTAAAATTGGTTTGAATTAGGTGCACAATTAAAAGTTCATCAAATTGGGAAAGATTTGAACTTTCTAACACTGGTTTATCATCATTTTTCTAAAACCAGTATCAACAAAAGAAAAAGGGAAAGCCTACTTCAAGGATCCTATGCAAAGAGCTCTCAGTTTTTTTTCTTGTAATTATTGTCAGCCCTTAAATGTACACATCTGTTGCAATAAGCAAGAGTTGTGGCATGCTCTGTGAAGATGGGCCAAACCTCCTGCAGAACTGTGTGAATGGAATTCAGTATACACTGAAGCCTGAAAATATCATAAGAGCATTCCATTCTTCTCATGTGACTTTTCTTTCTTATTCAGCTGTATTTGGATCTCTGTGGGGAGCAAGTAACAGACTGTGGATTCAATGAAATGGAAAAGCAGGAGAGACTTCCAGAGAGCCTCTTTCCATCCTTCAAGGTCTTCATTTGTCTATAACACTTGATAGATCAGTTTAGTCCAGAATTCACTGATACACAAGAGATTGACCTGCCCTATTATGCTAACATAGAAAGCCCCAAATCAAAACCCCTGCCACTGACCCCGGGCCCCAAGCTCTAGGAGCTGTGAGGTTGAGACAAGAAATTGTGAGAGTCAACAATGGCACTGACAACCATACGTTATTGACTCAGACTGATTGAAAATTAAAGCACCAACCCCAGAGGAAAATTTGCAAAGAAATCAGGATGTGCTCAGATGCTCTGAATTCCTAAGCTCTTGCTTTTGCCTTGACTGGATCATTATAAGTAAAGACAAGTAGAAAAGCTACAAAGTGCATTAGTAAGTTCTTCTCCCTTTTGAAAAGTTGTCATTGACTAAGGTCCTATGTGGAAAACCAGGATGGGATTCGGAGGTTTAACATTAAGTGGAGTCTCTGCCCTTCAACTGATGTGACTTTAGGGAATTCATGTCACTGCTTGATGTCTCTGTTTCAAATTTGTAAAAAGTGAGATAATTATATTTTCTTCCTTCCTGATTTTCCAAGATGATTATCAGTCAGGTTGTGGACAACAATGTGTTGAATTCTGAGCAAAGAAGGCTCCCATGAGATTCAAAAGAATACCTTTTCCCTTACTGTTGTATTTTTCTTTCAGTGTAGTTTGCCTCTAACAGACAACAAAGTAGCACAGATATGTCCTGTCTTGTTCCTGGTATCTTTCTTCTCTCCAAAACATTATCAGTGACTCACCAATAGGAAAACAGAGCTTGGGAGATGGGATTTGTCAGTTAACTTGCACTCCCTCTGCTGGTTGGATGCCTTGTATTTATTTTTCCATGACTCCCAGGCTGTAAGGTTTATTTACTTGTTTTCAGTAAACTTGGAAATTATGCATATTTTTGGAGAGTAATCAACTTAGAATGAATTTGCAATATTCTATGTTTTCCAGTATCTGGAAGTGTTGCCATTTTATTTAGTACAAATGTAAAGGCCAGGTTCATAAAACTGTTTTATCAAGGCAGTATTATCAGGAATTAGCAACTCTATCCAACTCCAACTTTCTATTGGTACCCATGAACAAAGGGGTAAGAAATAAGTACTTATCTGACATCGGCTATCAGTCATTGTCCTTAAAACACTGGAGGAGTAGCTCAGTGCACACAGGAGCAGTCTGATAAAAGCAGCCAGAGCCATCAACTATGTTTACATTAATGAGTTCATAGTAATATGGAAAAATAAACTGATCGGTTATCTTCAGAGGATGATAGAGAAACAATTCATTATTTTGAAAACTGGAAAATAAAGGGAAAGACAAAGCAATTATCCTGTCTTTTCTGTGTGAATTATAGTATGGGGGTAATCTAAAGTAAAGGAAAGGAGTATTTCTTTTTAAAAGTATTCTAGGCAGTAAATGTAAAAGAAATGATAGAATTAGAATATAATTATTCTTCAATCCCTAATCAATTAATGGATCTAGGCATCAAGCATCAAAGGCTACTGACATCACATAAAGAGGTACATCTCGTACCTCCCAATGAAAGAACATACCACCACCTATGAACTTGCCAAAGGTGTTGAATTTGAGTCTGATCAATTCCCTGGATCCAGTTGCCAATTTGCGAAAGACAGAGGAAATGTTGAAATGTAGCATGAGTGTGCATTCAGCAAAATCCAGACTGAGGGAAATTCTACAGGTCAAATGCCCTGAGTTCTTCAACACATATATTGCAAAGAAAAGACATGGATAGAGAAGTCTCTAGAATAAAGGTGACTTAAGAGACATGTCCTTTTTTTCTTTTTTTTAAGGGCAAGTCTTAACCAGAGTGTCTAAGATGCCTCTGTGTGTGATAATACTGTGAAGAAACAGAAGGAAGTGATTACCGTGCTAGTTAGGTTGTGGTTATTTCTGGGAAGAGGGAGGGCACTGAGATTGGAATGAGGCTAATGGAGGTGCTTCAGGGATGCTGACAAACTTTTATTTATTGACCTGGGTGGCAGTTATTGGGTGTTCACCTTATAACTAATTAAGGTATGAATTTGTGTGGGTTTTTTGTTTTATTTTACCATGACAAGTTTTTTTTAAAAAGGCCTCCAGGATGGCCAGCCGCAGTGGCTCACGCTTGTAATCCCAGTACTTTGGGAGGCCGAGGTGGGCGGATCAGCTGAGGTCAGGAGTTCAAGACCAGCCTGGCCAACATGGTGAAACCCTGTCTCTACCAAAAATACAAAAATTAGCTGGGCATGGTGGAACGTGCCTGTAGTCCCAGCTACTCGGGAGGTTGAGGCAGGAGAATCGCTTGAATCCGGGAGGGGAGGTTGCAGGGAGCCGAGATCGCACCACTGCACTCCAGCCTGGGCAACAAGAGCGAAAACTCCATCTCCAAAAAAAAACCCAAAACGGCCTTCAGGATGAGAAGGTGCCTTTCAGCAGCCTCAGTCAGTCCCCCTCCTCCCTATTTCTTTCTGTTCGCCCCCTCCTCTGCCCTCCCATCTCAACCTCTCCATCTTTCTAATCACTGTGATTACTCTCCCTGGTTCTCAGCTCTTGGCCACCCCTTGACTGAGCCTTTGGCATTTCCCTCATGTGGCTCTTTTAGATCCAGATTGAAGTTTTTCTCTGCATGTTGGTTTTGGTGATTGCCTTTGCCTAGTCTCATGTCAAGACCAAGTGGAACAGCTGGGAAGAGAAAACAGAGCCCAGGAAATCTGCTTCTACTTTGCTGGTCTTCAAGGTCGGCCTGCCAGATAAACTCAGTTTCATCAGACTTAATGTTCTCTTAAACGTGTCTCATTGTATATTTTTTACATTTATATGATTTTGTATTTCTTTTAATCTGGTTTATACTGTCAGTTAATTGTGAGTTTAACTTAGGTCTAAATGTTAGACCAAAAAAGATGTAAGTAGATATTTTAGACAAAGGTATTTTAGAAGCAACTAATTTTATTGAGTACCTTTCATATGCCATGCACCAGACTACATTTCTTCACAGGAGTAATAAAAAATAGTAGCCACTATTCACTGAGCACCTAGTATTTATTGAGCACCTACTATGTGCTAGGCAGTAGCAAATAAATATGTTTACATATATTATCCCTAATCCTTCAAAGGGCATTTTATTTCTACAAGATGGGTATCATTGTCCCCATTTTACGGGGAAGGAAAGTGGGGCCATGAGGGTAAAATGATTTGCTTAAAGTCACTTGAGCAAAATAGATAGTTACTTGTGAAAACAAAATTGAACCCATATCCTTCTGGCTCCAGAATTTGTTCTTTTTCACCATAATTAAATATTGACCTATAGCCGTCTTCATTATACAGTGAAAACAATTTTCTATTAACCTCATGATGAGGTACAACACTGGACTTGAGTTTCAATATGAATTATAAGATTTACTGTGGATGTTGATGTTTTGTGTTGGCTGTTCTTCCTGTTATGGGGGTAAAGCACAGCTGTTATGGCAAACAGATACAGTCACATTTGAGTATTAAAAATTAAAGCTAATCGTAGAGAAAACTTCCCAAGTGCTTGGCCAACTGTTGCCTTTCCTTTTCTACCTCTGGCACTGCTTCACTTCAATGTGCTTCACGTCACTCATGCTTTGTTTTTTCTCTTAGTACAGGGTAACTGAGGGCTAATGTGTTGGTAGGAACACATTGCTGATTTCTTAGTAAATCAGTGAAAATAACTCCTCCTGGACTATTATTACGGTACTTACAAGGTGATTTCGCCCCATATTATGTTCAATTCCAGAGCTCTTCTGCATTTGGACAAGTAGGAGACAGTAAACAGAATCAGAATAAGAGAGAATATATACATTTATTGTAAAATTGTTCATTATGTAACCCAATTCTCACCTGGAAAAAAAGTCACTTAATGTTGAAAGATTTTCTATCCTGCAATTGCACAATCCAGTTTATTTAGTGCACAGGAATAAACATGCACAGACAAGGGGGTAAGAACTTGACTGGGTTTCTTGTTTAGTAGTAGTCTTACAAAAAAAACATTTTTGTTTCATTTTAAAAATTGCTTTTTTTATTTCTCTCAACTTTCCTTAGGGTTTTTGTTCTCTTACAGCTTTTTAAGTAGAATTTGAAAAGATTGTGTTTTTTTTTTTTTTCGCTGTGGAGTGGACAGAAGAGAATTGTTTCCCAGTTTAAGTATTAATATATTGGCAGGCTTTTTTTTAAAGCTAATCTGCCACAAATCCTGCAGAAGAAGCATTAACACAGATTATTTTTGTGTGAATCTTACATACCATATGTATGTAAGCCTTCATAAGGCTATTTATTCTTTCATGTTTATAAAGGTATGGATATTGCTGATACAATTTTTTTCATTTTTATTTTTAAAGAATGTAAATCACACACACACACACACACACACACACACACACACACACACACACACACACACACACGCCAGACTAGAAACTGTGCTATTCTTGAATTTCTCTAAGAGCAAAAAGCTCTGTAATCCTCTAATATCTGAAAACGAGTCTTTGGCTATTTTTGTTTGTTATACATCGAGGATAGATTTTTAAGGTGCTCAACACGGCCTTGAGAACTATTTGTACGTTAAGACCTAGACTTACTGAATATTTTCAAAGCAATCAAGTTAAATACCTTTTCTTTTGAAGAATCCTGGCTACCCTTAGAGAATCTCAGAACACTCCATAGACACAGCAGTGACATGTAGGCCTACAGATCACCTAACAACGACAATCCCAAGCATCCGACTCTGCTGTACAAAGGGAAGGCTATTTGGCCAAGTGAGATGCTAAAGTCAGTGGACTACAATAAAGAAAATCCCTTAATAATTAAAATACAGAGTCTAAAAACCAGACATCCCTCAACAGCCAGCAATTCTTAACCCTCTGTCCATTAGAATTACTGGGAGGGAGTGCATGTGAATGCTCTCAATGAATACTGATGCTCAGCCCCCTTGCAGTTCTCTAGGTATGGATTGGAGCCATCAGTGTTTTTCAAAGCTCCCCAGGTAATCTTTGTATTTCCAAACATATTGCAAATTCTGGGGTTACCATGGAATGACTTATTCTTTGGTCAGAAAGTCTGATTTAAATAGAGGAGAACAACAGCAAGATTTGCTCACCGACAATTCCTTTATTTCATTTAGAAGGCATTACTCTACATTACTGCATGGAGGGATTCTATGCAGACTCCAAAGATATTTTGCCAGACATCTGTGGCACCAGAGGGTCTGGAAACTTTCCAAATGATACGTTTCCAGACTAGAGAAGGTTTATGCATTTGGGATGGTATGAAACAAGTGCTTTTTGGGGTCTGTGAGAACTTTTTAAACAAGGCTATTTAGAGAAAATTAGGAAAGCTTCCTCCCCGCCCCTTCATTTTTACTTTCTGAAATGTATTCATGATGCCTGGGACTGATCAAGGTGTCATAATCCTCACCTGAATGGCACAGAGTAATGTTTTCCATAATGAAGGAGGCCGCAGGTCAAACTTTACATAAAAATTCTGACATTCCTGCTCTCCAAAGCCATCCTTTCCCAGTGATAATAACTTCCAGTTTCTTGAGATCCACTGGGCATTTTGCTAGGTTGGAAGGCATTTTGTTTGCTTAGTTTATCCTAAGATCTGAAACAAGAGTGGTGTGTGGAGCAGATTTGCTTTCTGGACACTGTGGAATTTTAGCAAAAAAAGATCAGCCTGTATGGCTCATTTTAATTTATCAAAAGCTGCCAGGCTTGGCTACAGTGTAGATCTAGCAATCCACTTTAATGTAAACATTTTAATTACTATTTCTAACATTTGGCTTTCATTAAAAGAGAAAAACTTTAAAGTTTTTTTTAATAAAGTTTATACTTAAAACCCCCTTACAGAGCGTACCCCTTCCTATTTCCAACACACACACACACACACACACACACACACACACACGGTTTTGATTTAAAAACAAAAAGGAAAATCCATAAATAAAAGGAGAACAAGAAGAAAGGGAGGGGAAGGGAGGAAAAGAAGGAAGAAAGGAAAGAAAAAGAAAATACCCCAGTAACCCAATAGCCCAAATGTGAAGGCAAGGTTTAGGTCTTAAAACATGAATAGAAAAGAGGTAACCTCTGATTGATTCTGAAATTCAAAAATATCTTTTTGGCAAAGGACCTTGAAAAATATGATGCATGGTGAAGCATAAAAATGTTTTGCAGGATATATTTTCCTGCCCAGTTTTAAAAAGATTTGTGGTCATTTATAAGATGGACTATGATGCGAACTGGTACAATTGGTGTTGAAACAGAGCCTGGGCTATCTGATGAAAATGGAGGGAGAGGGTGTTACCCGGAATTTGGGATGAGTTGCTTACTTCTAGGCATTTTCGGAACCCGCTACTTCACACCCCTCTGTAGCAGCTAAGCAGTACCTCTTTCTCAGGGGACTGAGCATCAACTCACTGGGGAACCTCCTTGGAGCTTCCAGGTCCTGGTAGCTCCAGCTCCTTCCCTTTAATTCCCTGGCAACTGCTTCCTGCAAGTGTCATCTCTGGGCTCCTTCCGTGTTCTTTTTTTACTCTTTTGATTTTCCAACATGTATGTAACCAGTTATCAGTATTAAATTTTGTCTGCTAAAAGGCTTAATGTAGTTTCTGTTTTCCTGACTGGACCTTAACTGGTACATTTTGTCTAGTTATTAAATGCTATGATCCGAATGTTTGTGTTCCACTAAAATTAATATGTTGAAATCTTAACCTCTAATGTGATGGTTCCAGAAAGTGGAACCATTGGGAAGTGATTAAGTCATGAGGGTGGACCCCTCATGAATGGCATGAGTGCCCTTATAAAGGAGGCCCCAGGGAGACTGATCTGCCCTTTCACTGAGAGGACACCATAAGAAGGGGCCATCTATGAGAAAGTAGGCCCTCAGCAGACGCCAAATCTATTAGCACCTTGAACCTGGACTTCCCACCCTCCAGAACTGGAAGAAATACATTTCTGTTGTTTATAAGCCACCCAGTCTAGGGTGGTTTGTTATAGCAACCAGAATATACTAAGACATTATTAAATAACGGAAATTCCTTGGAATCTGGTTCTGGGTTGGGACCCAGGGATCTATATTATTCTAAAGTACTGATGCATAGCCAGTTTAGGGGAACATCAGGTAAGATCATCTATAAGGTCTCTTTGGTCACCAAAATTCAATTATTCCTTAGAATGACAGAGTCATAAATTTAAAAATTCAATGACGTGAACTTGTTCTAAACTTGTATTTTTAAAAGATGGATGTTGTAGAAGACTTACTTCTATACCAGGGTATTATTAGTCTCTTAGAGTGGCAAGGGACCTCAGATTTTATTTAGCTAAGCCCTCCTTCTAGTGCAAAATGGATTCTAAATGGCTCTTGCAGTAAGAACATAAAATCAGATCTGAGTTCCATTCAGGGAGCAGCCTGTGTCACCGGCATTCCCACAATGTAAAGTTCTTTCTATGTGATAAGTGACCTTGACTAAGACCAGACTCCACTACTTTTTGTACCTTTGTGTGAAGAAATGAAAAAAAAGTATCCGTTTGTAAACTGCAAACAGTTTTCTATATCTTAAGAGGTGGAGACTTAAGTTTTATCTTTTAAGCACAGTGTCACTTTATTCTGGAGAAACCTCTCCCAACTAGTGCAAAGGCAATCTTTAAAATGAGGAAGTTTGACACAATTTGGCTCCAAGGAGATAGAATGAACTAGGTAATGAAACTTTTCTCTATTTAGGAAACCATTGCATCTCTACAGAAAGTGTTTCCTTTAGACTGAAATCCCTTCCCTTCCCTCTCTTTCTCTCTCTCTCTTTCTCTTCTCTTCTCTCTTTTCTTTTCTTTCTTGCAGAGTCTCACTCTGTCACCCAGGCTGGAGTGCAGTGGCATGATCCCGGCTCACAGCAGCATTGACTTCCCAGGCTCAGGTGATCCTCCCACCTCAGCCTCCCAAGTAGCTGGAACTATAGGCATGCACGACCACACCAGGCTAATTTTTGTGATTTTTGTAGCGACTGGGTTTCACCATGTTGCCCAGGCTGGTCTCAAACTCCTGGGCTCAAGTGATCCTCCTGCCTCAGCCTCCCAAAGTGCTAGGATTACAGGTGTGAGCCAGAGCACCCAGCCACTTTTCTTTTCTAAGTATAGTCATAAGTCACTTAACGATGAAGATACCTCTGAAAAATATGTCGTCAGGCTATTTTATCATCATGCAAACATCATAGAGTGTTCTTACACAAACCTAGATGGTACAGACTACTGCACACCTATGCTAGATGATATAGCCTACTGCTCCCATGCTGTGAAGCTGTACAGCAGGTAACTGCACTGAATACTGTAGACAACTGTAACAAAATGGTATTTGTATATTTAAACAGATCTAAATGTAGAAAAAGTACAGTAGAAATATAGTGTAAAAGATAAAAACTACCCCTGTATAGGACACTTACCATGAATGGAGCTTGCAGGACTGGAAGTTGCTCTGGGTGAATCAGTGAGTGGTGAGTGAATGTGAAGGCCTGGGACATTATTGCACACCACTGTAGACTTTATAAATACTGTACACTTAGGTTACACTAAATTTATAAAAATATTTTACTTTCCTTTGTAATAACACTTTTTTGTGTAACAACACTTAGCTTAAAATGCAAATACATTGTGTAGCTGTACAAAAACATTTTATTCCTTAATATCCTTAAGCTTTATTCTATTTAACTTTTTTTTTTTTTTTTTTGCTTTTTAAACTTTTTTTGTTAAAAACTAAGACACAGACACATTAACCTAGGCTTATACAGGCTGAGGATTATGATTATCACTGTCTTCCACCTCCACACCTTGTCCCACTGGAAAGTCTCAGGGCCAATAACATGCATAGAACTGTCGTCTCCTGTGATAACAATGCCTTCGGGAATGCTTCCTGAAGGACTTGCCTGAGGTTGTTTTGCATTTGATTTTTTTTAAATAAGTAGAAGGAATATACTGTAAAACAACAAAAAGTATAATATATTAAGGACATAAACAAGTAACAGTTGTTTATTATCAGGTATTATGTATTGTACCTAGTTGTATGTGCTATACTTTCATACAACTGACAGTGCAGGTTTGTTTACCCCAGCATCACCCATCACCACAAACATGTGAGTGATGTGTGCATTATGATGTTACAATGGCTACAATATCACTGGGCAATAGGAATTTTTCAGCTCCATTTTAATCTTATGCAGCCACCATCATATATGCAATCCTTTGTTGATCGAAAGCTCTTTATGCGGTGCATGACCGTATAAATTTAGACCAGTGCAAACTACGCATAGGGCAAATCTGGCCTAGCACCTGTTTTTGCACTGCCTGCAAACTAAGCATGGTTTATTATATTTTTTAATGGTTGGAAAAAAAAGAAGAATATGTCATGCCATGTGAAAACTATGTGAAATTCAATTTAGTGTTCATAAATAAAATTGTATTGGAACACAGCCATGCACATTCACTGACATATTGTCTGTGGCTGCTTTTGTATAAGGACAGAATTGCAGAGTTTTAATGGAGACATGTGGCCCACAAAGTTAAAAATACTTACTATCTGACCCTTGACAGAAAAAGTTTGCTGATCCCTGGTTTAGACCATGCTGTGTTTGAAAACCGTTGTTTGTTCTTGTGGAAGGGTGTGTGTGTGCTTGTGTGTGTGTGTGCATGCACAACCTCAGTTGCTCACTGAAGATTGGGAATGAAAATGCAGGACATGGTAGATAAAATATGGATTTTCATCTTCAGGGCACGATGGTGGAGAGATCAACAAAGGAGTCAGCCAAGGACTGCTGAAGCTCCACTTGAGCTTTTCCATTACATAAACTGTGTACGGCATCTGGTGTTTATTTTAAGCTGATTAACACAGAATCTGGGAAATACAATCATGCTGGACTGTTGTTTTCTGATTTTGTCCTAGAGACAAAGGGCCACTCCACACTCCTGTGATATGGGTGGAGCTTCCCTTGAAAGGAATGGATCTTCTTACCCTCAGTTACCCAAGGAAGAGGAAGACTTCCATCTGAGGCAGAGCAATGGGGACTTGGAGGAAAGTTTTTGCTCTGTGGGTTTCTAGATAGTGGGACTAGACTCCAAGCAGGGCAGGCACAGCAATGTTACACCCCGGGACTGACCTTTGTCCGGGACCACTCCTCATCTGAAAGTTTCATCAGCAGTATCCCACCCTCTAACTCGAACTCCCCATTTTCCAACTCCCATGCTTTCTCACTCCATTCTATCTCAAGTCCTCCATTTCCTTGTGCCTTTCTTCCCTCTCAATCTTATGGCTCCTTTTTGGATTCACTCCCTTTCTTTTTCTCTTTTCCCCTTTCCTTCCCTCATTCCTTCCTTCCTTCCTTCCTTCCTTCATTCCTTCCTTCCCTCCCTTCCTCCTTCCCTCCTTCACTCCTTGCCTCCTTGCATCCCTCCTTGCCTTCCTCCTTCTCTCTTTTTCTTTCTTCCTTCCTTCCTTCCCTCCCTCCCTCCTTCCTCCCTTCCCTCCTTCCCTCCTTCCCTCCTTGCCTTCCTCCTTCTCTCTCTCTCTTTTTCTTCCTTCTTTCTTTCCTTCCTTCCTTCCTTCCTTCCTTCCTTCCTTCCTTTCTTTCTTTTTCACAGGGTCTTGCTTTGCCACCCAGGCTTGAGTGCAGTGGTACAGGAACGGCTCACTGCAGCCTCGACCTCTAGAGCTCAGGTGATTCTCCCATCTCAGTCTCCCAAGCAGCTGGGACCACAGGTACCGACACCATGCCCGGCTAATTTGTTTGTTTTGTTTTGTGTTTTTCTTTCTTTCTTTTTTTTTTTTAGAGAAGCGGTTTTGCCATGTTGCCCAAGCTGTTCTCAAACTCATGGGCTCAAGCGATCTGCCCGCCTCGGCCTCCCAAAGTGTTGGGATTACAAGCGTGAGCCACCATGCCCACTTCACTTCTTTCTTTAATTAACCTGGATTTCATCATACAATTTTTCAGTGACTCCCTCACTGGTCAATGACTTCATTTCATTTCCAATGTCTTTTGCTTCTCTTACCCTAATAATACTCAACCCTGGATAAATCCAGCCATTTGCCTTTTCACTGTCTTTCATCTGACTATGGAGTATTTTTGCAAAAAAGTCACACAGCAAAAATTCATGATTCAAATTTCAACCTGGCCATATCTCCTTATTCAAAGGGAAAAGAAGCTATCATATGGAATTCTCTGCCTACAGACTTATCTGATTCTGCTTGGTCTTTTTCTCCTCTTCAATCTTAAAGCAACTGCCTCCCTGTCCTCCTGTGCAAGAGTTTGGCTCCTCTACTGACAACTTGGATCCTGGTCCCTCCCTGTTTACATGGACTTGCTCTGTCTTTAATTCCTTCCTGTTTACCTTTGATTCCTTCCTGCTTATCTTTATCTTCTTTATCTCTGTTACCTCTTTCTCCTGAGCATAGAACTATGCTCAAATCTTGCCTTGGAAAAATCTCCCTTTTCTACAATGTATCAATATTGTTTAATATTTTAAATTTGCATTCCTCATTGACGAGTTCTATCTTGCGTTTATTGCATGGAAACTAAGATGTTCTCTAAGATGTTCAAGTATTTCTAGACAGAATAAAACATAAGAAACAACCTAAATGTCTGTCAATAGAGGTTTGGTTAAATAGATTTTGTTAAATATAAATATATTTGTATGCCTTCATACAAACAGAATGCTACAGGTCCAGTAAAAAAAGAATAGGATTAATCTCTGTATCCACTGACATAGAAAGAGACACACTTTTAGGCAAAAGGGGCCAGTTGAGGGACATATACAGATTCAATTTTTATAAACTTTAATTAAATACACACATACAAATGCTAGTGTCTTTTTAGCAGGCAAATCTCACATGCCACAAAGTTATGTGTAAATCAAATGTATTTTTTCTTTATTTTTCTATAGCTAAACCTAATTTCTTACATGTCCTTTCTGCCTAGTGACATAAACCTATTCTGAGTCAATTCAGGTTAAATTTAACTAATTCAGAGTATTCTCAGTTAATATAAATCTTGTCTCCTTTCCTTTCTCTGCAGAGAAGCAACTGGTTTTTAGGGGAGCTTATGTTGTTTCCAGGAAAGGGGATATCAATACTCAGTTGCCAGCCTGTTCATTCATTCACATAGTCAATCAACAATTTTTGATTGTGTATCATATGTCAATCATTGTTCTAAGTTTCTAGAAATACAGCAATGAACAAAGCAGTAAAATCACAGCAGAAGCAGCAAGAACATCCTGACTTCATAAAGCTTAATTTCTGTTGGGTACAGACATACAATAAAATAATAAGTAAAGTATGTAGTATATTGGGTAAGTGTTTTGGATACAAATTAAGAAAAGGGGACAGGGAGGCTAGGGCAAGGGATGTTGCTGCTTTAACAAGGCTGATCAGGGAAACTCATCCTGATCAGGCGACCTTTGAGCAGAGAGCAGAAGGAGGTGAGGGCAGCAGCCATAGATGTGTGGGGGAAGAGGATTCCAGGTAGAGGAAAGAGCTACATTTGCTCTCTTATTCAAGCATGAAGCATGCTTGACCTGCTTGAGTAAGAGCAAAGAGATCCGTTTGGCCCAAGCAGAGTGAACAAAGCAGAGAATGAGAGCAAAATAGTTTGGAGATAAAGTGGGGAGTCATGATGGTGGTGGGAACCTCTGTTGCTCCTTATCCCTTTCCTGGACAGCTCAGCTCAGGATGGCTAAGGGTTCTCAATCCCTTCTCAGGACATTTACCGCCTCTATCACTCTGGCTTCCTTCTGCTTCTGAGCCTTTGCCCCAGCTCCAGATACATGTTTATGTAGGAAAAAGTGCACTAAACCACAAACTTCAGATTTAGGGTCTTTTAGAACCTCAACTCCTAAGACTCAGAACTTTTTTCTCAAAGATTTACCTCTGTTCAGGACTCCAAATTTATCCAAATTTCAAGATTTGTATCTGCTCAGGATTTTGAGATTTTTGAATCTCAAAATTGAGAGTGGGCTTTTTCTTTCGCTCAGAATTTTTGCTGTAACTGCCCTCCTTTGGAACAATGGATGACACTTAGCTAGTTTAAATAGGGAAAGAGCAGAGGTGGACATAGAATGTAAAATGGAATTCCTAGAAATGAAAAACACATTGACTAATATTTAAAACAATTACCTAATACCTTATCTTCCTACTGTTAATGATAGTTATCTCCTTTGTTCTGCATTCTAGGAGGCTTTTCTTTACTATCTTTACTATAGCTTTCTGAATCTCTCGAACATTTTCCCAGTTGCCATGTATTAATTTTGTAATCATACAAAGCTATAAAAATAAGCAATAAAATTATATATAAATAAGACACTGTCCTTTGGTGTAATTTCACTCTTTATCTCTCTTCCCTCTTTCCTCTGCACCTGCTCAGCCAACCTTCTTAAAGTAAAACCTGTACTTTCTCTCCCTCACTCCTTAGTGTACTGTTATCTGACATCACCCTCCAACTCACCGTGGAGACTGTTTTCTAGTTCAGTCAACTCTAAAATGCCAAGGAAAATGGATGTCCAACCTATTTATCCCATTACCTTGTCTGCTGTGTGTGATACTATTGACCATTTGCCTTTCTTGACACTCTTTCCTCTCCTACCTCTCTGGATAGACACTCTTTCTCAGTCTCCTTCTTGAAGTCTCCTTTCTCCTTGTACCATGTCAGTGTTGGTGTTCTATTAAACTCTTCACTTGATCTTAGCCAAAAGGCCGAGAAGCTATATGTTCTACTAAATTCTGTCCTCAAACTTCCTCCCTCCTATTACCAATCTTGATAAATTTTCATGGATACGTGCATTTTCATTTATGACTCCAACTTCCCATGTATATAACTATTAATCCTTAATATGTATCTTCAACCTGGAAAAAAATTGTGGATTAAAAATGCTATATTCAGTGGCTGATAAGACATCTCTGGCTGATGCACTGACATCTCAAGTTTGGCTTCTGCATACATGATTTTTTCACTCTCTCAAACTATCTCTTCTTCCTTTATTTCCCATCTCGGGGTTTAATGGCTCCACCATTCAGTTTCTGAAGCCAGAAATGGTGGCATCTTCAGTTATCTCTACCTGCCTACTCACCATCTTTATTCCTTATGCTTACTCCGCATTTAATTGCACTCCCAATTTTTGGAGTTGTGTTTTCTAAGTGTTTGTGAAATATTTGTTTTTCTCTCCATCCTTATTGTCATTGCCTTGGTTTTGGCTTTGGTAAGTCCTTGCTTGTGCTACTGTAATAGTCTTCTGGCATCCAGTTTCACCTCTTCTAATCTGTTCCAACGGTCACAAGGGTGAATTTTGAAAACTGAAATCTTGTTCTGTTCCTTTTTTTTCATTTTTAATGGCCATTAAAAATGGTCTTCAGAATAAAATATAAATTTGTCAGCATTGCATGCAAGGCATTCCATGATCCAGCCTCTATCTACTTACCACACTAACTTCCTACTAAAAATTTCTTTGGCGTTATTGATCCTCTTGGAGTTCCCTTATATATTCTTGTTCTCTCTTACTTCTAATTGTTTGCATAAATGACTACCTCTGCTAGTAATGTCCTTCTTCCCTTTCTCCCCAAGTCTGTGAAGACTCCACTTAAACCTCATATTCCATTAAAGTACCTTTTAATTTCTCTGCCTCTCCAATTTTACATCTGTTGCCCCTGCTAAGTATTCCTTCTCTGTACTACCGTACTGTCCCAAGCATTATCACTCTACACTTTCATAATCACATTTTTTATCTGTTCCCACATAAGCCTATAAATTCCCTAAGTATAGGAACTGCATCTGGTTCTCTCCCCTGCTAGAACACTACTTGACACATGATAACAACTAACAAATATTTGTTGTCTGATTTAATAGCCACCAAAGATATTTCAAAATAATTCTCTCCCATAGTGTATATCTCAAATTGATTTTTTGTTTAGCAGAAGAAGCAATCTGCTTTGCTAGAAAAAGTATCTATGCTAAAAGCAAGAAATATTGTACCTGGATTTTCATAGCAGCATATTCATAATGGCCAAAAAGTAGAAACAACTCAAATATTCATCAACTGATATTTATGATATTAACATACAATGAATACTATTCAGCCATAAGAAGGAATGAAGAACATTCATTCCTTCATACGTAATAGAACATATTTGTAATACAACATAGATGAACCTCAAAAACATACTAAATGAAAGCAATTCACAAAAGACTACATATTGTATGATTCCATTTATATGAAAGTCCATGATGGAGAAATCTATAGAAATAGAAAATGAATTGATATTTGCTTGGGCTTTGGGTGAGTAGCAAAGGGAGGATGGAGAAATAGTGAGGTTGATAAAATTGATGGTGATAGTTGTATCTTTCTGTAAATATACTAAAAACTGCTGAATTATATACTTTACATGGGTAAATTACAGGGTATATGGATTACCTCTCAGAAAACCGAAGCCAGTGGCCAGTATTTTACTTCTCTCCACACCAGTCTGGGCACCAGTCATGAACCAATGCAGGACCAAGGTCTTGGTAGTGCTTGGGATGGAAATGGCCCTAAAAAATCTGGCTAAATTAGCCTAAGACTAACCCGGTATATGCTCAAGAGGCCAGATCTATCACAGCAGGTGTGGGAACAGGTGTTAGTAGGCAATGCTTTAGGAGTTCTGGACCAAGTGCACTCAAGAGAACAAGTAAACTGTTCCTGTCATTTGCCTGGCCAGCTCAGGAAAGGTTCCAAGTAGTTCTTTCTTGTGTCCTTCTGGAATGGAGAAGACTTGGGGTTTGGTTGGTTTTCTTGGGTCACTTTATGATGGGACAGGCACCTTCTGAAAGAAACTAAGAATGATGATAAAATGCTACCTGCTTAGCTTTTTTTTGTTTTTTCTTGCATCTAGTATCTGAGGCCTCTGAAACCATTAAAGTCAGAAGGAAGAAACTTAAAGGAAAATAGAAAGATTGTAACTTCATCACCTGGATTCTGGTGCACAACATTCCACTTGGAAATGTTTTATTGAGCACCCGCTCTAAATTCCGGGCTGTGACTTATCAATTTGGTTTTGTTATTGTTGTTCTTGTTAAATGAATGAATATAAATTTATTCAAAAGTAGAAAATAATTCTTAATTACTATCTTAATCAATAATTGAAAGCATCCAAAATCAACAATAGAACTTTGGTAGAATTTAACTACAGGCAAATTCTTCCCAGTGAAGTGGAAGTCTATTCACTGAAACAGGGTATTAAAAGACAGTAAGTCTGAAGAAAAAGTTTTGCTCCATATATGACAAACAAATGATTCTTCTTAGGCAAACATCTTATGTATTGATTATTTAAAATTATATAAAAATTAAAAATAGCTAAAGGTTAAGTTATTCAAATAAAAATCTTGGATATCATTAGTAATAAAATGTGGCAAGTACAAATGACAAAAAAATACTACTTTTCCTGTTAACTTTTTATGAATTGGGTTCTGAAGGTGGCATAAGAGTTTTATCTACCCATGTATCTATTGGATGGGTTGAGTGTGAATTAACTTAGGGGACAAACGGGTAAGGGTCTAAGAGAAGGGTACTCTAGAGGCTTGAGGTAGCACATTGTGCTCAGAGATATGTGAAAAGTTCGGCACTGCTGGAGTTTACAATGAAAGAAGAAGGAGAAGAGTGTAGAGTGAAGCAAGGTGTTAAAGCAAACTAAACATGGCCTGAGAAGGACTCCATACTTCTATATTTGAGTCCTTGTGGACAAACTGTATCCTACCTTAATACACAGACCAGATTTAAAACCTAACTTAGAAGTATGTGCCTGTAACAATAGCTGAGTCTTGGCGGATCCCAGCGGCCATACTTCAACCACTTATAGACTGCTGAGTGTTCAAACTGTGCTCAAACAAGGCAAACGTCAGCCTGTAACCAATCCAGTACGTCACTTGCTTTTTTTCATCTATAAATTTGTTCTCACCACGAGGCATCCCTGGAGTCTCTGAATCTGCTGTGATTCTGGGGTCTGCCCGATTTGCCAATTGTTCATTGCTCAATTAAACTCCTTTGAATGTAATTTGGCCGAAGTTTTCCTTTTAACAAAAGTAAACAAGAAGAGTCAAGATTATGGAGGACATTGGGCAGGAAATGGTGAAGAACTTTGACTGTATCTTGAGGATGATCAGGAGTGACTGAAAGGCTTTCTATAGGGAAATCCCAGTCAGAATAGAGTTTTGGCAAGAGTAATCTGACCATGATATGGAAGGTGGACAGCAGGTAGAGTGAGGCTGAAGATAGGATGGCCACTCAAGAACTATGGGGTGGTCTAGTGAGATGCGGAACTTGAAGCCAGCCAAGAAAGTGGGGCTGGAGAGGAGAGCAAATGTGCAACAAGCAGTGTCTACAGCACCACCCCCTCAGTTTACAGAGTTTACATTCAAAGGAAAACACCGCAAAAGACACACTTAGCCTCTTCAGTTTTAACATAGGTTCATCCTCAAGTGAAGGTGTTTTTTTGTTCCTACTGCATAACTGTAGGAAGGAGACTGTTAGTCCAGAGCTGGGTGTAGCATGTGGTCAGTAAAATTCTCTGGGCTGCTTTCTGCATGTCACGATGGTTAACTGGTCCTCACCCTGGCTGTAGGTGTCTGATAATACAAGGATTTGGACCCAAGTTGTAGGTAGCTCCTATCTTAAGGCTCCTGCTCAGACCCTAAGGGAGTTTCCTGGAAACCCTGAGCTCTGTTGCTATAGGGAATTGGCTCTACTCTAAGTGGCAACCAGGGAGAGTCTTGGGCTCTGAGGAGAAAAGAACTTTGCAAGTCTCAAGAAAGATTGAGTGATTCTTTAAGTTCTCATTTGGAATTTATTTTCGCCTTTCTAAGAATGCAATACATCTGGTTATTGACCTTTTAATATGTTCTGCATAGAATGAGGCTAATAAATATGGGTTATAGCTTACCACCTTCATTACCCTCCTCATAAGCCCACTTTTTATTTATTTATTTTTTTTGAGATAGAGTCTTGCCCTATTGCCCAGGCTGCAGTGCAATGGCATGATCTTGGCTCACTGCAACCTCCGCCTCCCGGGTTCAAGTGATTCTCCTGCCTCAGCCTCCTGAGTAGCTGCATCCCACTTTTTTATGAATTGGGTTCTGAAGAAAAAAAAATTCCAGACAACTTCACAAGTTGGCCAAGAAATGTACAATTTCATTTTTAAATTATAAATTATATTTTTATGGTTTAAGAAAAAATTACATGACTAACATTTTTTAAATTACATAGACAATAGTTACTGGGTCTAACTCTAGTTAGATTAGTGGACCTATATCTAATATTCAGTAATGATTGGTTTCTTTATGCTGGGATTAAGCTGAATTGCTTGGGGCTAGTGAGAAAGCATATGAGAGGACATTTGACAAAAACTAAGAGTGAAATATTGAGAGAAAGTAAAAGCTGTTCTTTGCTAGGTGGTCAGGAATGTATGGGAAGCCCATAGACATAAGGACAGGTGTTTCAGAGGTGGAGGTGCTCAGATCACAAAACCAAAGGGGGAAGTGTGTTCTCTAGATATTTTGCAGGTGAGGAACCTGAAGCCCAGAGAAGTGAACTGTCTTGACAAGGTCATATAGCTGGTTAGTGGCAGGGCCTAGATGAAAACTGACCTCTCTTGATTCAAAGTCCATTGCTTTTTCTAATACCCCACATTATCCTGTGATTAAATACAGAGCTGGTGATTTCGGTGACTATAGAGCCACACAGATAAGGACCAGAATAGAAAGAGTGGTAAAATTATATGAGAAAATGACAAAAACAGACTTACAAAACTAAAGTAATAGGTCAGATTCGTCTTTCTAGATTAAAGGAAACAATAGCTATCTCCTAAGGCTGGGGAGGGATGGGTTAGTGGCAGAAGAGTGCACTGGGCCCTTACTTGGTATTTGGTTCAAGAAATAGTATAATAATCCAACTTTAAGAAAAACCTTCAGGTAATATTTTTCACATACACACAAGGCAAAGTGCGAAAAGGTCTGATTAAGAAGCATACCCAATAGAAGGTTCTAGCACATTGTTAAATAATTGTATTACCCTTCTAATTGCCAGGGAAGTGGGTGGAGATCTGTTAAAACTTTACAATAGACAAGGCGCAACAAGGAATCTAGATAACAGCCAACAGAACTAGTTATAAAAAGATTAGAAGCACTTGAAGTTGACCAAACAGCAGGAGCAGATAACACACATCTGCAAGTTCTAAAGCCATAAGCAAGGCGACTGGTGAAGCTAGGACGTGCATACAGAGCACTAAGGGGAAGGTTGAATAAGAATCTGAGGCATTCAGGTGTCAACTGTCTAAGATATTTCAGTAAGCCACTTTCTAAACAAAGCTGATCAGAACAACTGGAACTCAGTTTTCTCATATGTGTGAAAAAGAGCACCCTAGGGACCTATGATTCATAAAACTTCAGTGTAGTGTTCCAAAGAGGTAGGAAATAAACACACAGATTATTGAGCAGCTCCTATAACCAGGCACTGCATTAGACTCTTCTAATTCTAAGAATCTGCTGGCTTAGTGGTATTATCCCTACTGTATAAAGTCTCAGAAAAATTGATTAATTTGTACAAGGCCATTCTACTAATGACTTAGTGATGGAGCAGGAATTACTACCTGGTTATGTCCAATGTTTATCCATTTCTCATACAGCACAAAGTAGATGGGTGGGAAGAGTCATAACTTCTTGCCTACTCTGTCAAGGTTCTAGCGGAAGAAACCTGGAGAAGGCAGGTCAGTTCATCCTGTGTTGGTGAATGTGTTCGTGATCCTTCAGGAAATGATGTTCTACAAAATTTCCCAGATAGTTTTTAGGGGAAACTTGGGAGGAAGTTGTCTGACTCTGGGTCTCAAACATTGTGCAGATACCAACAGTTCCCTCATAACTGGAGGATAAAATTTAGTCTTCAAACTCCACGTTCTGCCATTCAAGACCCTTGCAAGTTTGCCCACGCTCTTTTGTTTAAACAGTTTTTAGTGTGAACTACAGCAAATACACAGACAAGTATGTAAAACGTGTGTACAATTTTAGAAATGATAATTTATAAGACTCTAGTTATATTCTAGGTACAATGACCAGCACTTTCTTCTCATTATATTCAATCTTCACAAAAACTTAAGGTTTGTGAAGGAAATAAAGACCTATTTTATGAAGGAAAAAGCAGAGTCTGAGGATGAGTGGGTGGTTGGGGGTAGTTTAAGCAACTTGCTGAAAGTCATACAGCCATACAGCTAGAAAGAGGGAAAGGGATTTGAACCGTGGTCTGCTGGATGGTAGAATTGTCTACTTCCTGTTTGGCAAAACATGTCCTCCCAATGCCACTTAGGTACATCATCCACTTTGCCCTGCCCCATCACCATCTCCATGAGGCACAGACTTCGCCACAGAGGCTGTCCATTACAGTTATCCAGATCCCAGGTGAGGGAAAATGGTCATGGGCAGAAACTGTCAGGCAGCCAAGACTCATGCATGGAGGTAGTGACCATTTTGCTACTGCTTATTTGCTTTAGAGCAAAAAAAAAAAAAAAAAAAAGTCATGGTTGAGAACCACATATTTGATTGTTCCCTAACAGAGAACACAGAGAAGTTGTCAGCATAGGTATATTCCAAATACTTCATGAAACTAAAAAATTAAGTGTTTTTTATCTGAGGTTCAAATCTAATTGTGCACTTTGTAATTTATTTGCTAAATTTAGCAATCCTAGTCCTTAAAGAGAAAGGCTTCCCATTATCTCCCATTCTTGGAAGCAAAAAATAATTGAAAATAGCCAAAATAAACACAGAGCAAGAAGCCCAGAAGCAAGAGTCCGTGATCCCTAAATATGGTTTATTTAGGATAAAATTATTTGGTCCCTCAGTTCTCCCTCCAGCTCTGCTGCTTGAGACACCACAGTTGAAAGCAGGTGCTTTAGGGAAAGGATTCATGTGAACTGGAAGTTGGACTTCTAACTCTGAGTGAGTTTGAGCAACCCCTTAATCTCATCGAACCTAGTTTTCTCATTTGTAAAATTAAAACACTAGACCAGGTAACCTCTGAGGTCTTTCCAATTCTAAAAATATTCTCCTTTGTATAAAAGAAGTGAGGAGAAATCAACATTTGCTGAACATATATTAAATGGTCAGTATTGTACAGGATAGTTTAATACATTATTTAATCCTCAAAATAATTCAGAGAAGCAAGTTCTACTATCCTTGAAATCAATGCATGGCAATTCTTGAAGGCAACCTTTATTTTTTCTCTTCTCTCATTTCAAGGAAAGACTACATAGATGCATTACAGAAACGAGTTAAATTCCACAACACGTTAACTAGACATGGTTAGTTCACTGATGATTTGGTGGGGTGACAAAGTACCGATAACATACCAGATTTTCTGCTCTTAATTATGAATTTCCAATCTGCCACTAGCTATCAATTCTCAAATTCTTTTCTTCCAAACCAGTCTGTTGTCCCTAGACTCCTTCCTCAATGGGATTAGACTCAGTAATAAAGTCGAATTCAGGGCATTTTCAAAGTGTGGAGAGGCTGTTTGAACTGGCCAATTGTCACTGAGAACTATCTTTCAAGCACTGAACATCTGTTGGTAAAAAGCTTCTGGCTGACTTTCAAGAGAAACTCTTTAACTTCTATTGATAAGTAGTTCAGTTAAGTAGAAAAAAAAAACCCTGTGAGATTAATCAAATAGAAAATACACACAAAAGCGTTGTATTCTACAATATGCCTTAGTGTTATGCTGCAATTATAATTGGGTTAAAATGGCAAAGATGAGGAGCATGAAATCATTTTAGGAAGCCTTTTGAGTAAGGCTCTTTTCTTTCAGCATAATACTCTTGAAATTAACCCACAGTTGTGCATATCATTAGTTTGTTACTTTTTGTTACTGGGTAGTATTCTATTGTATGAATGTACCACAGTTTATCTATTCATCCTTTTTGACCATTTAGGTTGTTTCCAGCTTTTGGTGACTGTGAATAGAACTGTAGAAATAAAAGATAAAAATTTCATATAGGTTTTTGTGCAGACATATGTTTTTATTTTTTGTGGGTAAATACTTAGAAATGGAATTGCTACATTGTATGGTAATTTTTTGTTTAATGTGTAACTAGCTGCTAAACTTTTTCTCAATGTGATAGTACCATTTTACATTTCCACCAGCAGTGTATGAGAATTTCAGGTGCTCTGCATCCCAATCAACATTTGCTATTGTCATTCTTTTAAATTAGCCACTCTGATAGGTGTAATAAATTAGCCACTCTGATGCGTGTATCATATGATGGCTTCAACTTGCATTTCTCTAATAAGTAATGACATTGAGCATCTTTTCTTGTGCTTATTTGCCATCTGTGTATCTTCTTTTGTAAGTTATCTATTCAAACCTTTTGCCTATTTTTTAAAAATTGTGTGGTTTGCTTTCTTATGAGTTTTGAGAGTTCTTTTATATATCCTGGATACAAGCCCTTCATCAGATATGTGATTTGTAAATATTTTTCCCACCTTGTGTCTTGCTTTTTAATTTTCTTAACATTGTCTTTCAGATCTTTGAAAGTGCAGAAGCTTTTAATTTAATGAAGTCTAATTTACCATTTTTTTCTTTTTGATTCATGATTTCAGTGTCCTAAGAAATCTTTGACTAACTCAAGGTAACCAAGATTTTCTCCTTTTCCTTTTTTCTACATATTTTATCATTTTAGCACTTATGCTTAATTCTGTGAGCCATATGGAGTTAATTTTTTAAATATGGTGGCAAAGGTTCACATTTTTTTCATATGTATACCCATTTGTCCAATACCATTTATTGAAACAACTCTATTCCCCATTTAATAACCTTGACATCATTGTTGAAAATCAAACGGCTGTGTGGGTCTATTTTTGATTCTCTTCTATGTTTGTCCTTATGCAAACACCACATTGACTTAATTAGTGTAGCTTTTTACTAAATCTTAAAATCGAATGGTGAAAAACCTCTAACGTTTAGTATACTCTCCTAGAGTGTTCAAATTTGGAAATACTAGGAGGGGATATTTCTTTTTCCCAGAAAAGGACTCTGAACACTTGTACATATTCTGGAAGCATCCTTTGCTTCCTGCAGTAATTTATATCTGTTACTACTAAGCTTTAAGTATTCCAAGAGTTCATTATAAGTTCTTGCTTTCATGTGCTCTTGCAAATGAACCCCTTAAACAGATCACTTCACGTCCATGATGTGTGTAATTCGTCATGGAAGTCACTAATCCCAGATCTCCATGGAAGGCAAGTGGTAGCATTATTGAACAGCTCGACTTTTCTGACTGTCAAATTATCTTGCTCACCCATGGTTTCCTGATGCTTGGAACTCTGGCTTCTCACCTCAGAGGCTTTGTAAACAAAACAGTTTGTATAGGTTGCATTTGAAATGCAAAAAGCTTACTTTTTAAGTGTTGGGAATTCCAGGGAACATAAAATCACTTTCACCAATTCAATCTATAAAAATGAGAAATCAAGAACGTTAGTCATGCAAACTATAAAGTCACAAATCAAGGAGATTTCTGCTGAAGACAGAGCTTTATCCTTGTTTTTTGGATGCAGGGACCCTCCTTTCTATCACCAAAGGAATATTTTGGACAGAAACAGTTCATTTGCTAGGGTATTTTCAAATTGGAAGAAGTGTGCCTTATATCACACTTACCAGTCTATATTGTCCAATCTATCATTTTCTCTCCCCAAACTAGAAAAGGGCAAAATGTGATAAATATGAGTTTAATGGTGAGTAACAAGTATCTTTGCATAATAACAGCTCATTTGTTATCAATATTATTGAAGGAATAGAACAAAGTATCAGCTTAAAAATTCAACCTTTTTAACAAAACGAATTAACACTTCCTTGTCTTGGTGATGGATAATGCTGAACATAATTTAATCTCACCTAGTAACTCAGGGACTACTGAGGGTATACTGTTGTTTGCCCCTGCATTAAATAGTCCCTAATTATTGTGCTTTTTACTTACTGTATTCACTTAATAACTCCCCTCCCCTGCTGTTGGTACGCCTTTTATTTTGCGATGAGCTAATGAGATTATTCAACAGCTCTGTTAGATATGAGATAATCGAAGCTTGCTGGAATTGTGAGAAAAGTAAGAGCACATGAGTTTTGTGTGAGGCCCAAAGGCTTCTTCTATGAGCTCATGATTTTTTCTCATTAAACATTCTGACATGGTTTGCCTTCTACATGACTCAGAAGTTCTTGGCTTTGTAGTAGATTGTCAAAGTTGCTGGAAATGACCAATCGTGTATGCATGTGTGTGTGTCCGGTGTGGTGTCTACGTGCTAAGTATGTGAGAAGTAAATACATGAATATATACACATAATATAAATTTTAAGTTCCACAAGAGCATTTCTATATGCCTGTATCTATATAAACTTTCAATAAATGTTTGAATTAATTAAAAACTGTATATATTTTGTATTTCTTGATTGGTGACCACCATAGCAACTTCAACAATTTTAGAATTCCTGCTGCCATGTGGGAAATGTGTAATGTCCACCCTGGAACAATGCCCCAATTCCTTTTGGAAGAGAAAGGTATTCTGATAGCATTGTTATGACTACCATCCACACTTGTTTTGGGGGTTAAACTTCCAGGCAGCCAGCTTTATGCAGAAGGGTGATTCACTGTTTCTGTGTCCACTCAGCTCAAAGCCCCTCTGGGACTGGAACACCTTTAGTCTAATTTTCTCAAAAAAAAAAAAAAAAAGAGCATATTTGCCACTTTCCACTTAATAAAATGCCATGTAGAATATTGATATCAAAAGGCAGTTGCAATATCAAGATTTTCATACTTCTATCGGATTAAGAGGGAGTACATTCTTTTGCTGCTAATGCTATTGACAGTCACAAAGATAAAGGGGAATTTAATGGCTTAAGAGCAATTAACTATATTTCCTTCCTGGAATCAATCAGTAAAACACAGCACATCTGAGAATAGAGAAAGGAATATTGGATCCAAATCCCGAAGATCTCATCTGAGATAAATTTAAAAATTAGGACTAATAACACTGGACTATATCTACCATGAGGTAAGATATTTGCTTTGACAAAGCTTTGCTTCAAAAATTTTTTCATCCTCTTTAATCATGTTGGAGGTCTACATCAATAAAGGATCAGTTACTTCTAATGGTATCTGTAAATTTATCATTTTTAATAATTATTAGACTGGTTTTTGCATTCACATTCTTTTAAAAATAATTGTAATATACCTTAATGCTTAAAATGACCAGTTCTCCAAATTGTTTGAAGTTGATTTTGAACCAACTTACGTTACTCATTGACAGCAAGTTGTACCAGTAGCACGTGAATACTTAGATCATACTATAAATCCCAATATAAAGATTAGAGGTAGGGAGAACACAGAAGAATAACAGAATCTTGTGAAAGCCTCTGTGCAAAACTTCTGACTATCTCTTTGTATGCTCAGAGGATCTGATCTGGCACTCAATAGCACAAATCTACATGCCCTTCTAATCAAGATAATCCTGAGATTATGACATCTGTTGGGGCTCAAACTCAAGATTAAGTGTCCACCCTGCAGGTTGGAAAGACACGATGAAGAGTTAACCTTATGATATGGAAATGCTAATGTGACATGAATCTTTGTAAAACTGTAACAAGCCTTCTCACTGTAGAGCTATAGCTTTTCTAAGCATTGCACAACTGACCCAAACTGTATTCATGCAGCGTTCATTTTATAGGAAAAAGTATTATCACCAGTGGTGAATGTATTGGGAAACTAATGAAGCTTAAACCTCAGGGTGCTTCACTTGCACAGGCCCCTTCTAAATAAATCTTCACATCTATACATAAGTTTTTTTAAGACATAAGGGTCTTGCTATCTATGTCACCCAGGCTGAACTTGGAGTCCTAGGCTCAAGTGGTCTTCCTACTTTAGCCCCTGGAGTAGCTGGAACTATAGGCATATGGCACATAGTTTTGTATTTGTATTTTTTAAAATGTTTTCTTAAAAAGGGCCTTAATGTTATGTAAGTATCCAGCCCACAAGACCTGGCTCTGTCCAGCTGTATCCAGTGGGGTTTCTATGTGTGATCAAAATAGCTGGTTTGTGAGCAGCAGTCTTTTCTAAGAGGCACACATCTAAACATTATCCTTTTGTTTCCAATGGTTATCCAGCTTGGTTTTGTTTCTGACTCTACTGTGTTGACTTACAGTTTGCATGACACATCTGTCCAAAAACTATTTCCCTACATCAGAATTTCCCTATGCCAGGCTTGTCTATCCCCCTCTTGAATTTCAGTTTAAGTTTTCAATCCTTCCTTCAATCACATAGCAGTCAGTCATTGCTCGGGTATTCTGCACACATCTGGTCTGGTGCAGATAGGACATGGTTAGCCTTGCTTAGGGTTTTGTGGATGGGCTGTTAAACATGGGAGACTGGTGTGTATCTGCAAATCTCAAATGCGTCTCATCCCTGGAGTTGTGTGTGCCTGTTTCAAATATTTACACATATTTTTCTTTCCAGT
Organism: Homo sapiens; assembly: GCF_000001405.40. Taxonomy (NCBI): domain Eukaryota; kingdom Metazoa; phylum Chordata; class Mammalia; order Primates; family Hominidae; genus Homo; species Homo sapiens. The sequence goes on from NC_000007.14 coordinate 93,014,017, forward strand.
CATCTGTCCCCCCAAATATTATCAACAAATACATTGTTGGAAGCACATTGTCTGTTTGAGTGTCATAGAATCTCTAACACTAGGAGATTTCTGGGGCTATGATGGGAAGAGGCAAAAGTTGGAAAAGTTAGTGCCCATTGTTTTGTTTTACAGAAAGTCATATTAAAAAAAATAAAAGTAAACATGTCGTTTCCTAGATTTGCAGACCCAGTTTTCTTTAGTGATGTAAAAATGCCTAGAGAGGCCCTGATAGCTGTGCAAATGTTTGCAAATTGTATCACTTTGACTGATTGAGGGAATTTTAACATCATCAGGTTGGGTGGGCACTAGTAAGATCTGTTTGCAATTGTAGTTCCCTGATGCTGGCCACAACTTAAAAACATACTTTCCTGTATACTTGTTGGCCAGTTTCTGAATGGAGGCAAGGCCTTTCTTCTGCAATCTGCACTCCCATAGCTGACTTTTTAATGAACAGTGGAGTAGAACATACTGTGGGAAAACCACCCTCCCATGCTGATTTCCAGAGCCATTAGAAATGAACAAGATCCAGTATATGACAGAGGCCTTCTTCCTGCTTAGCAGGCTTGACAACAACTTCCTTCTTGGCAAGACAATCAGTAAGCCCAATCACTTTGAAACACACTCGTCTGGTTACAAACAGAACCAGGAAGTTTTCTGGAAGTGCTGAATATGTCCCCCAATTAGAGGATCTGACTCTGATGTCCCTTCTTAGACATAATGCTTCTTTATTTCCATGGATGGCCTGTGTGAGGGAGGACTCTGGGACTTTTTTCTAAAGAAGTTTAACATTTTAAATTGATAAGGCTGGAAAATATCCACATACATGTTGAATGGCTCCTTTTCAGACTCCTATAAAAATGATATGTCTATTATGACTCAAAGATGGTGCAGAAAATAATTATTAAAATAAGCAATTTTATACTAGATTGCTTTCTCTCCACGCCCATTGATTTAAAACTCTGTCTGAGTCTGCATGGAATATCCAATGCTTTTCTCTAAGAGAGATTAAGAATTAAGTCCCCTGCCTTTCCCATCTGTTTCTTCTTCTTAAAAATGTTCTCAGGCTTTCTTCCTGCCACTTTTCCTGGGATCATGACAAAGGTACACAGATGAAGGCTGATCTCAAAATAAGCATGTCAGTGCAAAGAAGTAAAGAAAGAAAAAAGAATGGTGGCCTAAAAGAATGCAGAGGTTTACAGAAATGATGTACCTCCTGTAAAAATCTTAACTGCTCAGAGAGTCTTGGTTTTATGGAATGCCTCCTTGGAATGATTTTTTTTTTCCCAGTGGCTGCAATACATAAAGGCCACTGAAATTTGCTGTTACCCTCCCCCTGCTTTTTATATCCCCTCAAGTTCGGGTCAGTTTTCACCCATCTAAGCCCGGGTGGCAACTCTGGTTTAAATACCATTTCATGCCTGATAAAATTTCATTAGGCATTTTAACTTTTGATTTCTTTTATTGACTTATTGTGCAGATGGAGAGAAATGTTTAGAAAGGGAAAACAATTTAAATGGGGGATTTACTGAAGTCATGTTTCAGTAAGGAAGGAAATACCATTGACTTTATTACAGCTGCCTAATGTTTTCCACAAACTGTAGAAATAATGCGTTGTATCTTGGTGACCTACAATAGCAGCTGACTGCTTGCACATGATGGAAATGCAATCTGGTTTTGCTAAAAATTAACTATTTAATGTCCTGGTGTCCTGTGTCTCACTGTATCTTGTGTCTGATTTCTTTTATATGTTCTTTTCTACTTGGGGACAGTCATTTGCTATAGGCCTGAATGCTGTGCAGCTTCCTGAGAAGGGGCTAGGGATAGATGGGGAGAGGCTGCACCAGATACCTGTATGTCTGTGTTTGCTGAGCCTGCATGGTCCTAAATGCTGATGTGAAGATTTCTTCTTCCTCCTTCCTGTGCCCCCTTTACCTACCCCCCCATCCTCCATCAACCAACCCCAAAAGGGCTTTCTCTCCCTTCGTTTTTCCTTTCTTCTCTCCCTCCCTCCCCCTTCCCTTTGCTGGGCCTTATCTGATATGTTTAATGATGTGATAAAACAAAAAGGGAAGTTTTTGATTGCACGAACACACCCTTTGGAGAGATTCCAGCTGAAGAGTCTGTTAAGGAAAGCGAGAGCTGTGTGGGGAGGCCTGGGTGCTGGGTGTGAGGAAAATGCTAGCTTAGGAGGGAAAAATAATAACATGCTAGGATGGCAGTGGTGGTTGCAAGAGGTCTGGAGGGTGGGGGGAGTTCAAAAAGGAGCTTGCTTAATGAGGCCTCTCTGAAGATTTACTGCTGTGGCTGCTGCTGAGAAGAGGATCCGGAGAAAAGATGTTCTGCCCTGACTAGCTTCACAGGAAGTCAGACAGGGCTTGTGTTCTCTGGCAGGCAGAAGAGAGAGCCTGTTAGGCCCGCAGCATCTAGGGACTTTCAGCCTGATTGTTTTTTAAAGAGCCCTCTTCCATGCATTGTTGATGACTTTTATACATATAGTTCTCAAGGCAGAAAACCAAATAGGGAAACTGTTCTGGATGGAAGCCATTCCCCAGTTTGTCATGAGGATGTTCACATCGATTCCCAGGGGTACCATTTCCTCCCCTGACTGTACCTCTCATATAGCCTCAGGGTGCATCCTTCAGACATCAGCTTCTTGTCTGGGGGGACACAATGGACCATCCGCGGAAGTCAGAATGCTGTCCTTCACCCAGTGGATTGGGGCCTGGCCTTTTCCCATTTTCTCCTGCGAAACCCAAAGCCTCCCTCTCTTCTAGACACTGCAAGTCAAACTCTCTGGTGCAAATATCACAGCAACAGGCTGCCTGCACTCAAATGGGAATGCTGTCTTCATGCTAAAGGAGTTATAAGGATTAACTGCTAGGAGAAAATACTACCTTTCAGGTGCAAAAGCTTCACCTCTCTATCGTTAGAGTAGATACCATCACTGTCATTTTACTTATGGGAAAACGGTGGCTTAGTGAACAGGATGATTTGCTCGAGGATACAGAGGTATTTGGCTTTAGAACAGTCCTGCCCCAACTGACTACTGGAGCACACATGCACCGTGCTCTCAAGGACAGGCTGATGTCATCTTGAGAACTCATTCTGGGTAATAAATCAGAATCCTTCAAGGGGAAGAAAAACAAATGGGGTTCTGGGTGTTTTTCTCACAAAAGACAGGAAAGCAGCCCTCTGGTACACCATGTAAATCATACTAAGTGAGACAGAATATGGAAAGACATACGGAGTTCAGGATTCCCACCCATGCTATGAGCTGAGGCTGAGCTGAGCTTCAATAAAATGAACTCAGCTTACCAGGAAGGCTCAAGGTAAATCCAAGGAAGGACTGAGTGTAGCCACAGTGAGGGAAGAAAAGCAAAGGAATTCTTTGATGACAGACAGGGTCTTAGATCATATTCCCCCCAAGGACTGAGAAAAACAGAACAGTGGCAGGAAGGAAGTCCTCCCTTCTTCACTGAGTGGTGTGTGGCAACAGATAGAATGCCCAAAAAATTCTAAGCAGAAAATTGCTTCATTGACGTCTGTTTCCATCTAAAAAATACAAGATTCCTAGTTGCCTACTGAATATATTTTCTCTTTCTTCTTTAGTAAAAAAAAGCCTGATTTTTTGGAGGGTGAGGTGGGGGACATAAGTTGCCCATCTAAAGTTTTTATTTCTCAACCTTCCTTGCTGTTAAGTTCTGGCGAATAGGATGTAAAGTCAAATTTATTTGGTGGAAAGTCTAGGAAATTTCCTTTTAAGAAAAACAGACAGATGGCAGCTCTCTTGTCATCATAAGACACAAAGCTAAGTGCTAAGGATGTTGGAGCAGAAAAGATAGAAGCCTGTATCTCTAATGGTATCTTCTTGGCCACATAACGACTGAATTGTCTTTTCTCAGATTTCTTTTACAAGAAAGAATAAATTCCTCATTTGTTTGAGCCACTGTGACACGGTCTCTGTTACTAGCAGGAGAAGCCAATTCCTGCTACAAAAGGGAAGCTGCTTACTTTTTTCTCAGTACACAGGTAGTACACATGACACAAAGAAGTGAATGTTCAAAGTATGAAGGAGGCCAATAAATACAAGGGAGAAATTCTAAATCTATTGCATTCACCCCTTCAATGAGAATGTCATAATCTTAAATGTCAAAGGCCCTTTTGAGAAACTGTAGAAAGTTGTAGAAACCTCCTTAGGGAAATGCATATATACACTTCCATATGAAGTCTTCACACATAATCTCAAGCATGTTATGGAATCAGTGAAGCCTGTCTGCAAAGCCCTTGTTAGGGATTTCTGCACTGGGTTACAGTTACCTCAAGACTGAAAAGAAGGGACTAGATCTGGCTTGACTAATAGACTGTGCATTCAGGGTCTTTTACCCAGGAAGTCTCACGACTAGACTGAGTTACCTGGGTAGTCATACGTCTTCCTAGGAGCCTTCTAAGAGAGCAACCTAAATCTTTTGGACTTGAAATGGGGTAATAAGACTGTTTTCTAGAGGAAAACTGAAAGGTCTGAGATCTGGTGGGACTCAGGGACAGTCCAGGCCATCACAGGGGGCTTCAAGAGGCTTCTGAGGCTAGCTGTAGCCCAGTGTTAAAACAAAAAATATACAAAGAGCTGATTTACTCTGCAAAACTGAGCAAAGGATGTTAGGAAGTGCTTCAGGATTGAATGGGAACCATCTTTAAGGAAGTATCCACTTCTGTTTATTGGATTTTAGTAGATTCTGAGTAGTTTTACAGGACTTTATATGTTTGTGTGACACACTGACAAGACATTCTGAATAGTTGGTTGGTTAACAAAAATGTAACAAGATATTTTACTTATAGCACAGCTGTTCCAATGTTTGGGCATTCCATTTCAAACTGCTATGAGCTGATCTAGTCCAAAGAGGCTTTACTGAAAAAAAAGTTATAGTACACAGTGTCCATTGGTGAATTTGCCTAAATAGTGTTTTATGCATTATGTCTGACGGCAAGTACGTATATTTGGAAGCTGTTTTGGTTTGATTTTCCAACAAAGTAATCCTTTCCCTCACAAATTTTAATTGGATGATGCCACAGAATAGGCCTAATCCAGTTGTGAAAATGTGTGAGCCCTATCATATTAATCCCCGATTGGGAAAAAAATGTATAACTCATTTCTTTAGATCTTTATCATACGTGATTTCTTCTTGAATTATTTACATATCTTTCACTCTTTTTCAAAAACAAGGTAAAACAAAAAAACAAAACCCCAGAAACAAAAAACAAATGCCCTGATTTGTTCATTTCAACCTCCAAGATTATACAAGGAACATAATAATAGTGTTTGTGGAGCATTTTCTCATATTTTAATAGTAAATTAGAATATTCTGGGGGCAGTTCTTGAATTTCAGTGTGTTAAGAATCACTTGTGGAGTGTGTTAAAATGCAAATACCAACGCACCTCTGGACTCATTCAGGGGCCCATGCTGCTGTTAGTAGGTATTGTGCTTTTTTTTTTTTTTTTTAATACTTTAAGTTCTAAGGTAACATGTGCACAACGTGCAGGTTTGTTACACATGTATACATGTGCCATGTTGGTGCACTGCACCCATTAACTGGTCATTTACATTAGGTATATCTCCTAATGCTATCCCTCCCTCCTCCCCCCACCCCACGACAGGCCCCGGTGTGTGATGTTCCCCAACCTGTGCCCAAGTGTTCTCATTGTTCAATTCCCACCTATGAGTGAGAACACGCGGTGTTTGGTTTTCTGTCCTTGCGATAGTTTGCTCAGAATGATGGTTTCCAGCTTCATCCATGTCCCAACAAATGACGTGAACTCATTCTTTTTTATGGCTGCATAGTATTCCATGGTGTATATGTGCCACATTTTCTTAATCCAGTCTATCATTGATGGACATTTGGGTTGGTTCCAAGTCTTTGCTATTGTGAATAGTGCCACAATAAACATACGTGTGCATGTGTCTTTATAGCAGCATGATTTATAATCCTTTGGGTATATACCCAGTAATGGGATGGCTGGGTCAAATGGTATTTCTAGTTCTAGATCCTTGAGGAATCGCCACACTGTCTTCCACAATGATTGAACTAGTTTATAGTCCCAACAACAGTGTAAAAGTGTTCCCATTTCTCCACATCCTCTCCAGCACCTGTTGTTTCCTGACTTTTTAATGATCGCCATTCTAACTGGTGTGAGATGGTATCTCATTGTGGTTTTGATTTGCATTTCTCTGATGGCCAGTGATGATGAGCATTTTTTCATGTGTCTGTTGGCTGCATAAATGTCTTCTTTTGAGAAGGGTCTGTTCATATCCTTCACCCACTTTTGGTTGGGGTTGTTTGATTTTTTTCTTGTAGATTTGTTTAAGTTCTTTGTAGATTCTAGATATTAGCCCTTTGTCAGATGGGTAGATTATAGAAATGTTCTCCCATTCTGTAGGTTGCCTGTTCCCTCTGGTGATAGTTTCTTTTGCTGTGCAGAAGCTCTTTAGTTTAATTAGATCCCATTTGTCAATTTTGGCTTTTGTTGCCATTGCTTTTGGTGTTTTAGTCATGAAGTACTTGCCCATGCCTATGTCCCGAATGGTATTGCCTAGGTTTTCTTCTAGGGTTTTTATGGTTTTAGGTCTAACATTTAAGTCTTTAATTCACCTTGAATTAATTTTTGTATAAGTTGTAAGAAAGGGATCCAGTTTCAGCTTTCTAAGTATGGCTAGCCAGTTTTCCCAGCACCATTTATTAAATAGGGAATCGTTTCCCCATTTTTTGTTTTTGTCTGGTTTGTCAAAGATCAGATGGTTGTAGATGTGTAGTATTATTTCTGAGGGCTCTGTTCTGTTCCATTGGGCTGTTGTGCTTTAAAACACACAATCTAAGTTTTACAGAGCTGAAGTTTCTTTTGATAAAAGGGCGAGATTATTTGCTTATTTTATTTCTTTCCATTTGAAGACTACACAAATACTTTAAAACAATATTGTATTGAACAGTAATGGGAATAGTGACATCAGGAAGAAAGTAGGAGGGAAAAACCTTGGTTCTCGTAACCACTGTACCCTGAGTGGGATATAAAGTTACATGTGACAACCCATGAGATGATGTACATGCCTGGAACATAACTGACCATCAGTCACTGGAGTGAATTCTGAGGGACCCCATCATTTCTATGGTGCCTCCTAAATGCTGTGTCACCTTAGGATTTGAAAACACCCTTCTCTTCTTAGACTATTCAAGTGATGATTGAACTGATGGCAATATCAGGAAGAAAAACTTTTAAGCCCTTCTCAGATGCTGTTCTATCTGCTTCATGTCATAAGCCCACAGATAGTTCTCCCTTTAGGAGACTTCGAACAGTCTTGTTTTACAATGTTAGGAATTACAATATTTTCAATATGCTGCTCTAAAAATGCCATTTATGTTTATAATATACTGTCCTTTAACCTAGAAGTATGTATCATGTAAACTACAGATGTCTATTTTTTATATTTATGTGGAGGGTCTAGTTACTCACTGTCTGCTTTCACTAAACCTCTGTGTGCAAGAAGAGCTTTCCTCTCTCTGGCTCCACGTGTTGAGAGGCAGGTAAAGCTGGGTGGAGCAATGAGGCTACTTCTGAGAGGTGCTTACCCTGAGATGGGGTGGGCTACTGCAGGGTCAACTGTGTTAGAAAGGGAAAGGTCAAACCAGCAGAAGTCCAATACATCAATCATAAAGGAAAGCTGAAGTGTGGATAGTCAGGAAAAAGAGAAGGAGAAAGGCCCACACAAAACCAGTGGGAACTGATAAGAGAGGTGAAAAAGAAGCAATAGAGTCTAGACTATTTGTCATGAATGGGTTCATGGTTCTTAAATTTCATTTTTGGTAGCATAAAATTTCTTTTTCCTGACAATACAAGCCTTTGTGAGTCACATTTTGAGTAATCATTCAAGGTGTCTAACACTTTCAACTACCTCCAAACACAGGATCTGTAGTAACACTGGAGTCTCACCTATTTATTTGCAGAGGGTCTTAAAGGCATCTAAAGGGAGCTCACTCCGCGCCCTATATCCTCATATGATTTTGTTACAGCTTCTCTGTTTATTTCAGCCACCTTTGAGGGCATTGAATAGTACCATCATCCCAATGCCACTCCCCACCTGTGGGCACTGATGCCCTTGCCTGGGATGGAGCCCCCTCGAGGCCCTTCAAGCAGCCAGTCATCAGGGTGTGAGGGCAGAGAGGCTTTCCCTAGAGCCCTCAAAGTGAGAATGCCGCTGTGTCCAACCGGACACGGGGAGACCAGTTCTTCCTCCCAGCTGTCACACTTTGTCTCTAGGCCCCAAACAGTGTGGCTTCTGTCTCACAGAGTTCCTCAGGAAAACACTTTCTTTCTGCCTTTCTCTACAGAGCCAGAAATGAATCCATGGGGCTGAGATGAGGAACTAGAACCCACGGCACATACCACGTTATTCTGTCTATTTCTCTTCCTCTAAAAGCCTACTCCCTTTTTCTGGTTCTTCAGACTCAAACTTTCATGCAAACCAACTCCTGGGATGAGCTCCACTGGTGCATTAACCATGCCTGGTATTGTGTCTGAAATTTATTCCTTCCGGTGGGTTCCTGGTCTCGCTGACTTCAAGAATAAAGCCATGGACCCTTGAAGTGTGTGTTACAGTTCTTAAAGATGGTGTGTCCAGAGTTTGTTCCTTCAGATGTTCAGACATGTCTGGAGTTTCTTCCTTCCAGTGGGTTCGTGGTCTCGCTGATTTCAGGAGTGAAGCCGCAGACCTTCGCAGTGAGTGTTACAGCTCTTAAAGGTGGCATGTCCAGACTTGTTTGTTCCTCCCGGTGGGTTTGTGGTCTCGCTGACTTCAGGAATGAAGCCTCAGACCCTCGCGGTGAGTTTTACAGCTCATAAAGGTTGTGCGTACCCAAAGAATGAGCAGCAGCAAGATTTATTGTGAAGAGCAAAAGAACAAAGCTTCCACAGGTAGAATGGGACCCAAGTGGGTTTCCGCAGCTGACTTGGGTGGCCAGTGTTTATTCCCTTATTTGGCCCCACCCACATCCTGATGATTGGCCCATTTTACAGAGTGCTGATTGGTCCATTTTACAGAGTGCTGATTGGTCCGTTTTTACAAAGTGCTGATTGGTGTGTTTACAAACCTTTAGCTAGACACAGAGCACTGGTTGGTGCATTTTTACAGAGTGCTGATTGGTGCATTTACAAACCTTTAGCTAGACACAGAGCACTGATTGGTGCGTTTTTACAGAGTGGTGATTGGTGCATTTACAAACCTTTAGCTAGACACAGAGCACTGGTTGGTGCATTTTTAGAGTGCTGATTGGCGCATTTACAAACCTTTAGCTAGACACAGAGCACTGATTGGTGCGTTTTTACAGAGTGCTGATTGGTGCATTTACAAACCTTTAGCTAGACACAGAGTGCTGATTGGTGTGTTTACAATCCTCTAGCTAGACAGAAAAGTTCTCCAAGTCCCCACCAGACCCAGAAGCCTAGCTGGCTTCACGTCTCAGTATGTCTGCATCTCACTAGGCAGAAAGGCCTCTCTGCTTCTGGCGTCCACTTCTTAATGCAGTCATTTTTTGGCCTGGTTTAAAGCCTCAGCACCTATGTGGACAGCGTGGGACATCTTGTGAGTGCTACCCTACACACAGATAGCGTTCCAGCATTTGTCCGTTGCTTTCTTAGAAAACTAGGAAACCACTGAAGTAAGCAGCGGAGTTAACCTCAAAGGTGGGGGTCACGTAGTTCTCATATTATAGCTAATATGTATTTGCCAAAATAGTTCTAAATCTCAGGACCTGTGCTATTTCCTGCATGAATTCCACAGTATAGTTATGAGCCCCTAAGAGTGAACATGTTGTCTAATATCCTCAGTAGATCCCAAATGACTTTTAGTTAGAAAGAGTGAAACTGGATAATTAAACTCTGTGACTATTAATTACCTCTCTGCCTGAACAGAGCCTGCTCTGAACAGCGTTATGCGGTGGATGAGGTTCTGGTCTCATGGCACCAGCAGTTCACACTCTTCCGTGCTTCTACCCCCATTTCACCTTGTCTAGGGAGCCCTCTGTCCCTTGGGGGAAGTAAACACCAGAAGCACTGTGGCCGGAGACAAGGATCTGGGGTCAGAAAACCATTTCAAAGTATAGCCTTGCCACCTATTAGCTGTATGACCTTGAGGGTTCCTTAACATCCATAAGCCTTAGTTTCCTTATCTGACAAATGGAAATAACCTCAAAATGCTGGCATGAATGTCAAATGAGATAGTTCTGCCACCTAGTTAAGACTTGGTAAAAGAAAGCTGTTCTTATTCTTGGTTTTCCCTTGTATGGTTCTCCCTCCCAAGATGTCCCATGTCCCACACACATCCTCTCCCTCCCTGCATGTGAAACCTGCTATCAGAAAAGCATCAGAAAAACAAATTTCATCGTAGCTGCTAAGTGCATTATGGGAAGGAGATAGCACGGTTGTGGTACATGGTGGCATTTAAATACTTTGAGTCAGTTAAGGTACATTTGATGGATCTGCAGACTCTGTGTTTCTGAAGGTATCTGCGTGATTAAATGAAAGAAGGCTAAAAGCTTTCCCTTCATTCAGCAAACCTTCATTGAGCACCTACTGAGTGTGAAGCACTGTGGTAAGCATGCCGTATATGTACGGTAGCATTAGAAGCTGATATTGTCTCTGCACTCACGGAACTTTGAATCTTACAAATTAAAAAAAGGCTAATAGTGGAATGTTAAATACTGGCAACCGTGTAGGATGGGAAAGTAAACGTTAGGCATCTTCATGTTCACAAATTACTACATTCCATTTTATAGTTTGGTAGGAATGGGGGATAAGAGAGTTTTAGGGGAACTAGGAGATTGGGAGGAATGATGGTGAATATGGATTAAAACATAAAAAAAGATAATTTAATTTCTAAGTAAAAGAGCATTCTAATAGGTTGAAAATAATCACACACAAGCAGCTCTAAGATCAAATGACCTCTTGGTTGAGATTCGAGATTGCAGACTGGCTCCCTAAAGCAGCTGAGGCTCAAATTCAGTAAAATATCCATTTATGGCTTGACTAAGCACTGGGATCATTCAATAAAAATGGATATCCTAGAAAAGAGGAAATTGGCTATTTTCTTGATAATTTTATTGAAAAAGTTTCTCTTCTTCAGCAATCAAAAGAATGTACTTCTATTTCCCTCTATTAATAAGTTAGAAAATACAAAAAGCTAATATAATTACAAAAAGCTTACAAAATTATTTAAACCTTTACTAGGTGCTTTGCATGAGACTACCACATTTCACCTAAAATGAAATCCTAAAAAGAGATTATATAAAAACAAACTTTTCTTATAAATTAAACAAAATCTTTGAAACTTTTGAAGGGCTACTAAATCTTGTACAATATGTAGTTTAACTATTCTCCAAATCTGATAATTTTTTTAAAGGATTTAGAACACATAAGTACTAACAGCTCCTTCTCCTGTGGTGCTTATGTGGCACTGTGTGATAGGAGCACTTAAAGAGATTTTTTTCTTTCAGTCCCATTTAATCCTCGACATCACTCTGTGATGTGGCTTTTATGCTCATTTTACTCAGAGGAAACTGAGGCTTAGGTTAATGTCATTTACTGGCAGGCAGAAGAACCAGCATTTGAATTTCTAGCCCTGAGCTTTTTCCACTAAACCAAGTGGCGACACACAAATCTCTATGGGTGACAGTCCTGGCAGCTTAGATTTTGCCTTTTATCTGAAAATGGCTTATGATTTATTTTCTGATTTAGAATCTGAAAAGGATGTGGATTAAGTTATTTTATGAAAACAATTAGCCAGCTCTTGAAGCAAATTTGAATCACATTTTTATGACAAAACTACAAAACCTCGTAATAATCTGACCCTTAGATTGCAAGAAAAAAAGGAGAAGAAGGGTGGGCAAAGGGCAACAGGGAAAGGGAAGAATAATCAGGCTTTGGTGCAGCAGAGAAGAGTAAGAGATGGATTCCCATGAGAAAGTCCCACATGAATGAGGGACACTCATGCCTGGGTCTTCAGGACCTGGTTACCTGCCTATTGTAGGCTCCCACAGGGCCCATGGACTTTTATACTAGGAATGCTATTAGGATGGTATCAGGACTGGTTATGCTGGGAAGAGAGTGGGCATTAGAGATCAGGTACATCCTATAGCAAGAGGCTCACTGAAATATAATACTGTGTATTCAGACTCACACACAGACGAAAACAACTAAACATTGTAAGATTTTTGGATGTGTCCTGGAAGTATATGGCATTTGCTTTCAAGTATGTGCTGACAATCATCTGTTATTTTCCACTTCTGTCCAACGCAGAAAACAATGTGAGAGGCCAGTTTCACCTTTGATATAAGTTCTAGACCTTGGATTAGAAACGTGGGGATGTACTCTCCATCACAAAAGACTTCTTTGCTGAGTTGAGGTGATCTTTCTGGAGGGTGGGAGGTCAATCCAGGATGTCATAGAAGTGAGGATCCAGGTATGGGACAGTGTGGCTAAATGTACTTTTCATTCATTCTTTTGGATGTGGTTAGGGTCATGGGCCCGAGTCCAAAGGTCTCGGTTTGAATCCCAACTTTGCCAATTCCTAGCTGTGTGACCTTGGGCAAGTTACTCAATCACCCTATGCCAAGGTTTGTTAAATAATAATGTGCTAAATAGGGATAATAGTAATACACAGGCATGTAGTGGGGGTTATATATGACAATTTCTATAAGCCATTCAGTACATAGTAAGCTTTTAAGAAATGTTAGCTGTTATAGGCTAATTAATTCTTAAATGAATATTGATTAATCTCCTAATACAAAATGTATCTTGTCACTCAGGAGTTTAAGAAAAGAAATTATTTCTTCTCTGTAATTTAGGTCAGAAAATCTAAGGAAATATATAGGTTGAAAGCCTTCTAAGCACAATTCCATAATGAGAGGGCTCATGTCCTGTACATGCGGCAATTCTAAAGCTGGAATTGGTGGGGGTTGCCTCTTGGAGGAGGTTTCAGGGACTGAGTCTCTAGAAAGGGATCTGGCTCCTGGTAGAAAGATTTAGGAAATTTAGCTATTAGTTCTATTCATGAGGCTGGAACCAGGCATTAAAGAATCACTTACAAAGCAGAACAGTTTCTGATATGTCTGGGAATCAGAAGTTGTGCGAGTGTGTGTGTCTATGTGGGTGTGGGTAGGTAAAGGGAGGGGGGATAGATAAGGGAGGCTTAAGAACAAAATGAGTTGAGGTGAGGCAGCTCGTTTACAAGAACCACAAAATTTTACGTGGGGTGGAGGAAATGGGGAGACTGTAACAAATCTAGGCCCACCGGGTTTTGTTTGTACATTTATCGTGCAATTCCTCCAGCCTTTTGAATTCTGATTTAAGATGTTCCCAGCCCTTCAGGTGCACCAAGGTGGCTTATGAAGAAGAGAGTTCAAGCTCTTTCTGAAAGCAGACCCACCAGGAGGAGAGAGACTCTGTATATCATTACGAATCTGGAGTGAAAGGGCAGAAAGCATATGTTTTTATATTGCAAAGAAGCATTATCTCTTTGCTTTCAATTAGAAATTGTTTCTAATAATCAAGTTTTCTAAATAGTCACTTTGTACCTTAACATATCTAGCAGAGCACATTTTTAAAGCAGTGCCCTAATACAACCAAGGATTTATTGTACTCTCATTTTTTAACTACTTTTATAACACAGAGAATGGTAAAAAGTTTAAAAAATGTTTCTATTATATAAATATAATTAATACACACTTCAGCAAAAATTCAGACAATTTAAAAATTAATTAATAATGAATTTAAAATTTATTGCCTATGTCTGTGGACTTTGACCACATTTGGTTACACACTAATTCTATGATTGGTTTTGCAAAGGAATTATCTGTCAAACTAATATTAATACTTATTGAGCACCTACTATGTGCCAGGCACTTTGCTAGAAGCTTACCCTAAAGGAATCAGTAAGATAAACATAGTTTCTATCCTCAAGGAGTCTATCAGAGAACAGAAATCTTATAATAAGTGAACATGTAGTAAAAACATATATTAAGTCGGCTGGGCGTGGTGGCTCACGCTTGTCATCCCAGCACTTTGGGAGGTTGAGGCAGGTGGATCATGGGGTCAGAAGTTCAAGACCAGCCTGGCCAACATGGTGAAACCCCATCTCTACTAAAAATACAAAAATTAGCTGGGCGTGATGGCGGGTGCCTGTAACCCAGCTACTCGGGAGGCTGAGGCAGAGAATTGCTTGAACCCAGGAGGTAGAGTTTGCAGTAAGCTGAGATCGCGCCACTGCACTCCAGCCTGGGTGACAAGAGCAAAACTCCATCTCTAAAAAAAAAATATATATATATATATATATTTAATAATATATATAATATATATTTTTATTATATATATATTATATATATATATTAGGTTAAAAGAAAGGCTCGTTCCTGCTCTAAGATGGCCAACTAGGTGCAGCCAGGAGGAACATCTCCCGCAGAGGGACCAGAACATTGGGAAGACTGGCACACTCCTAGCAGATCTTCAGAGGGAAGGCATCGAGAGTGGACAGAGGGAAGACGCAAATGCTGGGCTGAAGCAGGAGGAAGCTGGAAATGCTGCACGGGGCTATCATACATTGGTTGTCATTCCTGGCCCCCAGTGATTCCTGCCAAAAGGGTGAGTTGAACAGGCAAGGAGCAACCCACCCTCTCCACAGGCCTCTGGAATCCCGGCAGGAGGAGACCTCTTGATGACCACAGGGGGTGGTGGGGAGAGCTGCTTTGAAAAGTGGTAGGGCCAGAACTCCAGCCAGTGCAGAGCCCAGAGGGTTTGGTGTGGGAGTGTCTATAGTGGAGCACAGCCAGGGATGCCCATGCCCCTCAGTTCTACTGGCTCCCAAAGGAGACTTTAGCCCTTAGGATAACTGTTGGACCTGAATTCTGCAGAGTGGTCTTGCCCATGAGATGGGGCCAGTCCCACCTGAGCACCCCTTGGCCTGCTGGCCTCTCCGGGGCCCAGAAGCTTGGCTGTGTCTGCTTGAATTGGAGCCCCCAGGCACCCCCTGGGGGCCCGTGTCATAGCTGTTGCACTGGAGGACCACCCATGACCGGCAGAGTACTCCAGCAGAGCTGCACCCACTGGACACACATCAGCCCACCTGTGCCCACCCCCCACCGCACTTCCCCATGGTGCTTTGCCTGAACACGTTCACCCACGGCCAGCCACGCCCATTGCTTTGCCGGCACATGCATGCCTGGGTGGACCTTGCCTTCTTTCTCTGCCAGTACATGTCCATGTACACCCTGCTGTGTCACTGCTGCTGGTGTGAGTGTGCCCTGTTCCCATTCAACCCACCTGGGATGGTTAATACTGAGTGTCAACTTGATTGGATTGAAGGATAGAAAGTATTGATCCTGGGTGTGTCTGTGAGGGTGTTGCCAAAGGAAATTAACATTTGAGTCAGTGGGCTGGGAAAGGCAGACCCACCCACAATCTGGGTGGGCACCATCTTATCAGCTACCAGCATGGCTAGAACATAAGTACGCAGAAAAATGTGAAAAGAGGGACTGGCCTAGCCTCCCAACCTACATCTTTCTCCCATGCTGGATGCTTCCTGCCCTTGAACACTGAACTGCAAGCTCTTCAGGTTTGGCACTCAGACTGGCTCTCCTTGCTTCTCAGCCTGCAGATGGCCTATTGTGGGACCTTGTGATCATGTGAGTTAATACTTAATAAACTCCTCTCTGTCTGTCTGTCTGTCTGTCTGTCTCTCTTTAGAGAACCCTGACTAACATACCACCTTCCTGCCATTGTCACTGGAGCATTGACAGACACAGAGCCTGCCAGCCCCACCAGTGCCCCACCCCTGCACTGACACTGCTCCTGGCATGAAACTAGGCACAAAAACAGCAGACTTGCCCCCAACCTGAGTATCCATCACCACCAGCATGAATGCACAGAGGGCACACACAGTCCTATTCCCACCAGCACCCTGCCCCCCTGCTAACACCACAACCAGCGCAAAAGTGTGCACAGTTGCCAGAAGGGATGCCCTGTCCCCCCAAGCTGTACTGCTTCCACTGTTGCTGTGAACACCTGCAAAGAGGCTGGCACCCCAGTGCCTGCCAGCACCCTGCTGCAGCTGATATATGTGTACCCCACCACACTGCCATTGCCACTGCTGCTGTTATTTACAAACGAGGACAAATCCCACTGCCACTGCCCTACAAAGTGCTTTAGCTGACACCACTCATTGCAGTGTTGTGCCCAGTGGTCTGTCAATACCTCAGGCCCTCCAGTACAGCAGGCTTCTAATCTCCAGGAGCCAGAGAACAAAGCCAGGGCTCTATATAAGTCCCCCAGAATTAGAGCACATAGTCCAGGAGTCACCTGCTGAGCCTTGCCCACCTAAAATCTTCCAGAAATGAAGCCAGTCAACTGAACCTACAATCAAATCCTCAAGGTCATCAAATAAAAGAAAATTAAAAAAACCATCTAAAGGTCAGCAACTTCAAAGATTGAAGAAACGTGAGCCCACAAATATGAGAAATAACCAGCACAAGAATTCTGACAACTCAAAAAGCCAGAGTGTCTTGCTTCCTTCTAATGACCACATTAATTCTTCAGCAAGGGTTTTTAACCAGGTTGAGATGGCTGAAATGACAGAAATAGAATTTAGAATATGGTAAGGAATGAAGATAATTGAGATAAAGGAAAACATTTAAACCCATTCTAAGGAAGATAAGAATCTCAATAAAATGATACAGGAGCTGACAGACAAAATAGTCAGTATAGAAAAGAATGTAAATGACCTGATGGAGCTGAAAAACACACTGCAAGAATTTCATAATGCAATTGCAAGTATTAACAGCAGTACAGACCAAGCTGAGGAAGGAATCTCAGAACTTGAAGAATGGCTTTCTGAAATAAAACAGACAAGATAAAATAAAAAAGAATGAAAAGGAATGAACAAAACCTCTGAGAAATGTGGGATTATGTAAAGAGACCAAATCTATGACTCATTGGTGTTCCTGAAAGAGATGCAGAAAATGGAAGCAACTTGAAAAATATATTTTAGGATATCATTTATGAGAACTTCTCCAACCTAGCTTGAGAGGCCAACATTTAAATTCAGAAAATGCAGAGAACTGTTGCTGCAAAATACTTCACAAGAAGCATCCCCAAGACACATAATCATCAGGTTCTCCACTGTCACATGAAAGAAAAAAATGCTAAAGACAGCTAGAGAGAAAGGGCAGGTCACTTATGAAGGGATGCCCATCAGACTAACAATGGACCTCTCAGCAGAAATCTTACAAGCCAGAAGAAATTGAGGGCCTTTATTCAAGATTCTTTTTTTTTTTTTTTTTTTTTTTTTTTTTTTTTTTTTTGAGATGGAGTCTCGCTCTGTCACCCAGGCTGGAGTGCAGTGGCACGATCTTGGCTCACTGCAAGCTCTGCCTCCTGGGTTCACGCCATTCTCCTGCCTCAGCCTCCTGAGTAGCTGGAACTACAGGTGCCCACCACCACACCTGGCTAATTTTTTGTATTTTTAGTAGAGATGGGGTTTCACCGTGTTAGCCAGGATGGTCTTGATCTCCTGACCTCATGATCCACATTCCAACCAAGAATTTCATATCTGGCTAAACTAAGCTTCATAAGCAAAGGAGAAATAAGATCCTTTTCAGACAAGCAAATGCTGAGGGAATTTGTTACTACCAGATCTTCCTTACAAGAGCTTCTCAAAGAAGCACTAATATGGAAAGGAAAGACTATTACCAGGCACTACCAAAACACACTTAACTACACAGACCAGTGACATTTTAAAGCAACCACACAAACAAGTTGGCATGATAACCACCTAACACCATGGTGACAGAATCAAATTCACACATATCAATATTAACCCTGAATGTAATCAGGCTAAATGCCCCAATTAAAAGGCACAGCATGGTAAACTGGATAAAGAAGCAAGACCCAATGGTATGTTGTCTTCAAGAGACCTATCTCATATGCAGTGACATCCATAGGCTCAAAATCAAGGGATGAAGAAAAATCTACAAAGCAAATGGAAAACAGAAAAAAGCAGGGGTTGCAATCTTAATTTTAGAAAAAATATGGATTTAAAACCAAAAAAAAGTTTTTAAAAAAGACAAAGAAGATCATTGTATAATGGTAAAGGGTTAAATCCAACAAGAAAAGCTAACTATCCTAAATATATCTGCACCCAACACAGGAGCACCCAGATTCATAAAGCAAATTCTTAGAGACCTTCAAAGAGACTTAGATTCCCACACAATAATAGTGGGAGACTTCAATACCCTACTGACAGTATTAGATCATAGAAGCAGAAAATTACCAAAGATATTCAGGACCTGAACTCAACACTGGACCAAACAGATTTGATAGAAATCTACAGAACTCTGTACTCAAAAAACAAGAGAATATACATTCTTCTCCTTGCCACGTGGCACATACTCTAAAATTGACCACACAATTGGACATAAAACAGTCCTCAGCAAATGCAAAGGAACTGAAATTATGCTAACTACCCTCTTGGACAATGGCACAATAAAACTAGAAATTAAGAATAAGAAAATTGCTCAAGACTATACAATTACATGGAAATTTAACAACCTGCTCCTGAATGACTTTTGGATAAATAATGAAATTAAGGCAAAAATCAAGAAGTTTTTTTGAAATTAATGAGACCAAAGATACAACATACTAGAATATCCAGGACACAGCTAAGGCAGTGTTAAGAAGAAAACTTATAGTACTAAATGCCCACATCAAAAGTTAGAAATATCTTAAATTAATAACCTAACATTACAACTAAAAGAACTAGAGAAGCAAGAGCTAACCAACCCCAAACTAGCAGAAGACAAGAAATAACCAAAATCAGAGCTGAACTGAATGAGATTGAGACACAAAAAAAATTCAAAAGATCAATGAATCCAGAAGCTGTTTTTTTTAAAATTAATAAGATAGACTACTAGCTGGACTAATGAAGAAAAAGAGAAGATCCAAATAAACATACTTAGAAATAACAAAGGGACTATTACCACTGACTCCACAGAAATACAAATAATCATCAGAGACCACTATGAACACCTCTATGCACATAAGCTAGAAAATCTAGAAGAAATAGATAAATTCCTGGACACATACACTCTCCCAAGGCTGAACCAGGAAGAAATTGAATCCCTGAACAGACCAATACTGAAATTGAAACAGTAGTAAGTAGCTTACTAACAAAAAAGGCTCAGGACCAGGTGAATTCACAGTCAAATTCTACCAGATGTACGAAGAAATATTGGTACGATTCCTACTGAAACTATTCCAGAAAACTGAGGAGAAACTCCTCCCCAGCTCATTCTATGAGGCATTATTCTGATACCAAAACCTGGTAGAGACACAACAACAACAACAAAAAAAACTTCAGGCCAATATCCTTTATGAACACTGAAGCAAAAATCCTCAACAAACTACTTGCAAACTGAATCCAGCAGCACATCAAAAAGATAATCCATCATGATCAAGTAGGCTTTATCCCTGGGATGCAAGGTTGATTCAACATATGGAAATCAGTAAACATGATTCATCACATAAACAGAAATAAAAACACCACATGGTCATTTCAATAGATGCAGAAAAGGCTTTCAACAAAAGTAAAATCTCATGTTAAAAACTCTCAATAAACTAGGTATTAAAATAACATACCTCAAAATAATAAGAGCCATCTATGACAAACCCTTAGCCAATATCACACTGAATGAGCAAAAGCAGGAAGCAATCACTTTGAAAACTGGCAGAAGACAATGATGCCCTCTTTCACCACTCCTCTTCAACATAGAAGTTTTGGCCAGGGCAATCAGGCAAGAGAAAGAAATAAAGGGCATCCAAATAGGAAGAGAGGAAGTCAAACTATTTTTGTTTGCTGATGACAGGATTTTTATATCTAGAAAATCCCAGAGTCTTAGCCTAAAACCTCCTTCAGCTGATAAAACAACTTCAGCAAGGTCTCAGGATACAGAATCAAGTACAGAAATCACTAGCATTCTTATATACCAACAACAGACAAGACAAAAGCCAAATCAGGAATGTTTTCCCATTCACAATTGCCACAAAAAGAATAAAATACCTAGGAATACAGCTAACCAGGGAGCTGAAAGATCTCTACAATGAGAATTATGAAACACTGCTCAAAGAAATCAGAGATTACACAAACAAATGGAAAAACATTCCATGCTCATGGATAGGAAGAATCAATATCATTAAAATAACCATACTGCCCAAAGCAATTTACAGATTCAATGCTATTCCTATCAAACTCCCAATGACATTTTTCACAGAACCAGAAAAAACTATTTTAAAATTCATATGGAAAGAGCCCAAATAGTCAAGGAAATTCTAAGCAATCCTAAGGAAAAAGCAGGAGGGATCATGCTACCCAACTTCAAACTATGCTATAGGGCTACAGTGACCAAAACCAGCATGGTACTGGTAAAAAAAAAAAAAAAAACAGACACATAGACCGATGGAACAGAATAGAGAGCCCAGAAATAAGGCCACAAACCTACAACCATCTGATCTTTGACAAAGCTGACAAAAACAAGCAATGGGGAAAGGATTCACTGTTCAAAAAATGGTGCTGGGATAACTGGCTAGCCATATCCAGAAGACTGAAGCTGGAAACTAGACCCCTTCCTTACACCATATACAAAAATCATCTCAAGATGGGCTAAAGACTTAAATGTAAAACCCAAAACTGTAAAATCCCTGGAAGACAACATAAGCAACATCATTCTGGACATAGGAATGGGCAAAGATTTCATGACGAAGATGCCAAGAGCAATCGTAACAAAAGCAAAAATTGGTAAGAAGGTTCTAAGAAAACTAAAGAGCTTCTGTAGAGTAAAAGCATCTATCAACAGAGTAAACAGACAACCTACAGAATGGGAGGAAATTTTTGCAAAGTATGATCTGACAAAAGTCTAATATCCAGCATCTGTAAGGAACTTAAAAAACCATTAAAAAGTGGGCAGAGGACATGAACAGATACTTTTCAAAAGACAACATACATGCAGCCAACAAGCACATGAAAAAAAGCTCAATATCACTGATCATTAGAGAAATGCAAATCAAAACCACAATGAGATACCATCTCACACCAGTCAGAATGGCTATTACTAAAAAGTCAATAACAGATGCTGGCGAGGTTGCAGAGAAAAGGGAATGCTTATACACTTTTGGTGGGAGTATTTATTTACAATAATTGTGGAAAGCAGTGTGGCAATCCCTCAAAGAGCTAAAAAAAGAACTACCGTTCAACCCACCAATCCCATTACTGGGTATATACCCAAGGGAATATAAATTGCTCTATCATAAAGACACATGCATGTATATGCTCATTGCAGCACTATTTGTGATAGCAAAGTCATGGAATCAACCTAATTGCCCATCAATGGTAGTCTGGATAATGAAAATGTGGTGTATATATATACCATGGAATAATATGCAGCCATAAAAAAGGATTAGATCATGTCCTTTACAGGAACATGGATGGAGCTGGAGGCCAGTATCCTTAGCAAACTAATGCAGGATCAGAAAAGCATATACCACATGTTTGCACTTATAAGTGGGAGTTAAATAATGAGAACACGTGGATACAAAGAGAGGAACAACAGACACTGGGGCCTACTTGAGGGTGGAGGGTAGAGGGTGAGAGGAAGGAGAAGAGCAGAAAAAATAAATATTGGGTATTAGGCTTAGTGCTGGGGTGACAAAATAATCTATACAATAAACCCTCATGACACTAGTTTATCTATATAACCTGCACATGTACCCCTGAACCTAAAAGTTAAAAACATATATATATATAAAGATATATAAATATATGCAACATATATGAAGAAATAATATAGATTCAATATAAAAGTAATTATAATATATAAAATTACACATAATATTTAATGTTCTTAAAATATATTACTTAGATAATTTCAAATAAAGATTAATTTGCGATGTCAATCATTTTTAGACAATCAATAAGACCAATTCTGATTATCTGAACTTTCTGGTTGTTTGGATTTTGACCAAATGTGGGTTTATCACCCTTAATACTCATGTTTTAGGAGCAAATTTAGTCGACTACAAAAACTATCATAGTCTAGAGATAGCCATAGGCAAGGCTGAGTGACAGAGGGGCTAAAGCAGGTTCCTTGATCTTTCTTTGGGCTTCAGATGTGACTGTAGAGAACTCTTCCTGGGGAAAGCTGATGGGACCTGGGCAAGGATCCCAGCCCTCTGCTGGCCTCATAGGCTGAGTGACTGATTTAGAGTGCTTGGGGTCAGTATGAGTTAGAGAGATTCAACTCATCTATTTTGCTGAGGCAGCTCATCTATTGGCTCTATAGTGATGTGGATATTACTGACTTTTCTCAGTTTTACATGAGGCCAATTGAAGGCCTGTCCTGAAGTTCTGCCTTCAACAGTGCTAGTGTCATAACCACCATGGAGGAGTTGAAAGAAGCATAGAGGTGAGTCTTCTCTGTATTAATTTTCTTCCCTATCCCCACTTTGAACAGCAGGTTGAATTAGTGAAATGTTGTGTGTGTGAAGCAAGTGCCCCACCTTAACTCCTGGCTTTAATTGCATTGTTACCATTAATTTATCCTACTTTATTATAGTAGATAGCTTCAAAATTGTGTTCCTAGCACAATCACTTTATCTGGTAAATCCCTTCTTGATTGGCTTTTGTGGGAGTGGCCATTTTGTATAACATGATCCTGCTCCTTGGCTATATTTAATTGGTTCATGGATAAGCACTTGACTACATGGGCAGGTACATAATCCAAACTGGATGAGTCATAGTCTCTTTTTTTCTGGCTTTGACTGAGACTACAGGTGTTAATATTTGCATCAGAGATTGGTGACTGACTGACTCAAGCTAGGACAGTTAGAGCCTTTCCTAGAAGAGGCAGATAGAAACCCAGAGACTTGAGCTGAAGCAATGCGATATAAAAACCTGGTTGCTGTGAATAGCTGTGTTTCCTGCCACGTGGAAAGAATCAGTCTGGGTGAACAAGAATGAAACTGACAAGCAGAGCAAAACAGAGACTGCAGCAAGATGCAGGGGTTACTTAAAGCCCTGGTTACAGTTGTCCTTAAGGCTGATGTGAATCTCTGCCCTTTCCAATGTGTCATGTGATTGCTCCAAATTAAAACACCTATTATTATTATTTTGCTTATGTTGGTTTAAGTTAGGTTTCTGCACAAATCTTTACCACTTTTTCTTTTTTGTTTTAGTTTGATTTATGTTGCTATATAAATGCATTTATTGTATGACCCCTGAAATCTTTATGGAGCAAAGCAAGTTATAAGTCTACCAATCCAGGGGAGAAATGCATGTATTTATACCTTATACTGTGTGAGGACTAAAGAAAAGGTGGTAAGGGTAAAATCAGCAAGAAAAGTGAAAGTTGTGCTCAATTAACAAATTTTGGTGAGTGAGGAATTTTCTAAAGGCCATTTTTAAAGTTAGAGACCTAAAGTTTGGAAAACTGACATCGTTCTCAAGTAGGACATTCTTGGAATACTTTCACTTAGATTTAACCCATTTTGAAAGGTATCTACATATGCTATCCAGAAACAGTCTCTTTCATATTGTAGACAGTCAGTAAATGTTTATTGAATGAACCCATAAGTGTCCCTAGCTTTGAGGATCAGGATATTTCATTTAATTGACCTTAGGTAAGCTATTTAACTTTCATAGCAGTTTCTCTTGTGTTAAATGGTTATTGAAATACAGAAGATTACATTCAACATGAAATTTCAAAATTATTTCTGAGCACCTATTGTTAATATCACTATTTCCATCTTTAGCTAGTGTTCCTTCTTTAAGAGTCTGAAGTGAAGCATTGGTTCAGTACCTTCCTCATTAGTCAGTTGCCTCACCTTGAATCTGCATGACCTGGAAAAGAGGCTATGATGTGATCCATAGAATACCTCCTACCTTAACCTTCAGAACATCATCAGGACCTCTTGCATCTCGTTTTATTTTTGAGTTTTTATTTGTAACTATTTTTAAAGATATTTGATGTCTTTTATTATTCCAAAGAACTGAGGAAAAATTTACTTATTTTTCTTTTTTGAAACAGAGTCTCAATCTGTCACCCAGGCTGGAGTGCAGTGGGCTGTCTTGGTTCACTGCAACCTCTGCCTCTAGGGCTCAAGTGAATCTCCCACTTCAGCCCCTCAAGTAGCTGGGACTACAAGTGTGTGCCACCATGCCCGGCTAATTTTTAAGAAATATTTTGTAGAGACAGGGTTTTGCCTGTATAAAGCTTTATACAGGGTCCAATGGAGCTGCATGGTAATTACAAGATAGGATGGTAGAAATCTTCATGAGCCTATTTTTTCCATTTTGCTATTTCAACTTGCTAGGAATGATTTTAGCATTGCTATTTAATTGTTTTCAACTCTGCTTTTCTAAAAAGATTAAAATAATAAGAAAATGGAAGAATAATGAAACCTCCTGGAAGGAAATAAATAAATCATCATGGTGGCATCAAGCTTTAGTTTTCTTTTTGGGTTGTGCAAAGTATTGCATTTTTAAAAAGTAGGGAATAAGAGAAGTATGGAGATACATTTTTGCAGTCTTTTTAAAGACTAAACACAGTTGAGGATTTAAAAATTTCCATTTTCTTCCCATAATGGCAAAGAAAAATAAGTTGATAGAGGAAAGTATTATTCGATGGAACAGAAAAAGAATGCAAAGAGACAGGTATCAGCTTCCTAGGCCATAATGATGATAGTAAATTGGTCAGAGAAGTGAAATCTCAGGTATGAGTCCTCAGATGACAATATTCTGGGTATAATTTTTTCTCCCATACTTAAGAATCAATGAATGAACAATTCATTTCTAAATAAATAAAGAAAATATGGTATTCTCATCCAGTTAGTCATTCAACAGGAAATATTTTGCAATAAGAACTTAAACCATTCTGTTTTGCTGAAAAGATGTTGAGTATCTTTTATTGTTTCAAATTGTTTCAAAATTTATTCCATGTGGTTTATTAGCAAATGAGTTCTGAAGGCAGGTGTGTTTACAAAGGTTACTGGAAGAAAATACAAGATATAGAAGTAAAAAATTAACTGGATTATTTTAACTGGTGTTCATAAATCCAGAAATAAAATTTTTTGGCACTTATGGAGCAAAGAAAATGTCAGTCTTCATGCTGATGGCAGTGGTGGCCTGTCTGGAGCAGCCACTGCCATGATGCCCGCTGCAGTGGGGGAGGTGCAGCTGGGGCTGCAGACCCAGGCATCCCTGTGTCCTTGGGGGCTGGAAGCAGGCAGGATCCCCACCCTCCCAGGTGCTGCTGCAGCTGCCCAAGCCATGGCTGCAGATCTTGGCATCTCTGTGCTTTCAGGGTCCCAGGAAGCCCCTCTTCCCCCACAGGCTCCTGCTCCCTGGCCTCTCCCCACTGCTGGCAGCCGGTCTGATCTTGCAGCAAAGTTGAGGACCAGCCTGGGCGCTATGGCAACCTGGCTGGGTGTGCACAAGCTCAGGGCAGTGCTTACATGCCAGCCCCCTGCTGCCTTGGCCCCCACCAGACCTTGGGCACCAACAAACACAAGAGGGAGGCCAAAGGGGGTGCTGAGGACAGCTCTGCATTGGCCTGCAGGTGCCCCTCGGCATGAACAGTCTGGGCGCCATGAACAGCAGTAGGAGGCAGACAGGCTCCTGGGCCGAAAGGGACGGGTCCCCAGTGGAAGCTCACCTTCAAGCCAGAGAAAGCCTGAAGCCTGGGGGCCTGGCTGCCAGTCCCACAGACCAGGGTAGGAGATTACAGTGCTTTTTCTGGGTCACCCATGGACCAATCAGCACATACTTCCTCTCCTCTGAAGTCCGTAAAACCCCCAGATTCAGCCAGACTCAAAAAAGATGACAGGATGACCAGCTGCAGAGAGGAACTACCCACCCTAGGGTTTCCTCTCTGCTGACAGCTGAACACTCATCAGGACACCCTGGCTGTGGAGAGGAGCTATCCACTGTGGGTCTCCTCTGAGCTGTTTTATCACTCAATAAAGCTCCTGCTTTGCCTTGCTCACCCTCCTTTGTCCATGTACCTCATTCTTCCTGGATGCAAGACAAGAACTCGGGACCCACCAAATGGCAGGGTCAACAGAGCTATAACACAGGGCTGAAATGTGCCCCTTGCTCGCCACATTGTAGGCAACAAGAAGGACAGCAGAGAGAAGGAGAGAAGAAATGCGACCCTTTGGGGAGCTCAGACCTGGGAGCTCCCCAAGCCAGGGCTGTGACACCTCCTTTGGGGCTCAGCAATTCCTGCTGTCTCCAAGTTTTTGGGCACCAGTGCATTCCTTGGTGCCAGCCGTGGAAGCTGCTTGCAGTATGCAGTATGCAAGGCTAGTCCAGCTGCAGCCTTGCAGGGAGCCGACACCTGTGCTGGCTCCTGGAGTTCCCTGCCCCCACTGCCGCCAGCATGCCTGGCTGTGCGCAGTGGCCGGACACCTCACTTACCCACACACCCCTCACCGCTCTGCTCACCCTTGGCAGGCATGGGATCCAGGCCAGTAGCACGAGTTGAGTGCAGCCTGCCAGGCTGAGTGGGCCCAGCAGGCCCAAGCAAAACTTAGGCAAAGGCACCACCGGCCACAGAGATTTCCGGCTGGCGAAGCAATACCCTAAGAATCCTGTGACAATGCCAACACAATTCTGGTTTGTTAAAAATTTCAAATGTGTCACATTTTGATAAGGCCAAACAGAGCAGAACCATGAATATGCTAAAACCTATTAAAGAGTTATTTGAAATCAGGAATCAATATTTACACTATGGATATGCTGCAGGCTCCTGCATGATAGGTATGGCAGTTAGTTGAATTTTAAAGACGTCGTCTATTTTGGGTATAGATACCTTCAAAAGCAGGAAAATATGGAAAATTTAAATTTGCTATGCTTAAATTCTTATTAACATTTCTAACTTTTTTTTTTACTATCCCTTATTCTTACTTCTATCAATTATTTGCAAAATGACTTAAAAATATTTTTGAAAATATTTTAAAAAATTTAAAGGGTTTATTGGCCCCAGATGGTAAATGGTGATTTTTTTTCCTGGTATAATGAAGGTAAATGAGCTCTACTTGATGTATTTCAGTACATGTATCAATGTACATCAATAAGTGAATGGATAAAGGAATGACTCTAGACCCAATCAGTAAGAATATGAGGTGACTTTCAAAAAGAATATACAATAAAAGAAAGCAAGATAGAAAGGAGATCAAAGTGAAGGAAAAATACTTCTTTATTTTCAATTTCAGTGCTTGAGAAATAGAGCCAAATATAGCTACTGGTTGTAGCAACTACTGCAGTCTCCTTAGCTACAGAGAAGCCATGATGGCTCCTGTGCTGCTCATCAAGATTTCAAAGTTACAAAGTGAACCCAACTCCATGCCCAGTTCAGTTACAAAGTTGGAGACGGAGTTGTGCACACCTACAGGTATGTTATCTGAAAGAAGACATTGTGAGAACATAGAGCCTCATGACTTTGAAAAAAATATATTATACATCAAAATGCAATTTTTAATGAGTCTGCTTTCTGTTCCTATAAGCCAACTCCAACTCACTGCTTTGCAACTTGAGCCTTTATTCTTTATGCAACACTTATACTTCATTTCGTGCTGCCTTTCCCTTCTCAGTTGACAGTTCCAGTTTCCACAGAGGCAAAAAACAAAAACAAAAACAAAAACAAAAAACAACAACAAAAACAGCTGCATTTAAATATATATTTAAAATTTATGATATATATGCAAGGATGTTTATGGCAGCATTATTGATATTACTGAAGAATTTGGGATAACTTTAATGACCATAAATATGGGAAGGACTAAATAAAACATACACTGATATTCTGGAATATTATGGAGCCACTACAAATAATATAATACTGGTATTAAAGGCTATTCATGATTACATTTCTGAGTAAAAAGGAAGTTATAGAACAATATGTTTAACAAGATCCCATTAAAAAGAAGCGATCCTCTCTCTATAGGTACATTAAATGTATATTGCATGTATACAAGCATATGCAATACACACATATATTTTATACACATATATATTATACAGTATATGTGTTTGTGTGTTTAAAAAGACTGGAAAGATACTTGTTGGATTTGTAAGTGATTATTCCAGGGGAGTGGGAATGGAGGTAATTTTTACTTTTAATTTTAAACATTTTGGTATTGTTTTCTTTAACAAGAAGGTGATACATTAATAATTCAAAACTTTTTTTAAAGATAGAGCATATCTGCTATTGAGAGTGTACTTTGTAAGTGATGTCCATTTTTTTTCTCTTTCTCTCTCTTTTTTTTTTTTTGTAGAGATGGGGTCTTGCTATACTGCCCAGGCTGGTCTAAAATTCCTGCCCTCAAGCAATCCTCCTGTCTTGGCCTCCTAAAGTGGTAAGATTACAGGCATGATCCACTACACCTGGCTGGATGTCCATTTTTATGTATCTTCTCTAAAAATGCATTATGTGTACAACTGGGTCTTCAGTATCTGACTTTTCATCCCAGGCTCAAATGTTTCCTAGACTCTTAAACATGCCATTGTCACTTCTGAAGCATAGAAAAGGCACAGAGAGATAAAATGATTTAAAAAAAATCATCATCCAAGTTCTTGATAGTGGTAAGTCAACAAACTAAATCATAATTAATATTTTGCTTAGCCACCGATGAAGTGATATCAAATCTTATTAAATATGATTAATTAAAGCATTGTTGTAAATAAACACAAATCACTGACCACCTCAAAGCCTTTGCAGCCACTTTTGAGAAGTGCAGCTCTAAGACTAACTTGGATTTTTCCACTCCCAGTCTCATCCTCAGACAGCCCAATTACTGGGAAACACAAGGCTGAATTTGAAATTATTTTATGGGGGCGATTTTTCTGTCCCCTTACCCCCAGTTTCAACTCAATTAAGGATGCTTTCTTGTTTGGCGATTGCCCGATTGTGGGATATCTTCATATAAATTCCCCCAAAATGGAATCATGGATAGATATGTTGTAACAAACTGCACATTCCCTGATGTTTGCTTTTTTCGAAAATGCGTTAGTTCTACCTTCTTTTTAAAAATTCATTAATTCATTTATTTCTGCAAAGAGGGAGCGCCTTTAAGTCAACACACACACACACACACACACACACACACACACACACACACACACACACACACGAATACCCAGGTACTCAGGCCCATGCAGTCAGTCATTTACTAAATCAATCTAGGCTGGAGAGACTGTCATCCTTCAGCCCTACAAAGGGGCTCAGTGTGTGCATCTTGCGCGGAATTAGTGCAGGCAAACAGTTCCTGGAAGGGTGAACAGCTAGCTCATGTGTAAAATGATCGCACATCGGTTCCCCAGCTGCCGCAGCCCAGCGCCGGAGCCGGAGAGGCCAGGGAAGAGCCTTCCCCCGAGGCCAGCCAGGCAGAGACGCGGGAACATAAAACACATTCCAGCGGTTGGCATCTGGGCGCGCAGCTGCCAGGCGCAGCCACTGTGTGGCCGCGGGGGCTGCGGAGCGGGCGGGGGCAGAGCAGGTCCGGCGCCAGGCCTGCAGAAAGCGGCCTGCGGGCCAGTTTGGCTCTGCAGGCTGTGGCCTCATTACTGAGAGCAACAGTTTTATCTAGAAAGTGTGCTGTGGGGGATTTTGGAATCCTCCTCTGGGGCGAGGGCTTGGGGAGTAGCTTTGGCACTCCCAAGGCTCTGGGGTCGGGGAGCATTCCATGTACCGTGGTGTTCATGACTCAGGCAAAAGGGAAACCCCAGAATTACCACAAAGCTATCCCAATCCTGGCTTGGCATCACCAATCAGCTAAAAGCAATGTTTTCATTTAGCATTTAGGAGTGCACGTTTGTGTCTGTGTATGCGTATGCATATTTTTAAGAATGAATTCTCCCGATTTTCATCTTTGCAAATAGATTGGGGGTTGGGGGTAGACGGCCGGTAATGCCTATTAGAACTTCAAGGGATTGGTTTTCACATGAGAGAGCTTCAGAGATGAGAAATCGCTGAAATTATCTGGTAGCAGCTTCTGAGGGACATTTACCGTGGATTCACTTTTACATTTCAGTTCATTTGAAAGCCAGTATGGTTAAATTAACCAAAATCTAAATTAAAAAAAAAATTCCACGATTCTTCCAGGCCTACTTCACATCATCAAACCAGGCCCTGCTGGAGGCCCCATTAAAATGGCAGCTCCCACTGAGAGAGAGACAAAAGCCCCCTCTCTGAATGGGGATGCTGAAACAGTGATGGACTCTCAGAACTGCTTTTTTTTTTTTTTAATCCATTAAAAAAAAGTTACCTCTGCATTGACTGTGAGAGAGTATTTATTTCGCTCTCCACACTGTGGGAAACAGAGGCGTTCTCCCTTATAAGGACACCCAGACCTTCTTGGGAGAGGAGAGAAATATGAATCCATAACATGGCTGAACAAATTCCTCCTCGCAACTGAATTCATGGAATGTTTCAGACGTGAACAGCTTAATTTTGGTGTGGTCTGGGACAAATTAATATGACTCAAATCCCACCTCACAGAGGAAGCATCTCCTGATGAAGTGGGTGGGGTGAGTACACTCACTTCCTTCAAAATTCTGTCTAACAATCATCTCTATTAAATTTCAATATGTCTCACCCTCTCCCCCAGCAAGAAAAAAAAAACAAATAGGGAAATCAAGAACAAACTAAAAATATATCTAAAAAGCCTAACTGCAAAGTGTTCAGCAAATGATTATGTGAAATTTTAGGCTGTATGAATGATAATGAGTTTGTATACAACAGAATAAAAGCTTCTAGAGGGTAGTCCAGAAACTGTATTTTGGGAGTGAATACATTAAACAAGATCACTCTTCTAGGTTCTCATGAAATCCCAGTTATCGTTATTCCAACCCGGAAGGCTTAGGGATGAACAAGGACATATCATTCTTTTCTTCCAGAGGATGAACTGGACTTTTCACCTTAGCATTTAATCGGACACCACTCTTTTCCCATAGAGGTGCTCAGTCTCTAGCAGGGAAGGCCATTTATACATGAAAATGAACTGTAATGTTATCCTCTCCAGGACTAAATTTATTTACTTTTGTAAAATGGGAATAATTTCTTCACGCTTTCAAAGTGGAAAAATGATTGCTAGCACATATGGGAGTAGATTCTTGAGTGAAAGTTACTATAAATATTAAATATACAGTGGGATTTAGGAACCCACTTGCATGTGGCTCACACACATTACCTTATATTTACAGAAGGCAGTGGTGAGAAAGATTACTTTTCAATGATCAAAAATAGAAATCACGTTTATTTGGCTTTGAACTGCATCATATGCTTGTTCTTTCTACATATTTAGCATGTAATTATGTTTGGGTTTGGTTTGTGTTAAAAATTAGATTACATTTCCTGAACCACTGATAATCAGCAGAAGTTCTTCAAGAAGCAAGATGGGTTGTTAGGCACTTTGAGGTGGAATGCCAGCCAAGATGCCATTTTTGAGATGCCCCTGGGCTCTATAAGCACAGGAGACCATTAGAGACCATGAAATGCTGACAAACCCAGTGTGATAATACCACTCTGTGTGACAATCTCTGTAGTGGTAGAGGCTGTATATGTACTCTAGAACAGTGCTCCCATTCTAGAGTGGGGTTCTCAGAACACATGTCCCTTTCCAGATGCATCTGCTATACATAGTTTTTCTATAAGAACACTATTTTGATCAAGAATCAATAGGAGAGACATTTAATTTAATATCACTGTTAAGAGCCTTTGAAAAATGCTTATTAATAAAAGATACAAATTTATGCATCCCCTTTTCATTACAAGAATCATACACCATCAGAGGTAAAAGGAACATCCTTCAGAACTGGTTTTCAAATGCTTTTTTTGACTTGAAATAGACTCCTTTTAAAAATGGAATAAAAAGAAATAAAAGTCCACATGGCATTCCAATATGTAAAATAATACCAGTATGTCTTACTGAACAGGGGAAATACATAGGGTTTCAGAAGTTCATTTTGAAAATCACTGTGTTAACATGTTTCCTAAACTTCCTGAAAAAGAAACTATATGAATCATCTCAGGATGCAAAGGAATAGTAACAAACACAGAAATCCTAAAATATCGGGGAAATGGTATCATTGTACTAAGATGGCACCTACTCGTATACAGATGAAGAAATGGGAGCCTGATTGTTTGCAACAAATGGCCAAAGGTTGCACAGCTCCTTTAGGACAAATTCAGGATGCAAATTCAATGTTTTTCTCCCCAGCTTGCGGGTCACTATCTGATGCCGCCTCTGGAGTCTGGAATGCCTTTGAAATCAGGCTGTATGACACTCTAATCAATTTTAATGATCTAAAGCTTTTATAAATTGGTGAAAAATTTTATAGCACAAAACTACTTTCTACATTGTTCTGTGCTGCCACAAAAATCAATCACGATTCTCAGGGATATTTTTATGTTCATATATTGATGATAATCATTCCTTATATTTATGTAGCTAGATATGCATGGCTTAAACACCACCACATGCATTCTGGGACTGGACATAGGACATGACATCCTTGACCAGTAAATCCCTTGAATGAGTGCATTTTCCCCCTCTGTGCATGTCTCCTTCTCGTCCATTGTCTGTCTCCTTTTCATGCCTGTCAGGCGATGGCCATGACTGTGCACTTATAAAGGTCAGTGACCCAGCAGAGAGGGCAGGCCCTGCAGAAGGCGTGTTGATGAAGCATTACAATGCACACTGAATTTGTTAGCTCTCTGGCTTACTCCCAGGGGCAGGCTACAATTGTTTCCTGTGTGGCATGGCACCCACCCGGAACTCTTATGGTATGGGCCATTCCAACCAGGAATCTCTAAACCACATCCTACAAAATAAACATCCCATATTTCCCAGCTCACTAGATTCTTATACCTGGCTCTCCTTCCCTTAATTTGTACACTATACCCAGTGAAATGAATTAAAACAGAGTTATCTCTTATTTACATAAACAGCCATAGGGAGGTTTTCAAGGGATTATTTGCAAAACTGGGAGGCCACATAGATAATAATAAACTCACATCTTTCAGGTTGAAAACTTTTAGAAGGCTGAGGTCTTAAGCCTCTTTATATTACAAATACTAAATTAAACAAAAACAGACATGGCATTTCCTTTGAGATTGTCTCAAGGAAGGCAAGCATTTATTTCTCTCTTTGGAGCATCTACCTTTTAATAAAGCAATGATTATCTAGAAATGGAAACCTGTGATTCAAAAATAAAAGATTCACCTAAAATTTCAAATTTGCTGTAATTTATGCTACCTGTGCAAAACTTTTTACTGAAGTGAAATAGAATGAAAAAGTTGCCTGCATATGTTCTGGTTCTGGTTGTGTTGCAGTAGTTTGTATCAGACTGCCCTTCCTACAGATAACAATTGTGAACTCTGGACAAAATATTAAAAGAAAACAATTGAAACATACTGGGGAGACAACAAAGCAGCCCAAAACCAGAGAGAATTTGATCCTTGAAATAAGGAACCACATTAGATAAAATCAATGTATTTATTGATTTTTCCAAAGGTGCTCTATACTCCACTTGGTGCAGGACAGCTAGAATTGAAGCAGAAAGCTACAGTCTTATTGACCTGAGGAGTCAAAGGATAGTGTTTGGAGCTTTCACAACATCTGGAAATTGAGGGGTAAAAATCCCAGAGAGAAAGATCACAGTGGGGCTAGGTAGGCCCCAAATCTGCTCATAATCTCCTCTCTAATCTTTGGTGACCCTGAACTGTACGTGTGAAGGGGAAACTCCAAGTTGACCAGTGAAAAACTGTAGCTGAGAGACTGAAAGAACAGAACAGAAATTTTTAAGCTCTTGTTCACTGCACCAAGACAGAGTTTAGAGTTTGAGTCCTGCCAAGTTTGAGGGGCTTGGTAGTTTTTCAAGATTTCCACTTAAACTCTAGAAAACTCATGCTTTAGTTATAAAGACTAGTTATCAGATTCCAGAGATTTGCTTTAGGACTAATAACACAATGGAAACACACCCCATCAAAGCATAAAATTAAGCCTCTAAAAGTTCATTGGTGAGCTGCCAGTAATTTAAATGCCATGGACCACAAAATTCGGTACTGTTGAGAGGAAAAAACAGAAACTAGACTTTATAACGTATTCTTTATGATGTCCAGTATACACTAAAGAAGTACTAGACATACATATGAAGAAATGGGGAAACGTGACCAAACAGTAAATGACCCAAGATGACTCAGATGTTACAAAGACTTAAAATTAGCTATTATATATTTGTTTAAGGAATTAAAGAATAAGATAGTCATAATAAGTGGACAGATGGAATATTTCAGCAGAAAAATGCAAACTAAAAAAGAATGAAATATAAATTTTCAAGCTAAAAAGTACAATGTCTGAAATAACATTTACTGGATGAATTTAAGAGCAAAGGATTAGTTAATTAGAAGACATCCATAGAAACTATCCAGTCTGAAGAATAGAGAGAAGAAAAATTATGTGAAACAGTGTGTGAAGAGAACTTTAAGGTCCTGTGGGAAAGTATCAAATAATCCAATATATATGAAATTGGCTTCCCAGAAAAAGAAGACAGGGAAAAGGAAAACATTTAAAAAATAATAGATGACTAATGGAAAAATATCAAATTATAAATCCACAAAGCTCAGAAAACCCCAAGCAAGGCAAGTACAACAAAACAAAACAAAACAAAACAAAACAAAACAAAACAAAACAAACATCTAGGCACAGTTTAGCCAAAGTTGTCAGAGGAAAAAGATATCACATACAGGGATCAATGATATAATTAATCACCTACTTTTCAACAGAAACGATGAGACAGATACAATGTAACAACATCTTCAAAGTGCTGAAAGATAAAATGTGTCCATCTGGACTTCTACATCCAACTAAAATATCCTTCAAAAATGAAGATAAAGGCTGACCTGCTAAAGGTATATTAAAAGAACATTTTCAGACCAAAGGAAATAATACTAAGTACCAACTCAGATCAACAGAAGAAATAAAGAACACCAAAAATGTTTTTTCAAAAGTAGGTAAATATACAATATTTTTTCTTCCTTTTTAAAAAACATAGCTCATTGTTTAAAGCAACATTTAAAACACTGCATTGTGGCATTATAATGTATGTTGATATATAGCATGTGACTGGGAATTAATGGAATGTTATTGTTTCTGGGCTTTTACATTTTACATAAGGGGGTCAAACATTCACTCTAGGTAGGCTGTGGTAAGTCAATAATGCGTGTTATAATACCTAATTACTTTAAAAATACAAAAATGTATAGTTAAATCCATGGGAAAACTAAAATGAATACTACAAAAATGTGAGTAAGCAAAAATAATGTAGGAAAGGAGAAACAAAGGAAAATGATGGGGTAAATAGACAATAAATAACAAAATGGTAAACCTAAATCCAACTATATCAATACTTACACTAAACATAAATGGATTAAACACTAACTAAAGACAAATATTGCCAAATAATATAAAAAAGCAAGATTCCACCATAAACAGTCTATCAGATATGCACCTTAAATATAAAGATACAGATAGGTTGGAAATAAAAGTAAAAATATATACCATGCAAACTGTGAGCAAGAGAAACGGGATATGACTGTGTTCACCCTAGAGAAATGCAGGCTTCAAACGAAGGAATATTAGTAGAAGTTAAAGGCATTTCATAATGATAAAAGATCAATTCATCAGAAAGACATAATAATTATAAATGTATATGCAGTTAATAATAAAACTTCAACATATAAGGAGCAAAAACTGACAGAACTAAAGAGGGGACCAAACAAATCCACAATTATAAAGACCTAACATCACCCTCCCAGTAATTGAAAGAATAACTAGGTGAAAAATTAGGCCGGCAGCAGTGGCTCACGCCTGTAATCCCAACACCTTGGGAGGTCGAGACCATCCTGGCTAATACGGTGAAACCCCGTCTCTACTAAAAAAAAAAAAAGAAAAAATTAGCCAGGTGTGGTGGCGGGCGCCTGTAGTCCCAGTCCCAGCTAGGGAGGCTGAGGCAGGAGAATGGCATGAACCCAAGAGGCGGAGCTTGCAGTGAGCCGAGATTGCGCCACTGCACTGCAGCCTGGGCGACACAGGAGACTTCATCTCAAAAACAAAAAAATGGGAGATTTTGATACTAAGAACCATCTTGACCTAACTGACATTCACAGAATGCTGTAACCAGTAACTTCAGAAGATATATTCTTTTTAAGTACATAAAGAGCATTCATCAAGATAGACCATATGCTGGGCCATAAAACAAGACTCAAATTTCAAAGGACTGGCATTTTACAAATATGTTTTCTTACCACAGAGGAGTTAAATGAGAAATTAATTACAATAAGATCTCTTGAAGACTGCTAAATGAACTGTAGGTTAAAGAAGAAATCACAAGAAAAATGAGAAACTTTCAAAATGAATGATAATGAACATATATCAAAATTTGTGGAATGCAGGTAAATCAGTTATTAGAAGAAATACACTTTGAAATGTTTATATTTTAGTTAGGCTGGGAGCTTGGCTCACTCCTGTAATCCCAGCACTTTGGGAGGCCGAGGTGGGCAGATCATTTGAGGTCAGGAGTTTGAGACCAGCCTGGCCAACATAGCAAAACCCTGTCTCTACTAAAAATACAAAACTTTTTATTTTTGGGTGTGGTGGCACATGCCTATAATCCCAGCTGCTCAGGAGGCTGAGGCAGAAGAATTGCTTGAGCTGGGGGAGTGGAGGTTTCAGTGAGCCCAGATCGCACCACTGCACTCCAGCCTGGGAGACAGAGCCAGACCACTGCACTCCAGCTGGTATTTAGTTCAAGAAAGATGTAAAATCAATGATGTAAATTTTCACTTCAAGCCACTACAAAAAGAACAAATTAAACTCAGTTAAACCATATATATGTAAATAATAGAAATAATAAATGTAAAAGTAGAAATCAATGCAATAGAAAAGAATAAAGAAAATTAACAAAAGACACAAGTTGTTTCTTTTTTTGGTGATATTATCTTATATATCTTTTTTATTTATTTTATTTTTTTATTATACTTTAAGTTTTAGGGTACATGTGCACAACGTGCAGGTTAGTTACGTATGTATACATGTGCCATGTTGGTGTGCTGCACCCATTAACTCGTCATTTAACATTAGGTATATCTCCTAATGCTATCCCTCCCCGCTCCCCTCACCCCACAACAGGTACCGGTGCGTAATGTTCCCCTTCCTGTGTCCGTGTGTTCTCATTGTTCAATTCCCACCTATGAGTGAGAACATGCGGTGTTTGGTTTTTTGTCCTTGCGAAAGTTTGCTGACAAGTTGTTTCTTTGGAAAGAGTAATAAAATTTATAAACTCCCAGCAAAGCTGATTCAAGAAAAAAAATAGAAGCAGAAATTACTAATATCAGGAATAAAATAAAACTGTAGCGCCTATAGACCAGCAGTCTCCAACCTTTTTGGCACCAGGGACCAGTTTTGTGGAAGACAATTTTTCCATGAAATGATTGGGGAGTGGGTGGTTTCGGGATGAAACTCTTCCACCTCAGATCATCAGGTATTCAATTCTGATAAGGGGCATACGCCTAGATCCCTTGCATGCACAGTTCACAATAGGGTTAGTGCTCCTATGAGAATTTAATACCACCGCTGATCTGACAGGGGGCGGAGCTCAGGCAGTAATGCTTGCTCGCTCACTGCACACCTTCTGCTGTGTGGCCCAGGTTCTAAGAGGCCACGCACCAGTACCTGTCTGTGGCCTGGGGATTGGGGACCCCTGCTATAGACATTAAAATAATAAAATAAGGGTGACTTATGTCTTTATGACAGTACTGGAAAAATTGGGTAAACATAGAGTAAAAATGATCCTCAGCTTCTACCTCACATAATATACAGAAATTAATCAGACGGATTATTACAGATCTGAACCTAAAACCTAAAAGTTGAAAGTTACTAAAAGAAAACATAGGACAATATTGGACCCATTAATTAAAAACAGTAAGCCATAGACTGTGAGAAAATATTTATAATACCCATATCCTACAAAGGATTTATATAGAGAATACATAAATAACTCTTACAAGTCAATAATTGGAAAAACAAATAAGAAGTGTAATAGATAGACAAAATGCTTGGACAGATACTTCTCAAAAGATATGTACAAGAATAAATGCTCAAATATCATTAATCATCAGGGACATAAAAATTAAAACTATAATAATATATCATTTTATATCAAATGTTGGTGAGACTGTGGAACCCCTAGAAATTTTGTACAGTGCTGATAAATATATAAAATGGTACTGTTTGGTAATTTCTTATGAAGTTAAACATAGAACACTTATCACTCAGCATTTCTACTCCTATAAACTTAGCCAAAGGAACAGAAAATGTGTCCACAAAAATATGTGCAGGAGGGTATTCATGGAAACTGGGATTTATTGAAGAGAGTATATGGGAATTTTCTGAGGTGATAGAAATATCCTCTGTTACATTTACCAAAACTCATTGACTTGTATGTATACTTAAGATTTGTGACTTTCACTGTATGTTAATTTTAGCACCCCCCTCCCCACAAAGCCAAGAAACAAACCTCATGAATGCCACTATTTCCCCTTGAGAAAAAGCAACAATGTCGCAAAACATTGATAAAAGGGAGTGAAAAGTATTCTTAAATGAAGATCCTGAAGCCTTTGTATACTTTCTAGTCATTACTCCCATTTGTCTGTTTTGTGAAAATAATAATAGTTTCTATTTATGTAAAATGTTTAAAAGAAAGCTAAACTAATAACTGGTAGAAGCATAACTTCCTAGACACTTAGGAAGACAATTTAACAATGCCTGTGAAAACTCAAATTGCTCTTACCTTTGACCCAGCAACCCCCCTTGCTGACACCTGTTCCACAGAAATATTCACATTAAATGTATAAAGATACGTGGACAAAAATTCCACCGTAGTATATCTTGGAACAGGAGCAAACTAGAGACTGCTAAATGTCTACTGACAGGGGAAGAGTTAACAAACTATGGCACCTCTATGCTAACAAATACTGTGCAGCTGGTAAAAGAAAATATAAATATTAGATGTCTATAAGACAGTCTTGTTTGAAAGAAGCAGGCTGCAGAACAAAATGCACACGATATTATCTGTTTTGAAATAACTTCCTCCATTCTCTCTTCTTTTTCTCTGCTTTTCTCCTTCCTTTTTCTTTGTGAATGCATAGAAAATGACCCGAAGGATACACATTAAACTTTTATCAGTGGTTACCACCTGGAGAGAGGGTGTGGAGAGGTGGTGAGAACTTTCATTTTTTTTTTTTTTTTGCTTTCTATATGCCTATATTGTTTGATTTGTCTTCTCAATGGATGTGTGGTTGTTTTGTAATTTAAAAAAGAAAAGAATGGCTTGCACCTGTAGTCCCAGCTACTCCTTCGAAGGCTGAGATTGGAGGATCGCCTGAGTCAAGGAGGTGGAGGCTGCAGATGGGATCTCACCACTGTACTCTAGCCTAGGTGACAGAGTGAGACCCTGTCTTTAAAAAAGAAAGAAAGAGAGAAAGAAAATAAAAGAAGAAGAAAAAGACAAAAGGAAATGAAGGAAAAGGAAAGTGAAGGAAGGAAGAAAAAGGAAGGAAGAAGAAAAAACAGAAGGGAGGAAGGAAAGAGAGGGGAGGGGAGAGAAAGGAAAGGAAGAGCTGGGAGGGGAAGGAGAGGAAGGAAACAGGAAGGGAGACTGCAGGTCTCTGAAATGCAGAAGCAAAGACAATCTAATCGTCAATGTTCTGAATTGCTCAGGGCTTGGCAGAATGATCCTTCTAGTCTATGGACCATAGATTTGATCTCTGCACCTTGAGAAGGTAGTGAATATTTCTTATTTTTAAAGACAGAGTAGTCGATTCCACAACTTCCCTTGGTAACATTTTTATGTATACTGATCTTTACCTTCAGGTTATTACTTCCTTATATCTGAGTACTTCTGTCCCCAGGCTAGAAACGGAATCAGTGATCATCACATATCATCACACACAATGTTAACTTTCAGTTAATCTCGTTAATGTTAAAGGAGGAACAATGACTTGGAGGACAAAACTCCCTCCCCCCACCCCATAAATAAATAAATTATATATATATATTTATCCTATCACTTTAAAGCCAGA
The DNA here is from genome assembly GCF_000001405.40 of Homo sapiens. Classification (NCBI taxonomy): domain Eukaryota; kingdom Metazoa; phylum Chordata; class Mammalia; order Primates; family Hominidae; genus Homo; species Homo sapiens. The sequence goes on from NC_000007.14 coordinate 93,054,313, forward strand.
AGAACTTGAAGAACAGTGGTGTACTGTACCTGTACAGCCTTGGAGTCAGGCAAGAATGAAAGCCAGCTCTGTCTCCTAACAGCTGTTTGCTTTGGGCAAACTAATTAACTTTCTTGAGCCTCAGTTTCCTTATTTGGAAAATAGTTAGAATCATAATAGTAACGATGATAATAACAACTCCTAACTTGCAGGCCTTTTGTGAGGATTACAAATAATTAATTGGCCAGGACTTTGAGTATTATAAAGAATTAATTGGCCAGGTTCACCCCTGTTATCCCAGCACTTTGGGAGGATGGGGTGGAAGGATCCCTTGAACCCAGGAGTTCGAGATCAGCCTGGGCAACATAATGTGACCCTGTCTGTACAAAACAAACAAACAAACCTGGGTGTGGCGGCGCATGCTTGTGTTCCCAGCTACTCCAGAAGCTGAGGCAGGAGGATGGCTTGAGTCCAGGAGGTTGAGGCTGCAGTGAGCCATGATCGTGCAGTGGCACTCCAGCCTGGGTGACAGAGTGAGATCCTGCCTAAGAAAAAAAAAAAAAAAAAAAAAAAATGAAAGCACCCTGCTCATAGTAGGTGTTTAATCATGATTATATTTAATGGAACCCCCTAAAGTAACCTAAAATGCTACTGGAGATAAGAACCCATCTCTCTTTACTTCAAGGTCATAACTCCATAACCGTTTGTTTCAAGGTTGGCTCTCTTTACAACAGGCTTTTGTGAGGTAGTCTCTTAATGATAACATTTGGGCTATTAGTAATTTACTGACAGTTGCTCATAGACACCTGCCTTGTTGAGATCCATGTTATAGTTCATAAGAGCCTAATATGCACGTATTCTGGGATGTGAAGGGTTATTCTTTAGATGAGGATTGTGGACCGCAGATGTCCTTCAACCTCACTGGAAAGGTCCACACTACAGGAAATGGGATTACACTTCATCAGGAGGGATTTAGGTTAGATGGGAAGAAGAACTTTCTGACTGATGATTTCCTTCCTTGAAATCTTTAAAAATAGACTAGTTCCCCATTTGTCAATTTTCAAGATGCTGGGGGTTAGAATAGATGGTTTTTCAAGATCTCTTTTAATTCCATGTATTGCTTACGTCACAGGGCTGTATTTCTAAGAGCCACAAACTTTATTGCAAATGTGTATAGAGACAATTTAGAGACCCTATTTTTTTCCCAAAGCAATAGGAAATGCTTTCTGTCTTGCCTGCCTCTTGAAGGGCCTATAGAATAACACAAAATTGCTTTAGCAAGTTAAAGAATAATTAATGGAAAATATGCAGAAAGAGATTTTAAAAATTATTGTGTAATAAAAATTTATATTTGTATTGCACATTAAAAATGTTACTATAGGTATTATTATTTACTCATTATTAGATGTTTGAGTCAAACCTAAAACGGCATCTAATTGAGTCTGAAATCTAATTCGTTGAATGCCATTGAGTCGTGAACCCACCGTGCTGAAAAATGAGAATAAATATAAAGTAACACTGCCATCTAATGGATTCTATGTGTTACTGCCATTGTCTGAGGCAACATTTAAACTCAGATCTAATTCTAATTAATCACTGATATATTCCACCACCTTATTTTGTGTTTTTAATTCACCTTTTTTTTCTTTGTATTTTGTCCCTATAATCTGTTGGATTGATTTTTTAAATTCTTTCTTTTGTCATTTTAGGATATATTGTATCACTGTTTTCTTTTATATTTTATCTCATACTATTTTTATTATGAAATAGTTCAAATATACAAATGAGTATATGATGACCTATGTGCCCGCACCTTAGCTTTATGAAATTTTAATAAACCTAACTTTCTGCTATAAGTGCTTCAGATTTTTTAAAAGGAGAAAACATTACAGATTTAGTTGAAGACTGTATATTTCTTCTCAATTCTATTTCCCTCTGTCTCCAGAGTTCATCTTTCTCATCAGTTTGATGGTTATTAATTCCATACATGGTTTAAGGTTTTATTCTGTATTTTCTAATTAAACAATATATTTCAGCAGTTTTAAATTAAAAAATGTTTATATAAATAATATATCTGCTGCATTAACATTATATTTTTGATATTCATTCATGTTGATTCATCTACTTCTGGCTGATCATTTTAATACCTGTATAGGAATATTATATATGTACATTTTTTCCAACTTATTCTTCTGTTGATGGACATTGAGTATTTTCCCCAAGTTTTCCTTTCATCAAGCAATGTTAGAATGATGTTATTTTACATTTCTTCATGTACACATATGTGAGAATTTCTGTAAAGTGACTCATTTGCTTATGCATCTCCTAAAATAATCTTGAAAAACTATGTAATTCCTTAAACATTTTATTTTAGAGACAGGGTCTTGCTATGTTGTCCAGGTTGGAGTGCAGTGGTGTGATCACAGCTCACTGCAACCTCAAACTCCTGGGTTCAAGTGATCCTCCCACCTGAGCCTCCCAAGTAGCTAGGACTACAGCTACATGCCATCACACCCAGCTAATTTTTAAAAACATTTTTTGTAGAGATGGGGTCTTGCTATGTTGCCCAGGCTGGTCTTGAACTCCTGACCTCCTGGGAGGTCAAGTGATCCTCCTGCCTCGGCCTCCCAAAGTCCTGAGATTACAAGTGTGAGCCACTGTGCCTGGCCTCCTTGAACATTTTCAGGATAACATTAAAAATTTTTTACTTTAAATTTCAATAGTAGAAAATGATGTAGTTTTTGCTTTATTAAAATATTAATATTTTAAAATACAGTGGTTCAGATATTGAGGCAGCACCACCATCAGTATAAAGAAACATGAAGATGCTCTATTGGAATAGTCAAATTTTACATTGTTCCTTTTTCTCCTTACACTCACATTTCCATTTCACTCCACAGAGTTTTATCCCAATGCATTCCTTTAATGTATGAAAATATTTTCTCAATCATCTTCATATTTCTCCATAATAGACTATAAATCAAAATTTTAAAAAACATTTTTTCTCTGTGATTAAAAGACTGAAAGGTAAAACATTTTATTCTGTATTGAGTTATTAGCACTATTATTAGTAGTATAAAATTAGTCAAAGCAAGATAATAATTATTTTGATAAGTATTAAGCATAAATATTAAAACTTTAAATACTAAAAACATATTTTGATGAAATATATTTGAGCTTCTTTTTCAATTACAGGCATACCTCAGAGATAGTGCAGGTTTAGACAGTAGCATTCTGTCTAAAAACCAATGTATATACTTAAATTAAAATACTTTATTGCTAAACAATGCCAGCAACCATCCGAATCTTCAGTGAATTGTAATCATTTTACTGGTGGAGGGTCTTGCCTCGATGTTGATGGCTGCTGACTCTTCAGAGTGGTGGCTGTTGAAGGGTGGGGTGGCTGTAGCAATTTGTTAAAATAGGATAATGAAGTTTGCTACATCCATTGACTATTCCTTTTATGAAAAATTTCTGTCTTGCAATGCTCTTTGATAGCATTTTACCCACAGTAGAACTTCTTTCAAAATTTGGGTCAATCCTTTTAAACCAGCTGCTGTTTTATCAACTAACTTTATGTATAATAATATTCTAAATCCTTTGTTGTTATTTCGACAGTGTTCACAGCATCTTCACCAGGAGTAGATTCTATCTCAAGAAACCACTTTTTGGCTCATCCATAAGAAGTGACTCCTCAACTGTTTCATCATAAGTTTATAGCAATTCAGTCACATTTCAGGCTCCACTTCTAAATCTAGTTTTCTTGCTGTTTCCACCCCATCGGCAGTTACTTCCTCCACTGAAGTTTTGAGCCCCTCAGTCATCTATGAGGGTTGGAATCAACTTCTTCCAAATTCCTGTTAATGCCGGTATTTCAGCTTCCTCCCATGAATAACATATATTCTTTCTTAGTGGCATCTAGAATGGTGAATTCTTTCCAGAAGGTTTCAAATCGCTTTGCCCAGCTCCATTAGAGGAATCGCTATCTATGACTGTTACAGCCCTACAAAATATATTTCTTAAATAATATGACTTGAAAGTCAAAATTAGTCCTTGATCTGTGGGCTGCAGACTGACTGTTGTGTTAGGCATGAAAACAGCACTAATCTCCTTGCATATCTCCATCAGAGCTCTTGGGTGGCTAGGTGCATTGTCAATAAGCAGTAACGTTTTGAAAGAAATTTTGTATTCTGAGCAGTAGGTTTCAATAGTAGGCTTAAAATTATTCAGCAAACCATGCTATAAACAGATGTGCAGCCATTCAGACTTTGCTGTTCAATTTATAAAGCCCAGACAGAGTAGATACAGTACAATTCTTAAGGGCTCTAGGGTTGTTGGAATGGTAAATGAGCGTTGGCTTCAACTTCAAGTCACTAGCTGCATCAAACCCTAAAAAGAGAGTCAGCCTGTCGGCCAGGCGCGGTGGCTCACGCCTGTAATCCCAGCACTTTGGGAGGCCGAGGCGGGTGGATCATGAGGTCAGGAGATCGAGACCATCCTGGCTAACAAGGTGAAACCCCGTCTCTACTAAAAATACAAAAAATTAGCCGGGCGCGGTGGCGGGCGCCTGTAGTCCCAGCTACTCGGGAGGCTGAGGCAGGAGAATGGCGTGAACCCGGGAAGCGGAGCTTGCAGTGAGCCGAGATTGCGCCACTGCAGTCCGCAGTCCAGCCTGGGCGACAGAGCGAGACTCCGTCTCAAAAAAAAAAAAAAAAAAAAAAAAAAAAAAAAAGAGAGAGTCAGCCTGTCTTTTGAAGCTTTGAAGCCAGGGATGGACTTTTTGAAGGCTGTTTCATCTACATTGAAAATCTGTTGTTCAGTGTGGCCACCTTCATCAGTTATCTTAGGAAGATCTTCCAGTTTACTTGCTGCAGCTTCTGTGGCAGCAAAAGCTCTTAAAGATAAGGAGGGACAAGCAAAGTAATCTAAGGATGAGCAGCCAGTGAGGTTGGGAGAAAATCGAGAGAGTGAGGTGTCTTGATAGCCAAGTGGAGAAAATATTTCAGGAAGGAGGAAGTGATCATTTGTGTTAAATGCTGCTGAGAAGCAATCTTATAGCAATATTTCCAATGGAGCAATAGTGGTTATAGATTAAAGCGTGTTCAAAAGAGAATGAAAAGAAGGAAGACAGACAGTGAATTTCAGTAAGTTTTTGGAGTTTTTCAATAAAGGGCTGTAAAGGTGAGGAAAGGCATGGATATGCTATTTGGAGAAATGAGTCAAGACAGGATTTCTATTTAAACGTTTCTTTTAAAATTTCAAAATATACATACTGAAAAGAGTACTACACTTATATATATAGTTTTAAAATAGTTATAAAGATACTACTCATCTCACTACTAGCTGAATCAAGAATAGAACATTTCAATACCAAGAAAATACGAACGTCCTGTTTTTCCCAGTATGCCTACCCCTGTAGGAAGATTTACCTTAATGGTAGTCATTTCCCTGCTTTCCATTACTTCCTGCCCATGTAAAGTTCCCTACAACATACAGTTTTGTTTTTTTTCTTATATATAATATATATGGGATCATAATGTATATTCTTCTGTGTAAAAACACAGGTGTTTTTTTCACTCAATATAATGTTTGTAAGGCCTATATTGTTAATGAATCTAATTTTAAAAATTTTAATTGCTATATAAGTAACTAGAGCTTGTATGTTCTACACTATAATAATTTATTTCATCTTTGATTAGCACTTGGATTGTTTTGTGATTTCGGCAATTAGAAATGATGCTACAGGAGACTCGTTCTCACCTAAGGAGATTTTGCTTCCTAGGAGACATTGGTCAACGTTTTGAGACTTTTCTTATTGTAACAACTGGCAAGTGCTACTGGCATCTAGTAGGTAGAAGTTGGAGTCCTGCTAAACGATCTACAACGCACAGGACAGCCACCCATGACAAAGAATTAACACACCTATAAAGTCAATAGTGCTGAGCTTGACAAACCCTGCTCTGGGTTATATTGTTGGGAGAGAAATTGCTGGCTGATAAAGTATATTTATCTTCAAACTTATACAATACTACCATTCTGTTTTCTAGAGTGATTGTATCAATTTACACTGCCATCATCAGAGTGGGAGGCTTCCCGATGCTGTATATCTGCACCAGCGCTAAATATCACCAGCTTAAAAATATTTTGCTCCAGGCACGGTGGCTCACGCCTGTAATCCTAGCACTTTGGGAGGCTGAGGCGGGTGGATCACAAGGTCAGGAGATGGAGACCAGCCTGACCAACATGGTGAGACCCCGTCTCTACTAAAAAATGCAAAAATTAGCTGGGCTTGGTGGTGTGCACCTGTAATCCCAGCTACTCGGGAGGCTGAGGCAGGAGAATTGCTTGAACACAGGAGGTGGAGGTTGCAGTGAGCCGAGATCGCGCCACTGCACTCCAGCCTGGGTGACAGAGCAAGACTTCATCTCAAAACAAACAAACAAACAAAAAAACAAAACTATTTTGCCAATCTACAAAGGACATGAACAGATGCTTCTCAAAAGAAGACATACAACAAACATGAGAAAATGCTCAACATCACTAATTATCAGAGAAATGCATATCAAAACCACAACGAGATACCATCTCACACTACTCAGAATGGCTATTACTTAAAAAGTCAAAAAAGAACAGATGCCGGTGAGGCTGTAGCGAAAAGGGAACACTTAAACACAGTGTTGGTGGGGATGTAAATTAGTTCAGCTCTATGGAAAATAGTTTGGAGATTTCTCAAAGACCTTAAAGCAGAACTATCGTTTGACTCAGCAATCGCATTACTGGGTATATACCCAAAGGAAAACAAGTCATTCTACAAAAATGACACATGCACATATATGTTCATTGCAGCACTATTCACAACAGCAAAAACATGGAATCAACCTAGGAGCCCAACAGTGGTGGACTGAATAAGGAAAATGTGGTACATATACACCATGGAATACTACACAGCCATAAAAACAGTGAAATTGTGTACTTTGCAGCAACATGGATGTAGCTGGAGGCCATCCTTTTAAGAGAATTAACGTAGGAACAGAAAACCAAATAGTGCATATTCTCACTTCTAAGTTGGAGCTAAACATTGGGTAAACATGGACATAAAGAAAGGAACAATAGACGCTGGGGTCCATGGGCTGAGGGTAGCAGGGAGTGCAACAAGGGTTGAAAAACTACCGAGTGGGTGCTATGCTCACTACTTGGGTGACAGGATCATTTGTACCCCAAACCTCAGTGTCAGGCAATATACCCATGTAACAAACCTGCACATGTACCTCCTGATCTAAAATAAAAGTTAAAATTACATAAATTATCTTTGCCAATCTAATTAATTATATTTCATCAGAGTTTTAATTAGTATTTCATTATTAGCTAATGGGGTTAATCACTTTTACAAGTCTTTGTTGGCCAGGTTGATCAATTTTAAAAATTGGCTTATCTTCCTCATCCTCATTTATTTGTAGGTATTCTTTATATAATCTGGCCTCTGGACAGTTGTTGGTTATAGGTTGTTCATATCTTCTCTGTGGCTTGTCTCTGTATTCTTATGTGATTTTTTTAATGTATAGAAATTCCTAATTTTAAATAACAAATATTTCTCTTTAGTGCTTTTTGTGAGGTGCTTAAGAAATCCTTATGTACCCCAGATTCATGATGATTCTCCTAAAATCTTTGGCATTTTACCTTTTTCATTTAGATCTTTAAATCACCTGGAAATGATTTTTGTGTAGGGAGTGTGATATAGTGTTCAATTTCACTTTTTCCATATGGATAACAAATTTACCTTTTATGACTTATTGGAAAATCTGTTCTGCTATTCCACCTTTCTCATAAATCAATAATCCATATATATGTGAGGCTTGGTTTATGGTCTGGTGAATCTGTCCCATTGGTCTATTTTGCAGGTTCAGCCCTCCAGGAAGCAGACTTTGAGACTCTGATAGAAGGGAGTTTGTTAAGGAGGGTGATTGGGATCAACACATGTGGAAGGGAAGGAGCGAAAGCAAGATTGAGCAGAGGGAGAAGCTGGGCTGCAATTCAGTCTCAACAAAGCCTCAGTTGACCATATGGGAAAATGAAGACAAGGTGGTTACTGAGAGTTGTTCAGAGTCGGGATGAGGGGGGCATAGCCTTTATATTCCATATCAATTATTGGATACAGGCTCTTTTCAGCTGAAATAAATAATTTATTCTGGCAGCACACCCAGCTTCTGGGAAAATAAGCTCTTTGATCCCAAAGGGATTTCAGCGGTACATCACAACATTCACTACAGCCCACCTCTTGAGCTGCTTGGATTTATTTCTTCATTTGAGGAGCAGATCTTCTAGGATTCTGGAAGACCTCTTTTAGAAACCAGTAGGAGGAAAGCGAATGGGACAAACTACAACCCTTGCAATGTAGGCATTCTTAGGACTGAAACTGATACTCGTAATCTTGCCTCTCTGCTCTCTATTCTAGATTTTCTCACCCTCATCTAGCATCTCTGCTGGTCTTGGTGGCTAACTCAGTGTTACAAAACCTTAAACCTTGAGGGTTCTGAATCCTTGGTTACCATGCCCTTCTCAGGCCGTGACTGCTGCAATCGTTCATCTACTGTCAAAATTGGCAACAGGGTACTGATTCACCCAAAGATATCACTTACATGCAAAACATTCTTCTCTGCTATCACTGTATAACAGCAGCTTCACCTCTCCTGATGGCAGGGTCAATACCCATTGCTGTAACTCCTCTCTTACCTGCTGACCTTTGACACAGATGTTCAAGTGGCTTGAGCAGCAACCATAGCTTTTGTTTCAGTGCAACTCTTGCTGTGTGTCAAGCACTGTGGAGGGTCTGAAATTTTACATTACTTGCAAGCTAACAAGTTAGCTTGCTGTAGTTTCACAGACCATAGTGGAAGACTTAAGACTCCAATTCCTAAAGGGCAACATGAAAAAGACCAGGTAACACTTGCACATGCTGTCGGTTGCATTCTAGGAGAGCAATCCCAAGTGTAGGAAATCTGAATCTTTTATAATGGTTAGCAAGCCTCCTGAGGGAGACACTATTTCCAAAACTGTTCACTGTAAAAATAATCTCAAGAAGATATTCTGGATCAAACAAAGTCAGTGCCACTTCTCAGAACAGCTTCAGAAACACAAGAAACCCATGGAGAATTTTCTCCTGGCACTATTGTTGTTTTATGTTTTGCTTTTACATGTTATAAACCTCACAGTATTTTAGTCATTGTATTTGCTAGAAAAAGTAATTTTCTTTAAAAAATATTTTATATTTTAAAATTCTCTATTACCTATTTTAAAAATTATTTGTGGTGCTCTCTGTATCGTTCTGTAGATCAAAATTTCCATTTGGTATTATTTCACTTTAGACTGAAGAATTCTCTTAGCCCTTTTTTTTTAGTTTTGAATCTGCTGGCTATGGATTATTTTAGATTTTATTTACCAGAAAATATATCTTTCTGGATACATTTTTGAGGAATTATTTTTTTTTTTTACTGGATATAGAATTCTAGATATAGAATTCTGGATATAGTATTTTTTCTTTCAGCATAAATTTTTTTTAACCTAATAATTTATTTAATTCTCCTCAAGTAGAGATTATTTTTCTCCCTTTTATTTTTAGTTGACATGTAATAATTGTACATATTTATGGGATACAGAGTGATATCTCAATACATGTAAACAATGTGTAATGATCATATCAGGGTAATTAGCATACTCATCACCTTAGACATTTATCATTTCTTTGTTTTGGAAAGATTCAAAATTCTCTCTTCTAGCTTTTTGAAAATGTACAGTAGATTACATTACAGTTAACCATATTTGCCCATCAGTGCTATAGAACACTAGAACTTATTCCTCCTATCCAGCTGTAATTTTGTATCTGTTAACTCTCTTCCTATCCCCCCCTCCACCCTATCCTTTCCAGCCTGTAACAACCACAATTCTACTCCCTATTTCTATTAGCTCAACTTTTTAAAGCTTCCACATATGACTGAGAACATGTGGTGTTTATCTTTCTGCGCCTGACTTACTTCATTTATCATAATGTCCTCCAGGGTCATCCACATAGCCATGAATAACAGGATTATATTACTTTTTATGACTGAATAGTATTCCATTATATGTATATACCACATTAACTGGATCCGTTCATCTATTGATGCACATTTAGGTTGATTCCATATCTTGGCTATCATGGCTAATGTTTCAATGAACATGAGGGTGTAGATATTTCTTCCATATACTGACTTTCTCTCCTTTGGATAAATACACAGTCATGGAATTGCTGGATTATATGGTAATACTATTTTTATCTTTTTGAGAAGACTCCATACTACTTTCCATAATGGCTCTACTAATTTACATTACCAGCAACAGTGTATAAGGATTCTCTTTTCTCCACATCCTCACCAGCATTCATTTTTTTTTGTCTTTTTGATAAGAGCCATTCTAAATGGGGTGAGATATGACCTCATTGTGGTTTTGATTTACATTAATCTGATAATTAGTGATGTTGAGTATTTTTCATATACTTCTTAGGCATCTGCATATCTTGTTTTGAAAAATATCTATTTAGATGCTTTGCCCATTAATCAGATTTGTTTTGTTATCGAATTTCTTTCTTTCTTTTCTTTTTTTTTTTTTTTTAGGCGGAGTCACATTCCATCGCCCAGGCTGGAGTGCAGTGGCGCTATCTCGGCTCACTGCAAGCTCCGCCTCCCAGGTTCACGCCATTCTCCTGCCTCAGCCTCCCGAGTAGCTGGGACTACAGGCGCCCACCATCACATCTGGCTAATTTTTTTGTATTTTTAGTAGAGACGGGGTTTCACTGTGTTAGCCAGGATGGTCTCAATCTCCTGACCTCGTGATCCGCCCACCTCGGCCTCCCAACATGCTGGGATTACAGGCGTGAGCCACTGTGCCTGGCCTATTGAACTTCTTTAGTTCCTTGTATGTTCTGGATATTAGACTCTTGTTGGGTAAATAGTTTGCAAATATTTTCTCCCATTTTAGGTTATCTCTTCACTCTATTTGATTATTTTGTTTTTTTATGCAGAAGCCTTTACACTTGATATAGTCCTATTTATCTATTTTTTTTTTTGGTTGCCTGCGCTTTTGAAGTCTTACTCATAAAATATTTGTCTAGGCCACTGTCCTGAAGTGTTTCACCTATGTTTTCTTCTAGTAGTTTTATATTTTTGAATATTACATTTAAGTCTTTAATCCATTTTCAGTTGATTTTCATATATGGTGAGAAATGGTGGTCTAGTTTCATTCTTCTGTATAGGGATACCCAGTTTTCCTAGCATCATTTATTGAAAAGGCTGTCCTTTCACAAATGTATATGTTCTTGGTGCCTTTGTCAAAAACATGTTGGCTGTAAATAATGTGGATTTATTTGTGGGTTTCCTGTTTTGTTTCATTGGTCTGTATGTCTGTTTTTATACAAAATACCATGTTGTTTTAGTTATTATAGTTTTGTAATATATTTTGAAGTCAGGTGGTGTGATGTCTCTAGTTTTGTTCTTCATTCTTAGTGTTGCTTTGATTATTCTGGGTCTTTTGTAGTTCCATATGAACTTTAGGTTTTTTTTTTCTATTTCTGTGAAGAACATAATTAATATTTTTATAGGGATTGCTTTGTATCTGTAGATTGCTTTGGGTAGTACAGTTGTTATAACAATATTAATTCTTTCAATCCATGAACATGGGATGTCTTTCCATTTGTTTATTTCCCCTTCAATTTATTTCATCAGTGTTTTATAGTTTTCATCGCAGAAATCCTTCACTTTCATAGTTACATTTATTTCTAGGGTATTTTCCTTTTTTTGCAGGTACTGCAAATGGGATTGATTTCTTGATTTCTTTTTCAGCTGTTTCATTATTGGTGTATAGAAATACTATTGATTTTGGTATGCTAATTTTGTATTCTGCAACTTTACTGACTTTATCAGTTATAAGAGTTTTTTGATGAAATCTTTAGGTTTTTCTATATATAAGATTATGTCATCTGCAAAAAGGGACCATTTAACTTTCTCTTTTCTAATTTTGATGCCCTTTATTTCTTTCTCTCACCTAATTGCTCTGGCTAGGACTTCCAGCATTATTTTGAGTAAGAAAGGTAAAGTGGGCATCTTTGTCTTGCCCCAGTTCTTACAGGAAAGGCATTCAACTTTTTCCCATTCAGTATGATGTTAGCTGTTGGTTTGTCATATATGGCCTCTATTGTGTTATGATATATGCCTTTTGTTCCTAATTTGTTGAAAGTTTTTACCATGAAGGGATGTTGAATTTTTCAAATGCTTTTCCATCTATTGAGATGATTATATGGCTTTTGCCCTTCATTCTGTTTACATTATGTATTACATTTATTAATTTATGTATGTGGAACCATCCTTGCATCCCTGGGATAAAAGTCATTTGCTCATTGTATATTATCTTTTTAATGTATTATTGGATTGATTTCATTGCAGATTTTTGCATCTATGTTCATCATGGATATTGCCCTGTAGTTTCTTTCTGGTTGCATCCTTGTCTAGTTGTGATGTCAGGGTAATGCTGGCCTCATAGGATGAGATAGGGTGAATTCCCTTCTCTTCGTTTTTTTTTTTAGAATAGTTTGAGGAGAACTGGTGTTAGTTTCTTGTGAGTTTGGTAGAATTCAGCAATAAAGCCATCTGATTCTGGACTTATTTTTTAGGGGGGAATTATGTTACTGATTTGATCTTATTACTTGTTATTGGTCTGTTCAGGTTATCTATTCTTTCTGGTTCAATCTTGGTAGGTTACAGGTATCCTACTCATTAATGGTCTGTTCAGGTTTTCTATTCTTCCTGGTTCAATCTTAGTGGGTTATAGGTATCCAGGAATTTATCTATTTTCTCTAGATTTTCCAATAGTTTGACATACAGTTGTTCATAATTGTCTTTAATGATTGTTTGAGTTTCTGTGGTATCAGTTGTAATATCTCCCTTTTAGTTTCCAATTTTGTTTATTTTTTTCTGTTTTTTTCTTAGACTAGCCAGGGGATTGTCAATTTTATATATCTTTTCAAAAAACAAAACTTTTGTTTTGTTGATCTTAAAGATCTTTTAAGTCTTTATTTTGTTTAGTTCTGTTTTGATCTTTATTATTTATTTCCTTCTACTAATTTGGGGTTTGGTTTGTTCTTGCATTTCTATTTCCTTGAAGTGTGTTGTTGTTTATTTATTTATTTATTTTATTATACTTTAAGTTTTAGGGTACATATGCACAACGTGCAGGTTAGTTACATATGTATACATATGCCATGTTGGTGTGCTGCACCCATTAACTCGTCATTTAACATTAGGTATATCTCCTAATGCTATCCCTCCCCCCTCCCCCACCCCACAACAGGTCCCAGTGTGTGATTTTCCCCTTCCTGTGTCTATGTGGTCTCATTGTTCAGTTCCCACCTATGAGTGAGAACATGGAGTGTTTGGTATTTTGTCCTTGGTAGTTTGCTAAGAATGATGGTTTCCAGCTTCATCCATGTCCCTACAAAGGACATGAACTCATCACTTTTTATGGCTGCATAGTATTCCATGGTGTATATGTGCCACATTTTCTTAATCCAGTCTATCATTGTTGGACATTTGGGTTGGTTCCAAGTCTTTGCTATTGTGAATAGTGCCGCAATAAACATACGTGTGCATGTGTCTTCATAGCAGCATGATTTATAATCCTTTGGGTATATACCCAGTAATGGGATTGCTGTGTCAAATGGTATTTCTAGTTCTAGATCCCTGATGAATTGCCACACCGACTTCCACAATGGTTGAACTAGTTTACAGTCCCACCAACAGTGTAAAAGTGTCCCTATTTTTCCACATCCTCTCCAGCACCTGTTGTTTCCTGACTTTTTAATGATCACCATTCTAACTGGTGTGAGATGGTATCTCATTGTGGTTTTGATTTGCATTTCTCTGATGGCCAGTGATGATGAGCGTTTTTTCATGTGTCTGTTGGCTGCATAAATGTCTTCTTTTGAGAAGTGTCTGTTCATTTCCTTTGCCCACTTTTCATGGGGTTGTTTGTTTTTTTCTTGTAAATTTGTTTGAGTTCATTGTAGATTCTGGATATTAGCCCTTTGTCAGATGAGTAGATTGCAAAAATTTTCTCCCATTCTGTAGGTTGCCTGTTCACTCTGATGGCAGTTTCTTTTGCTGTGCAGAAGCTCTTTAATTTAACTAGATCCCATTTGTCAATTTTGGCTTTTGTTGCCATTGCTTTTGGTGTTTTAGACATGAAGTCCTTGCCCATGCCTATGTCCTAAATGGTATTGCCTAGGTTTTCTTCTAGGGTTTTTATGGTTTTAGGTCTAACATTTAAGTCTTTAATCATGTTGAATTAATATTTGTATAAGGTGGAAGGAAGGGATCCAGTTTCAGCTTTCTACATATGGCTAGCCAGTTTTCCCAGCACCATTTATTAAATAGGGAATCCTTTCCCCATTTCTTGTTTTTGTTCAGGTTTGTCAAAGATCAGATGGATGTAGATATGCGGCATTATTTCTGAGGGCTCTGTTCTGTTCCATTGATCTATATCTCTGTTTTGGTACCAGTACCATGCTGTTTTGGTTACTGTAGCCTTGTAGTATAGTTTGAAGTCACGTAGCGTGGTGCCTCCAGCTTTGTTCTTTTGGCTTAGGATTGACTTGGCAACGTGGGCTCTTTTTGGTTCCATATGAACTTTAAAGTAGTTTTTTTCCAATTCTGTGAAGAAAGTCATTGGTAGCTTGATGAGGATGGCATTGAATCTATAAATTACCTTGGGCAGTATGGCCATTTTCATGATATTGATTCTTCCTACCCATGAGCATGGAATGTTCTTCCATTTGTTTGTTTCCTCTTTTATTTCATTGAGCAGTGGTTTGTAGTTCTCCTTGAAGAGGTCCTTCACGTCCCTTGTAAGTTGGATTCCTAGGTATTTTATTCTCTTTGAAACAATTGTGAATGGGAGTTCACTCATGATTTGGCTCTCTGTTTGTCTGTTATTGGTGTATAAGAATGCTTGTGATTTTTCCACATTGATTTTGTATCCTGAGACTTTGCTGAAGTTGCCTATCAGCTTAAAGAGATTTTGGGCTGAGACGATGGGGTTTTCTAGATATACAATCATGTTATCTGCAAACAGGGACAATTTGACTTCCTCTTTTCCTAATTGAATGCCCTTTATTTCCTTCTCCTGCCTGATTGCCCTGGCCAGAACTTCTAACACTATGTTGAATAGGAGTGGTGAGAGAGGGCATCCCTGTCCTGTGCCAGTTTTCAAAGGGAATGCTTCCAGTTTTTGCCCATTCAGTATGATATTGGCTGTGGGTTTGTCATAGATAGCTCTTATTATTTTGAGATACGTCCCATCAATACCTAATATATTGAGAGTTTTTAGCATGAAGTGTTGTTGAATTTTGTCAAAGGCCTTTCCTGCATGTATTGAGATAATCGTACGGTTTTTGTCATTGGTTCTATTTATATGCTGGATTACATTTATTGATTTGCATACATTGAACCAGCCTTGCATCCCAGGGATGAAGCCCACTTGATCATGGTGGGTAAGCTTTTTGATGTGCTGCTGGATTTGGTTTTCCAGTATCTTATTGAGGATTTTTGCATCGATGTTCATCAGGGATATTGGTCTAAAATTCTCTTTTTTGTTGCGTCTCTGCCAGGCTTTTGTATCAGGATGATGCTGGCCTCATAAAATGAGTTAGGGAGGATTCCTTCTTTTTCTATTGATTGGAATAGCTTCAGAAGGAATGGTACCAACTCCTCCTTGTACCTCTGTTAGAATTCGGCTGTGAATCCATCTGGTCCTGGACTTTTTTTGGTTGGTAAGCTATTAATTATTGCCTCAATTTCAGAGCCTGTTATTGGTCCATTCAGGGATTCAACTTCTTCCTGGTTTAGTCTTGGGAGGGTGTATGTGTCAAGGAATTTATCCATTTCTTCTAGATTTTCTAGTTTATTTGCATAGAGGTGTTTATAGTTTTCTCTGATGTTAGCTTGTATTTCTGTGGGGTCCGTGGTGATATCCCTTTTATCATTTTTTATTGTGTCTATTTGATTCTTCTCTCTTTTCTTCTTTATTATTCTTGCTATCAGTCTATCAATTTTGTTGATCTTTTCAAAGAACCAGCTCCTGGATTCATTGATTTTTTTGAAGGGTTTTTTGTGTCTCTATTTCCTTCGGTTCTGCTCTGATCTTAGTTATTTCTTGCCTGTTGCTAGCTTTTGAATGTGTTTGCTTTTGCTTCTCTAGTTCTTTTAATTGTGATGCTAGGGTGTCAATTTTAGATCTTTCCTGCTTTCTCTTGTGGGCATTTAGTGCTATAAATTTCCCTCTACACACTGCTTTAAATGTGTTCCAGAGATTCTGATATGTTGTGTCTTTGTTCTCGTTGGTTTCAAAGAACATCTTTATTTCTGCCTTCATTTCGTTATGTACCCAGTAGTCATTCAGGAGTAGGTTGTTCAGTTTCCATGTAGTTGAGCGGTTTTGAGTGAGTTTCTTTTTTTTTTTTTTTTTTTTTGAGACGGAGTCTCACTCTGTGGCCCAGGCGGGAGTGCAGTGGCTCAATCTCGGCTCACTGCAAGCTCCGCCTCCCGGGTTCACGCCATTCTCCTGCCTCAGCCTCCTGAGTAGCTGGGACTACAGGCGCCCGCCATCACGCCCAGCTAATTTTTTTTGCATTTTTTTAGTAGAGACGGGGTTTCATCGTGTTAGCCAGGATGGTCTCGATCTCCTGACCTCGTGATCCGCCCGCCTCGGCCTCCCAAAGTGCTGGGATTACAAGCGTGAGCCACCGCGCCCGGCCTTGAGTGAGTTTCTTAATCCTGAGTTCTAGTTTGATTGCACTGTGGTCTGAGAGACAGTTTGTTATAATTTCTGTTCTTTTACATTTGCTGAGGAGTGCTTTACTTCCAACTATGTGGTCAATTTTGGAATAAGTGGGATGTGGTGCTGAGAAGAATGTATATTCTGTTGATTTGGGGTGGAGGGTTCTGTAGATGTCTACTAGGTCCGCTTGGTGCAAAGCTGAGTTCAATTCCTGGATATCCTTGTTAACTTTCTGTCTCGTGGATCTGTCTAATGTTGACAGTGGGGTGTTAAAGTCTCCCATTATTATTGTGTGGGAGTCTAAGTCTGTTTGTAGGTCTCTAAGGACTTGCTTTATGAATCTGGGTGCTCCTGTATTGGGTGCATATATATTTAGGAGAGTTAGCTCTTCTTGTTGAATTGATCCCTTTACCATTATGTAATGGCCTTCTTTGTCTCTTTTGATCTTTATTGGCTTAAAGTCTGTTTTATCAGAGACTAGGATTGCAACCTCTGCTTTTTTTTGTTTTCCATTTGCTTGGTAGATCTTCCTCCATCCCTTTATTTTGAGCCTGTGTGTGTCTCTGCACATGAGATGGGTTTCCTGAATACAGAACACTGATGGGTCTTGACTCTTTATCCAATTTGCCAGTCTGTGTCTTTTAATTGGAGCATTTAGCCCGTTTACATTTAAGGTTAATATTGTTATGTGTGAATTTGATCCTGTCATTATGATGTTAGCTGGTTCTTTTGCTCGTTATTTGATGCAGTTTCTTCCTAGCATCGATGGTGTTTACAATTTGGCATGTTTTTGCAGTGGCTGGTACCGGTTGCTCCTTTCTATGTTTAGTGCTTCCTTCAGGAGCTCTTGTAGGGCAGGCCTGGTGGTGACAAAATCTCTCAGCATTTGCTTGTCTGTATTTTATTTCTCCTTCACTTATGAAGCTTAGTTTGACTGGATATGAAATTCTGGGTTGAAAATTCTTTTCTTTAAGAATGTTGAAGATGGGCCCCCACTCTCTTTTGGCTTGTAGAGTTTCTCCCAAGAGATCTGCTGTTAGTCTGATGGGCTTCCCTTTGTGGGTAACCCGACCTTTCTCTCTGGCTGTCCTTAACATTTTTTCCTTCATTTCAACTTTGGTGAATCTGACTATTATGTGTCTTGGAGTTGTTCTTTTCGAGGAGCATCTTTGTGGCATTCTCTGTATTTCCTGAAGTTGAGTATTGGCCTGCCTTACTAGATAGGGGAAGTTCTCCTTCATAATATCCTGCAGAATGTTTTCCAACTTGGTTCCATTCTGCCCGTCACTTTCAGGTACACCAATCAGATGTAGATTTTGTCTTCTCACATAGTCCCTTATTTCTTGGAGGCTTTGTTCATTTCTTTTTAATCTTTTTTCTCTAAATTTCTCTTCTCGCTTCATTTCATTCATTTGATCTTCCATCACTGATACCCTTTCTTCCTGTTGATCCAATCGGCTACTGAGGCTTGTGCATTTGTCATGTAGTTCTTATGCCATGGTTTTCAGCTCCATCAGGTCCTTTAAGGACTTCTCTGCATTGGTTATTCTAGTTAGCCATTAGTCTAATTTTTTTTCAAGGTTTTTAACTTCTTTGCCATGGGTTCGAACTTCCTCCTTTAGCTCGGAGTAGTTTGATCATCTGAAGCCTTCTTCTCTCAACTCATCAAAGTCATTCTCCATCCAGCTTTTTTCCATTGCTGGTGAGGAGCTGCGTTCCTTTGGAGGAGGAGAGGTGCTCTGATTTTTAGAATTTTCAGCTTTTCTGCTCTGGTTTCTCCCCATCTTCGTGTTTTTATCTACCTTTGGTCTTTGATGATGGAGATGTACAGATGGGGTTTTGGTGTGGATGTCCTTTCTGTTTGTTAGTTTTCCTTCTAATAGTCAGGACCCTCAGCTGCAGATCTGTTGGAGTTTGCTGGAAGTCCACTCCAGACCCTGTTTGCTTGGGTATCAGCAGTGGAGGCTGCAGAACAGTGGATATTGGTGAGCAGCAAATGTTGCTGCCTGATCGTTCCTCTGGAAGTTTTGTCTCAGAGGAGTACCTGGCCGTGTGAGGTGTCAGTCTGCCCCTACTGGGGGGTGCCTCCCAGTTAGGCTACTCGGGGGTCAGGGACCCCCTTGAGGAGGCAGTCTGTCTGTTCTCAGATCTCTAGCTGCATGCTGGGAGAAGCACTACTCTCTTCAAAGCTGTCAGACAGGGACATTTAAGTCTGCAGAGGATTCTGCTGCCTTTTGTTTGGCTATGCCCTGCCCCCATAGCTGGTGTCTACAGAGGCAGGCAAGCCTTCTTGAGCTGTGGTGGGCTCCACCCAGTTAGAGCTTCCCAGCCACTTTGATTACCTACTCAAGCCTCAGCAATGGCGGGCGCTCCTCCCCCAGCCTCGCTGCCACCTTACAGTTTGATCTCAGACTGCTGTGCTAGCAATGAGCAAGGCGCCGTGGCATAGGACCCTCCGAGCCAGGCGCGGGATATGATCTGGTGTGCCATTTGCTAAGACCGTTGGAAAAGTGCAGTATTAGGGTGGGAGTGACCTGATTTTCCAGGTGCTGTCTGTCACCCCTTTCTTTGACTAGGAAAGGGAATTCCCTGACCCCTTGTGCTTCCCTGGTGAGGCGATGCCTCACCCTGCTTCGGCTCATGCTTGGTGTGCTGCACCCACTATCCTGCACCCACTTTCTGACACTTCCCAGTGAGATGAACCCAGTACCTCAGTTGGAAATGCAGAGATCACCTGTCTTCTGTGTTGCTCATGCTGGGAGCTGTAGACTGAAGCTGTTCCTATTCGGCCATCTTGGCTCCACTGTTGTTGTTTATTTAAAACCTTTCTACTTTTTTGATGGAGGCACTTACTGCCATAAACTTCCTTCTTACTACTACTTTTGCTATATCTCATAGGTTTTGTTATGTTGTGTATGTATTTTCATTTGTTTTGAGAAGTTTTAAAATTTCCTTTTTAATTTCTGTTTTTTTATTTTGTTTTGTTGTGTTTTTGTTTTTGTTTTTTTGTTTTGTTTTTGTTTTGAGATGGAGGCTCGCTCTGTCACCCAGGCTGGAGTGCAATGGTGTGATCTCGGCTCACTGCAAGCTCTGCCTCCCTGGGTTTTACTTATGCCATTCTCCACCTCAGTCTCCTGAGTAGCTGGGACTACAGGTGCCCGCCACCATGCCCGGCTAATTTTTTTTTGTATTTTTAGTAGAGACAGGGTTTCACTGTGTTAGCCAGGATGGTCTCGATCTCCTGACCTCGTGATCTGCCTGCCTCAGCCTCCCAAAGTGCTGGGATTACAGGCATGAGCCACCGCGCCCAGCCCTTTTTTAATTTCTTAATTGACCCATTGGTTGTTCAGAAGCATGTTACTTAATTTCCATATATTTGTATAGTTCTAAAAGTTCCTCTTGTTATTGATCTCTCATTTTATTCCATTGTGGTCTGAGAAAATATTTTATATGATTTTGATATTTAAAAATATTAGTTGAGAATAATTTTGTGGCCTGACATATAGTCAGTCCTGAAGAATGTTCCATGGGTTGATGGGAAGAATTTGTATCTGCAGCTATTGGGTGAAATGTTCTGTAAATGTCTGTTAGGTTCATTTGTTCTATACGACAGTTTAAGTCCTATGTTCCTGTGTTGATTTTCCATCTAGGTGATCTGTCCAGTGCTAAAAAGTGTAGTGAAGCCCGATTATTGTATTGGGCCTATCTCTCTTTTTAATCTCTAATAATATTTGCTTTATATTGTTGGTTGTTCCAGTGTTGAATGCATATATATTTATAATTGTTATATCATTTTGGTAAGTTGATCCCTTTATCATTATATAATTACCTTTGTGTCTTCTTATGACTTTTTGGCTTACTGTCTATTTTGTCATATACAAACATAGCTATTCCTGCATACTTTTGGTTTCTGTTTGTGTGGAATGTCTTATTCCATGCATTTACTTTCAGTCTATGTGTGTCTTTACAGATGGGGTGATTTTCTTACAGAGAGCGTATAGTTTGGTTTTGTGATTTTTAAAAAATCCATTCAGCCAGTCTGTATCTTTTAATTGAAAGAGTTAAACAATTAACATTCAAGGTTATTATTCATAGGTGAGGACTTACACTTGTCATTTTATTAATTGTTTTCTGGATTGTTTGTATAGTTTTGTTCTTTTCTTCTCTTACTGTTTACTTTGTGGTTTGATGGTTTTCTGTAGTGATAATATTTGGTTTCTTTCTCTTTCATGTGTCTGCTCTACCAGTAAATTTTATGCTTTTGTATGTTTTTGTGTTGGTATATATCATCCTTTTGCTTCCAGAGGTAGGATTCTCCTGATCATTACTGGTAGCACTGATCTAGTGGATCTAAAGAATTCCCTCAGTTTTTGCTTGTTTGGGAAAGGCTTCATTTCTCTTTCATTTCTGAAGTATAGCTTTGTTGGGTATGGTTTTCTTGGTTAGCAAGTTTTTTTCTTTCAGCATTTTGAATATTTCATCACTTTCTATATTGGCCTGTAAGGTTTCTGATGAGAAATCTCCTGTTGGTCTGATAATGATTCCCATAGATATGACTTGATACTTTTCTCTTGTTGTTTTCAGAATTTTCTGTTTGTCTTTGATTTTTGACTATAATGTATCTCAGAGAGGACCTTTTTGGGTTGAATCTCTTTAGGAATTTTTGAGCTTCCTGTATCTGGCTGTCTGTATCTCTCTCAATACTTGGGAAGTCTCCAGTTATTTTATGAAATAGGTTTTCTGTGCCTTTTCCCATTTTATCTCCTTTTGGAATTTCCAAAATGCAAAAATCTGTTCAATGCTGTCTCGTGTCATGTGGGCTTTCTTCTTTTTTATTTTATTTTATTTATTTTTTAGTCTAACTGGGTTATTTTGAAAGACCTGTCTTCAAGTTTAAACATTCTTTCTTCTGGCTTTTAGTATGTCTCAGTTACTTGGAAATGGTGAAATGAGCATAAAGATAAACTCTGTGAGCTTTTAATTAAAGAAGGAAAATAGAAATTCACCAGAGTAGTGAAGGACACCCCAGATCCTGGAAAAGGGGATGTGAGCAAGCAATCCTCATTACAGTGTTCAGCCGATAAAACTGCATGAAGCCACTGTACATGAGACAGACAGAGAATCTCCTTCTTTGACTCATCTTTCCACTAGGAATCCATGCAACCCAGGCCAAGGGAGAGCACTTGGTTTCTTCCAATCCCTGAAGCTAACATGGGGAGAGGCTGGGAGATGCTGAGAGGGCAAGACACCAGGAAAAGCTGCAGGCACTTTCTCAGGCCTGGAAACAGGGGTCCTGGGACCCTGCCATTTTAAAAACAACCTCAAACAAATAAACTGAATTCAAATAAACTGGATAATAGACCAAATGTATCTTATAGACACTTACAGAACATTCTAACCACAGAATACACATCCTCACCTCTACGTGGAATGCTCTCCAAATTTGCTCATATGTTTGGTCATAATAAATAAATCAATAGGGCAGCCATCATTATAACTCCAGGCTGCACTTTACCCTGGCTGGAGCCAGGGAGGCTGGACAGCTTGGTCGTGAGAGATATTCCCCACAGTACAGCATACTGGCTATGGCAGTCCATGTCCATATTGCTTCTTCAGGCCAGACCCTGACCCATATCTCCTCACTGGGTTGGGACTCCCTGCAGGAACTCCAACAACTCCAGCCAGAGGCTCAAGGACAGAACTCTGATCTCCTTGGGCCTAAGTCCCTAGGGGGAGGGGTGGCCGCAGTCTCCATGGGCCAGCAGACTTATTCTTTCCTCCTGCTAGCTCTGAGGAATCTGGGCAGCCCAGACAAGTGGGTTTCCCCCCAGTGCATCACACCCCTTCCACCAAGGGACAGCCAAAGTGCTCCGTTAAACTGGTCCTGCTTTCTGTATCCCCCCAACTGGGTGAAACCCCTGCAACAGGGGTCACAGAGACCCTATATGGGAACATTCCTGCTGGCATCAGGCCAGTGCCACCTGAGGTCAAAGATCCCGGAGAAAGGAGCAGGCACCCATCTTTGCTGTTCTCCAGCCTCCTCAGGTGACATCTCCAGGCGTGGGAGTGAACCAGACAAACAGGGCCTAAAGTTAACCCCCAGCAAACTGCAGCAGCCCTACAGAAGAGGGATTCGACTATTGAAAGAAAAACAAACAAACAGCAATAACAACAGCATCAACAAAAAAGTTCCCACAAAAACCTCATCCAAGGGTCAGCAGCTTCAAAGATCGAAACTAGACAAACTCATGAAGATGAAGAAGAATCAATGAAAAAATGCTGAAAACCCCAGAGTGCTCCTTCTCCTCCAAATGACTGCAACATCTCTCCAGCAGGGGCACAGAACTGGACAGAGGATGAGATGGATGAATGGACAGAAGTAGGCTTCAGAAGGTGGGTAATAACAAACTTCTCTGAGGTAAAAGAGCATGTTCTAACCCAATGCAAAGAAGCTAAGAACCATGATAAAAGGTTACAGGAGCTGCTAACTAGAATAACAAGTTTAGAGAGGAACATAAATGACCCGATGGAGCTGAAAAGCCCAGCACAAGAACTTTGTGAAGCATATACAAGTATCAATAGCTGAATTGATCAAGCAGAGGAAAGAATATGAGAGACTGAAGACTATTTGCTGAAATAAGGCAGGCAAACAAGATTAGGGAAAAAAGGATGAAAAGGAATGAATAAAACCTCTGAGAATTACAGGGCTATGTAAAAAGACCAAACCTACAACTGATTGGAGTACCTGAAAGAGACAGGTAGATTGAAATATTAGAAAACACACTTCAGGATATCATCCAGGAGAACTTCCTCAACCTAGCAAAGCAGGCCAACATTCAAATTCAGGAAATACAGAAAACCTCAGTAAGATACTTCACAAGAAGATCAACCCCAAGACACATAATCATCAGATTCTCCAAGGTCAGAATGAAGGAAAAAGTGTTAAGGGCAGCCAGAGTGAAAGGCCAGGTCACCTACAAAGGGAAGCCCATCAGGCTAACAGCAGATGCAGATCTTTCAGCAGAAACCTGACAAGACAGAAGAGTGTGGGGGCCAATATTTGACTTCATAAAGAAAAGAATTTTCAATCCAGAATTTCATATCTGGCCAAACTAAGCTTCATAAATGAAGGAGAAATAAAATCCTTTATAGACAAGCAAATGCTGAGGGAATTCATCACCACCAGGCCTGCCTTGCAAAAGCTCCTGAAGGAAGCACTGAATATGGAAAGAAAAAACTGGTACCAGCCACTGCAAAAACACACTAAAATACAAAGTCCAATGACACTATGAAGAAACGCATCGATGAGTATGCAAAATAATCAGATAGCGTCATGATGACAGGATCAAACTCACACATAACAATATTAACCTTAAATGTAAACTGGCTAAATGCCCCAATTAAAAGACAAGGACTGGCAAATTGGATAAAGAGTCAAGACCCATTGGTGTGCTATATTAAAGAGACCCATTTCACATGCAAAGACACACATAGGTTCAAAATAAAGGGATGGAGGAAAATTTACCAAGCAATTGGAAAGAAGAAAGAAGCAGGGGTTGCAATTCTAGTTTCTGACAGAACAGGCTTTAAACCAATAAAGATAAAAAAAGACAAAGAAGGGCATTACATAATGGTAAGGAGATCAATGCAACTAGAAGAGCTAATTACCCTAAATATATATATATATATATATATACACACACACACACACACACAATACAGGAGCACCAAGTTTCATAAAATAAGTTTTTAGAGACCTACAAAGAGACTTAAACTCCTATACAATAATAGTGGGAGACTTTAACACCCCACTGTCAATATTAGATGATCAACAAGACAGAAAATTAACAAGGGTATTCAGGACTTGACCTCAGCTCTGGATCAAATGGACCTAATGGATATATACAGAACTCTCCACCCAAAAACAACAGAATATACATTCTTCTCAGTGCCACATGGCACTTACTCTAAAATTGACCACATAATTGGAAGTAAAACACCCCTCAGCAAATGCAAAAAAACTGAAATAATAACAAATAGTATCTCAGACCACAGTGCATTACAAACTCAAGATTAAAAAGCCCACACAAAACCACAAAACTACATGGAAATTAAACAACCTGCTCCTGAATGACTCTAGGGTAAATAGTGAAATTTAGGCAGAAATCAAGAAGTTCTTTAAAAACAATGAGAACAAAGAGAAAATGTACCAGAATCTCTGGGATACAGCTAAAGCAGTGTTAAGAGGGAAATTTATAGCACTAAATGCCCACATCAGAAAGCTAGAAAGATCTCACAGTGACACCCTAACATAACAATTAAAAGAACTAGAGAAGCAAGAGCAAACAAATTCAAAAGCTAGCAGAAGACAAGAAATAACTAAGATCAGAGAGGAACCAAAGGAGACAGAGACATGAAAACCCCTTCAAAGAATCAATGAATCCAGGAGCTGGTTTTTTGAAAAAATTAATAAGATAGATGAACTGTCAGCTAGACTAATAAAGAAGAAAAGAAGGAAGAATCAAATAGACACAATAAAAAATGATACAGGGGATATCACCACTGACCCCAGAGAAATACAAACTACCGTCAGAGAATACTATAAACACCTCTACGCAAATAAACTAAAAAGTTTAGAAGAAATGGATGAATTCCTGGACACATACATCCTGCCAAGACTAAACCAGGAAGAAGTTGAATCCTTGAATTGAATCCAATAACAAGTTCTGACATTGAGGCAGTAATAAATGGTCTACCAACCAAAAAAAGCCCAGGACCAGACAGACTCACAGCTGAATTCTACCAGAGGTACAAAGAGGAGCTGGTATCATTCCTTCTGAAACTATTCTAAACAACTTAAAAGGAGGGACTCCTCCTTAACTCATTTTATGAGGACAGCATCATCCTGGTACAAAAGACCAGCAGGGACACAACAAAAAAAGAAAACTTCAGGCCAATATCCTTGATGAACATTGATGCAAAAATCTTCAATAAAATACTGGTGAACCAAATCCAGCTGCACATCAAAAACCTTATACACCACAATCAAGTTGGCTTCATCCCTGAGATGTAAGGCTGGTTTAACATATGCAAATCAATACATTTAATCCATCACATAAACAGAACCAATGACAAAAACCACACGATTTTCTCAACAGATGCAGGAAAGGCCTTTGATACAATTCATAATCCCTTCATGTTAAAAACTCTGAATAAACTAGGTATTGATGGAATGTATCTCAAAGTAATAAGAGATATTTATGAAAAACCCACAGCCAGAATCATACTGAATGGACAAAGGTTGGAAGCATTCCATTTGAAAACCAGCACAAGACAAGGATGCCCTCTCTCACCACTCCTATTTAACATAGTATTGGAAGTTCTGGCCAGGGTAATCAGGAAACAGAAAGAAAGTGTATTCAGATAGAAAGAGAGGAAGTCAAATTGTCTCTGTTTGCAGATGACATAATCCTATATTTAGAAAACCCCACATCTCAGCCCAAAAGTGCCTTAAGCTGATAAGCAACTTCAGCAGTCTCGGGATACAAAATCAATATGCAAAAATCACAAGCATTTGTATACACCAACAATAGACAAGCAGAGAGCCAAATTATGGATGGAATCCCATTCACAATTATTACAAAGATAATAAAATACTTAGGACTACAGTTAATAAGGGACATGAAGGATCTCTTCAAGGAGAACTACAAACCATTGCTCAAGGAAATAAGAGAGGACAAAAACAAATGGAAAATAATTCCATCCTCATGGATAGGAAGAATCGATATCATGAAAATGGCCATACTGCCCAAAGTAATTTATAAATTTAATGCTATCCCCATCAAACTAACATTGACATTCTTCACAGAACTAGAAAAAACTACCTTAAAATTCATATGGAATGAAAAAATAGCCTGTATAGTCAAAACAATCCCAAGCAAAAAGAACAAAGCTGGAGGCATCACGCTACCTGACTTCAAACTATACTACAAGGCTACAGTAACCAAAACAGCATGGTGCTGGTACTAAAACAGACATATAGACCAATGGAACAGAATAGAGACTTCAGAATAAGACCACACATCTACAACCATCTTATCTTCAACGAACCTGCCAAAAACAAGCAATAGGGAAAGGATTCCCTATTTAATAAATGGTGCTGGGAGAACTGGCTATCTATATGCAGAAAATGGAATCTGAACCCCTTCCTTACACCTTATACAAAAATTAACTCAAGATTGATTAAAGACTTAAATGTAAAACCCAAACCCTTAAAAACCCTAGAAGAAAACCTAGGCAATACCATTCAGGACATAGGCACAGGCAAAGATTTTATGATGAAATTGCCAAAAGTATTTGCAACAAAAACTAAAATTGACAAATGGGGTCTGATTATACTAAAGAGCTTCTGCACAGCAAAAGAAACTATCATCAGAGCAAACAGGCCACCTACAGAATGGGAGAAAACTTCCAATCTACCCATCTGACAAATGTCTAATATCCAGAATGTACAAGGAACTTAAACAAATTTACAAGAAAAAACCAAACAACCCCATCAAAAAATGGGCAAAGGGCATGAACAGACACTTCTTAAAATAAGACATTTATGTGGCCAACAAACATATGAAAAAAAGCTTAACATTACTGGTCATTAGAGAATTGTAAATCAAAACCACAGTGAGATACCATCTCATGACAGTCAAAATGGTGATTATTAAAAAGTCAAGAAACAATAGAGGCTGGCGAGGCTGTGGAGAAATAGGAATGCTTTTACACTATTGGTGGGAATGTAAATTAGTTCAACCATTGTGGAAGACAGTATGGTAATTCCTCAAGGATCTGGAACCAGAAATACCATTTGACCCAGCAATCTCATTACTGGTTATATACACAAATGAATACAATCATTCTATTATGAAGATACATGCACATGTATGTTTATCGTGGCACTATTCACAGTAAGAAAGACCCAACCCAAATGCCCATCAATGATAGACTAGATAAAGAAAATGTGGTACATATACACCACGGAATACCCATAAAAAGGAATGAGATCATGACCTTTGCAGGTACATGGATGAAGCTGGAAGCCCTTCTCCTCAGCAAACTAACACAGGAGCAGAAAACCAAACACTGCATGTTCTCACTCATAAGTGGGAGCTGAACAATGAGGATACATGGACACAGGGAGGGGAACAACACACACTGGAGCCTGTTGGAGAGGGGCGAGGGGAGGGAGAGCATCGGGACAAATAGCTAACGCATGTGGGGCTTAAAATGTAGTGATGGGTTGATAGGTGCGGCAAACCACCATGGCACGTGTGTACCTCTGTAACATACCTGTGTGTTCTGCACATGTATCCCAGAACTTAAAATCAATCACTCAATCAATAAATTAAAATCATCAAAATCATATCAAGTATTTTCTTGGACCATAGTGGAATAAAATTAGAAATCAATACTAAGAGGAACTCCAAAACTACACAAATAATGGAAGCTAAACTATTTGCTCCTGAAATATCCTTGGGAAGACAACAAAATTAAGGCAAGAATCAAGACATTTTTCAAAACAATTGAAAGTGGAGACACAACATATGAAAACCTCTGGGAAAAGAGCAAAAGCAGTGTTAAGAGGGAAGTTTATGGTGTAAATGCCCACATCAACAAGACAGAAAGATGTCTTATTAACAACATAACATCAAATCTCAAGGAAAAAGAAAAACAAGAACAATTTAAACCAAAAGATAGTCGAAGAAAAGAAGTAACAATGATTTGAGTAGAACTAAGTAAGTTTGAAAGTAAAAATCCACAGCATAACAGATCAGAGAAACAAAAATTTGATTTTTTGAAAGGATAAACAAAATTGACAGGCCACTAGCTGGATTAAACAAGATAAAAGAAGATTCAAATAAGCATAAGCAGAAATTAGTAAGGGGGCATTACAACTGATACAAAAGAAACAAATGGATCATCAGACACCCCTATGAACACCTCTGTGTGCACAAGCTAGAAAACCTAGAGGAAATTGATAAATTCCTGGAAACATACAACCCCCCCAAGATTGAATCAGGAAGAAATAGGAATCTTGAACAGACCAATAATGAATAATGAAATTGAATCAATAGTAAAAAAAATCTTACAACAACAACCCAAAAATCTCAGGACCAGATGGATTTATAACCAATTTTTACCAGATTTACAAAGAAGAGCTGGGACCAATCTTATTGAAACTATTCCAAAAAATTGAGGAGAAGGGAGTCCTTCCTAACTCATTCTACAAAATCAGTATTACCCTGATACCAAAATCAGGCAAGGACAATTAAAAAAAAAAGAGAGAGAAAACGAAACTACAAGCCGGTATCCCTGATGAACACAGATGCAAAAATCCTCCACAAAATACTAGCAAACTGACTCCGACAGCACATCAAAAAACATAATTCAAGTGGGTTTTGTTCCAGGGATGCAAAGATGGTTCAACATCCACAAATCAATAAATGTGATTCATCAAATAAACAGAACTAAAAACTAAAACCATATGATCATCTCAACAGATGCCAAAAAGGTGTTTGATAGAATCCAACATCCCTTAATGATAAAAACCCTCGACAAACTAGGCATCAAAGGAACATATATGAAAATAATAAGACATCTATGGGAAACCCATAGCCAACCTAATACTGAATGGAGCAAAGTTGAAAGCATTCTCTGTAAGAACTGGAAAAAGACAAGAATGTCCACGGTCACCACTCCTATTCAACATAGTACTGGAAGCTCTGACCAGAGCAATCAGAGAAGATAAAGAAATAAAAGGCATCCAAATTAGAAAAGGGGGAGTCAAATTATCTCTGTTTACTGATGAAATGATTATATATCCTAAAACCCTATAGACTCCTCCAAAAAAAACTCCTAGAGTTGATAAACAAACTCAGCAAACAACTTTGATACAAAATCAAAGTACAAAAATCAGTAGCATTTCTATACACCAATAACTTTCAAGCTGAAAATGATATCAATAACTCAATCGCATTTATGAAAGCCACAGGAAAATAAAATACCTAGGAATACATATAACCAAGGAGATGAAATATCTCTACAAAGAGAATTATAAAACACTGATGAAAGAAGTTGAAGATTACACAAACAAATGGAAAACTTCCTGTGCTCATGGATTGGAAGAATCAGTATCATTAAAATGACCATACTGCCCAAAGCAATGTACAAATTCAATGCGATGTCTATCAAATTACCAATGTCTAATTTTTACAGAATTAGAAAAAACAATCCCAAAGTTGATATGGAACCAAAAAGAACACCAAATAACCAAAGAAATCCTAAGCAAAAAGAATAAAGTCAGAAGCATAATACTGCCTGATTTGGAATTATATTACAAATCTATATTAACAAAAATAACATCGTACTGGTGTAAAAATATAGATCAATGGAACAGAATAGGGAGACCAGATGTAAAGCTACACACCTACAACCAGCTGATCTTTGACAAAGTCAACTAAAATAATGGGGAAAGGTCACCCTATTAAATAAATGGTACTGGGAAAACTGACTAGCCATATGCAGAGTAACGAAACTGGACCCCTGTCTCTCAACACATACAAAACTTAACTCAAAATGTTCAAAGGCTTAAAGGTAAGACCTGAAACTATGAAAATCCTATAAGAAAACCTAGGAAAAATATTCTAAAGACTTAAATGTAAGATCTGAAACTGTAAAAATCCTATAAGAAAACCTAGGCCAACTCTTTTGGCCTTGGCAAAGAATTTTTTTTAAAGACCCCAAGAGCAACTTCAAGAAAAAGAAATAGACACATAGGACTTAATTAAACTAAAAAGCTTTTGCAAAGAAATAAGCAACAAAGAAATAATTAACAGAGTAAGCAGACCACCTACAGAATTGGAGAAAATATTCACAAATTATGCCTCTGACAAAGGACTAATATCCAGAATTTACAAGGAACTCACTCAAACAACTCAATAAGAAAAAAAAAAAAAAAAGCCAAAAACAACCCCATTAAAGGCTAGGCAAAGGATGTGAACAGCCATTTCCTAAAAGAAGACATACAAACAGCTAACAAACACATAAAAATGTTCAGCATCACTAATTATCAGATAAATACAAATTAAAACTTCAATAAGAATATCATCTTACACCAGTCAGAATGGCTATCATTAAAAAATCAAAATGCAAAAGATGCTGGCATGGATTCAGAGCAAAGGGAACACTTATACATTGTTGGTGGGAATGTAAATTAGTTCAACCTCTATGGAAAATAGTATGGAGATTTATCAAACAACTAAAAATAGAGCTACCATTTGACCCAGTAAATCCAGTACTGGGTGTTTACTCAAAGCAAGAGAAATCATTATATAGAAAAGACACCCGTACTTGTATGTTCATTGCAGCACTATTCACAATAGCAAAGTCATGGAACCAACCTAAGTGTCCATTGACAGTTGAATCATTAAAGAAAATGTGGCATATATACACCACGGAATACTACTCAGCCATAAAAAGAATGAAATCATGGTTTTTGCAGCAACATGGGTGGAGCTGGAGGCCATTATCCTAAGTAAACTAACTCAGAAACAGTAAGTCAAATACCACATGTTCTCAGTTATAAGAGGCAGGTAAACAATGAGTACACATGAACATAAAGATGGAAATAATAGACATTGGGGACTCCAAAAGGGAGAGGGTATGATGGGAATAAGGGTTGAAAAATTACCTATCAGGTATAATATTTGCTATTTGGGTAATGAGTACACTAGATGCTCAATCCCAGTGTGCAATATACCCATGTAACAAACAAGCATGTGTACCACCAAATCTAAAATTTAAAAATAATAATAATAAAAATTCTTTTATATTTTAATTATCTTTTAAATAAAAAGATTTATTATCTTATTATCTTTTTATTATTATTCAACAAAGAATATCTTTGTGGAATTTCTCATCAAATTATGAATTATTTTCCCAATTCCTTTGTATTGGCTGTGTTCTCTTGTATTTTACTGAGTTTCCTTAAGATCATTACCTTGAATTGTTTTTCAGGTATTTCATGGATTCTCATTTCTCTGGGGTCTGTTACTAGAGAATTATTGTGTTCCTTTGTGGAGGTGTCATATTTCCTTGCTTTTTCTTTTCTTTTCTTTTCTTTTTTTTGTTTTGGTCATGCACATTGATATCTGTGCATCTGGTGTAACAATTGCTCTTCCAATTTTATGGAGTAGCTTTTGCAGGAAAAAACTTTGCCCTATACATGTATCTATAGTGTCAGTTGGGTGGGGTGCTTTGGCTTTGGTCCTGGGGGCTGTAGTATAGTCCTTGTATGTTCTCTTGGGCTATCATCAATACCAGTGCAGTCTGTGAGTTTCTCAGTGACTTAAGCTGTGGATATTTGTGAAGGTTGTGATGCAGCTTTGATGGAGACAGGGGCACTGGGCAGGCCAGTCCTTGGGACCATGGGGGACCCACGCAGGTGTGTGATGGCCCCATTTCTGGAAAGGGAGGGTTTTCCAGTGGTGGTGATGACAGACCCTGAGTGGGCTGGTCCTCAGGCCCCTGGGTAGCATGTTCAGGCACCAGTGGTTGTGGTGGTTGTGATGGGCCTGGGTGGGCTGGTTTTTGTACCCCTGGGTGGCACATGTGGGTGCTGGCAGTGGTGGCAACAGGTTTTGGGTGAGCTGATCCTTAAAACCCTGGCCAGCATGCATGGTGGCCCTGCTGCTGGAGGAAGTGAAGTTGCTGGTGGTGGTGGTGTTACGCCCCAAGTAGTGCAGTGCTTGGGTCCCTGAGTGGTGCTTGTGGCCCTGCTGTTGAAGGGGTCAGGGTCAGTGTTGACAGAAGTGGCTCTGGGCAGGTGGCTCTCAGGTTCTTGGGAGTACATGTTTTGGCTCCCTATATTCGGGGGACAACTTCCCTGATGCACAGGACCATCTGTTTCACAGGGCATAAGGTGCTATATGGGATTCGGTACTAGGGATGTGGCTGCACCACTGGGTCCAGGTGGTATTGTAATGCTGTGTCCTTCTGGGTAGATTAGGGAGATGTCTCCATATATTTTCTTTCTTTATTCATCTGTTGATGAAAACTTATGTGGCTTCCTCATCTTGGCTATTGAGAATAGTGCTTCAATAAACATGGGAGTCTAGATACTTCTTTGACACACCAATTTCCTTTCTTTTGGACATATACCCAATAGTGGTATTTTTGAATCGTATGGTAGTTCTATTTTTAGTTTTTTTAGGAACCGCCATGCTACTTACCATAGTGGCCATACTAATTTACATATCCACCAACAGTGTATGAGGCTTCTCCTTTGTCTGCATTCTCACCAAAATTGTTTTTTGTCTTTTTTTTTTTTTTTTTTTTTTGAGTCTTGCTCTGTTGCCCAGGCTGGAGTGCAGTGGCGCAATCTTGACTTACTGCAACCTCTGCCTCTTGGATTCAAGTGATTCTTGTGCCTCAGCCTCCCAAGTAGCTGGGATTACAGTGTGCACCACCACACCTGGCTAAATTTTTTTTGTATTTTTTTTTTCGTAGAGATGAGGTTTCGCTATGTGGGCCAGGCTAGTCTCCAATGCCTGGTCGCAAGTGATCCACCTGCCTCAGCCTCCCAAAGTGATGGGATTACAGGTGTGAGCCACCATGCCCAGCCTGATAAAAGTCCTTTTAACTGGGGTGAGATGATATCATGTTTTGGTTTTGATTTGCATTTACGTGATGCTTAGTAATGTTGAGCATTATTCATACATTTGCTGGCCATTTGCATATCTTCTTTTGAGAAATGTCTGTTTAGATCTTTTGCCCATTTAAAAATCAGATTATTTGTTATTTTGTTATTGAGTTGTTTGAGTTCCTTACATAGTCTGGATATTAATCACTTGTCAGTTGAATAGTTTGCAAATACTTTTTCCCATTCTGTAGGTTGTCTCTTCACTTTGCTGATTATTTCCTTGCTGCATGAAGCTTTTTAGCTTAATGTGATCCAATTTGTCCATTTTGCTTTGGTTGCCTGTGCTTTTGAGGTCTTACTTGAGAAATTGCTGCTCAGATCAATGTCCTGGAGAATTCCCTCAATGTTTTCTTGCAATGATTTCATAGTTTCAGGTCTGACATTTTAGTCTTTATTCCCTTTTGATTTGATTTTTGTATATAGTGAGAAATAGAGATATAGTTTCATTCTTCTGCATATGGATATCCAATTTTTCCAGCACCATTTATTGGAGAGACTGTCCTTTCCCCAATGTATGTACTTGGTGTCTTAAAAAAATGAGTCAATTGCAAATGTATGGATTAATTTTTGGGTTCTCTATTCTGTCCACTGTGGTCTATGTGTCTGTTTTTATGCCAGTACCACGTTGTTTTGTTAATACAGCTTTCTAGTATTTTAAGTCAGGTAATGTGATGCCTCCAGCATTTCTCTTTTTGCTCAGGATTGCTTTGGCTATTCTATGTCTTTTGTGGTTCCATATAAGTTTTGGGATAGTTTTTTTCTATTTCTGTGAAGAATGTCATTGGTATTTTGATAGGGATTGCATTGAGTCTGTGGATACCTTTGTATAGCATGGACATTTTAACAGTATTAATTGTTCCAATTTATAAACATGGAATATCTTTCCTTTTTTCATGTCCTGGAATATTTTCCTTCCTGTCCTCTTGATTTCTTTTATCAATTTTTTATGCTTTTTGTTGTATAGATCTTTGACTTTTTTGTTTAAATTCATTTCTAGTTACAGTATTTTACTTGTAGCTGTTATAAATAGGGTTGCTTTCTTGGATTCTTTTTCAGATTGTTTGCTTTTGGCATATAGAAATGCTACTGATTTTCATATGTTGATTTCATATTCTGCAACTTTACTGAATTTGTTTATCAGTTCTAATGGTTTTTTTTTTTTTGGTGGAGTCTTTAGGTTTTTCCAAATAAAAGATTATATCAGAGCCGGGCACGGTGGCTCACTCCTGTAATCCCAGCACTTTGGGAGGCTGAGGCGGGCGGATCACAAGGTCAGGAGATCGAGACCATCCTGGCTAACATGGTGAAACCCTGTCTCTACTAAAAATACAAAAAAATTAGCGGGGCATGGTGGCAGGTGCCTGTAGTCCCGGCTACTCGGGAGGCTGAGGCAGGAGAATGGTGTGAACCCAGGAGGCAGAGCTTCCTATAACATAAAAAAGATTATATCGTCTGGAAACAAGGATAATTTAGCTTCTTCCTTTCCAATTTGAATGCCATTTATTTCTTTCTCTTGTCTTATTGCTCTATGACTTCCAGTATCATACTGAATAAAAGTGATGAAAGTGGGCATCCTTGTCTTGTTACAAATTTTAGAGGAAAGGCTTTCAGTTTTTCCACATTCAGTATAATAGCTGTGAGTTTGTCCTATATGGACTTAATCATGTTGAAGTATGTTCTTTCTATACCCAGTTTGTTGAGAGTTTTTATGATGAAAAGATGTTGAATTTTATTGAATGCTTTTTATAGCATCTATTGAAATGACAATATGGTTTTTGTCCTTTATTCTGTTGATGTTGTGTATTATGTTTATTGATTTTCATGTCAGAGCATCCTTGCATCCCTGAGATAAATCCCACTTGATCATGATGAATGACATTTTTAATGTGTTGTTGAATTTGGTTTGCTAGTATTTTTTTTGAGAATTTTTGCATCTGTGTTCATCAGATGCATTAACCTGTAGTTTTCTTTCTGTGTGTGTGTGTCTTTGTTAGTCTTGGTATCAGGGTGATACTGGACTCATAGAATGAAGTCAGAAGTGTTCCCTTTTCCTGTGTCTTTGAATAGTTTATGGAGTATTCATATTAGTTCTTTAAATATTTGGTAGAATTTAGCAGTGAAATCATCAGTTTCTGGGCTCTTCTTTGATGAGAGACTTTTTTTTTTTTTCAATTATCATGGCTTCTATCTCATTACTTGTTTTTAGTCTATTCAGGTTTTGTATTTCTTCACGGTTCAATCTTGGCTTCTTCTGGGTTTTCCAATTTATTGGCATGTAGTTGCTCACAGTAGACTTTAATGATCCTTTGAATTTCTGTGGTATCAGTTGTAATGTCTGTTTTTCATCTCTGATTTTATTTATTTGGGTCTTCTCTCCTTTTGTTTTTAGTGAGTCCGGCTAAAGGTTTGTTGATTTTGTCTATTTTTATAAAAACCACCTTTTCATTTCATTGATTTTTTGTCTTTTTAGTCTTGATTTTATTTATTTCTGCTCTGATCTTTATTATTTCTTTCCTTCTACTAATTTTGGGTTTGGTTTGCTCTTATATTTTTAGTTCTTCAACACGCATCATTAGGTGGTTTATTTGAAGTCTTTGTACTTTTTTGATGTAGGCCTTTATTGCTATAAACTTCCCTCTTAGCACTGATTTTGCTGTGTGCTCTAGGTTGTGGTATATTATGTTTCCATTTTCATTTGTTTCAAGAAATTTTTAATTATTCTGCTTAATTTCTTTATTTGCTGAACAGTCATTCAGGAACATATTATTTAATTTCCATGTATTTGTGTAGTTTAAAAATTCCTCTTGTTATTGATTTCTGTTTTCTTCCATTGTCATCAGAAAAAATACCTGACACAATTTCAAATTTTTTGAATTTTTTGAGATGCATTTTGGTACATCCTTGAAAATCTTGTATGTGCTGAAGAGAAAAATGTATATTCTGCAGCTATTTGATAAAATGTTCTGCAAATGTCTTAGGCTTATTTGATGTATATTATAGATTATGTCCAATATTTCTTTGTTGATTTCTGTCTAGATGATCTGTCCAGTGCTGAGAGCGGGGTGATAAAATCCTCAGCTATTATTGTATTGGGGTCTCTCTGTCTCTCTGTCTCTTTTACTCTGGCCCTAATATTTGCTTGTTATATCTTCTTGCTGAGTTAACCCCTTTGTCATTGTGTAATTACCTGCTTTATTTCTTTCACAGATTTTGTTTGAAATATATTTTATCTGATATGAGTATAGCTACTCCTGACCTTTTTTTGGGTTTACATTCACATGGAATATCTTTTTTTCCATCCCCTCATTTTCCATCTATGTGTGTCTTTATAGGTGAAGTGAATTTGTTGTAGGCATCATATAGTTGGGTTTTGGTTTTTAATTCATCCAGCCACTCCACCTTTTAATTGGATAATTTAGTTAATTTGTATTCAATGTTATTATAAGTAAGGACTTACTACTATCATTTTGTTTTCTGGTTGTTTTATTAGTCCTCTGTTCCTTTCTTCCTGTCTTCCTTTGTGTATAAGTGATTTTCTCTGGTAGTATGTTTTAATTTCTTGCTTTTTATGTTTTGTGTATCAAATAGGTGTTCTCTTTGTGGTTGCTATGAGGCTTGCAAATAACATCTTATAACCAATTATATTTAACTAATGACAACTTTGTTCACAAAAAAGAAAAGAAAAAACAAGCAAGCAAAGAGAAAATTGAAGAACTCTACACTTTATCTCCTCCACTTTTTGACATTTTATTGTCTCTGTTTACGTCTTTTTATATTGTCTATCTCTTAGCAAATTGTTGTAGTTATTATTTTTGATAATTTGCCTTTTGGTATTCATACTAAAGATATGAGTGGTTTATCCACTATAATTACAGTATTACAGTATTCTGTATTTACCTGGGTACTTAATTTTATCAGTGAGTTTTATGATTTATTATTACACATTAGCATCCTTTTCTTTCAGATTGAAGAACTTCCTTTAGCATTTCTCATAAGACAGGTCTGGTGATGATTAAATTCTTCTATTTTTGTTTATGTAGAAAAGTCTATTTTTCATTCCTGTTCGAAAGATAACTTCACTGGATACAGTATTCTAGTTTAAAACTTGTTTTCCTTTAGCGCTTTGAATATGTCAATCCATTCCCTCTTGATCCATAAGGTTTCCACTGAGAAGTCTGCTGCCAGATATATCGGAGCTCATTTACATGTTACTTGCTTCTTTCCTCTTGCTGCTTTTGGGATCCTGTCTTTATCCTTACTTTTGAAAACTTAATTAGTTTACTCCTTGAGGTAGTTTTATTTGGTTTGAATATGTTTTGTGTTCTTTGATCTTCTTGTACCTGGATATTCATATTTTTTCTCATAAGTTTGCAAATTCTTTGTTATTTCTTGGAATAAATTTTCTATCCCAATCTCTTTCTCTATATCCTCTTTAAGGCTAATAACTCTTACATGTGCCCTTTTAAGGTTATTTTCTAGATATTGTTGGCATACTTCATTTTTTTTTCTTCTCTGGTGGTATATTTTCATATAACCTGCCTTTGAGCTCACTAATACTTTCTTCTGCTTGATCAGTTCTGCTGTTGAGATATTCTGATGCATTTTTCAGTTTGTCAATTAAATTTTTTAGCTTCAGAATTTCGGTTTAAATTTTAAATTATTTCAATTTTTGTTAAATTTCTCTGATTGAAAATTCTGTATTCCTTCTCTGTATTATCTTGAAGTTCATCATGCTTCCTCAAGACAGCTATTTTGAATTCCCTGGCTGAGGTCACATATCTCTGTCACCCCAAGGTTGATCACTGGTGGCTTATTTAGTCTTTCTGATGAGATCATGTTTTCTTGGATGTTTCTGATGCTTGTGGATGTTTGTTGATGTCTGGGCATTGAAAAGTTAGGTGTTTATTCCAGTATTCACAGTCTTGTCTTGTTCATGCCAGTCTTTCTTGAGAGGGTTTTTCATGATTTCAAAGGGTATTGAGTATTGCTACTTAAGCCTATGGTTACTGCAGTCATTTCAACACTAGGGAGTGCCCTAAGCCCAAGAACACTGAAGCTTTTGCAGACTCCTAGATACACAATCTTGGTGGACTTGGGGAAGATAAAGGAGAATTCCCTGGGTTCCTAGACAAAGTCTCTTACTCTCTTCCCTCTCTTTTCCTTAAGCAAAAGTCTCTCTTTCTGCACTGGGCCTTCTGGAACTGTTGGAAGGGTGACATGGACACTCCTATGGCCACCCCAGCAGGCACTGCTCTGGGTTGTACCTGAAGCCCATTGTCTCCCAGACCAGCACAGTTTTGGTGCTTGCCCAAGGCCCATGGCCACTACTGCCTGGCGGCCACTGATGTTTACTCAAGGCCCACAGCCACTTTAGTCAGCAGGTGGTGAATCCTTCAAGGACTAGGTTTATCCTTGGTTCTCTACACTACAGAGCCAAACCATATCACCAGGTCACTTTAGTTGGCTGGTGGTGAAGCTGGCCAGGACTAAACTTTCTCCCACTGAGACAGAGAATTTCTCTCTGACTCAGGGCTAGTCTAAATGCTTCCTTCATGGACACTGGCAGAATTCTACTTGGTGTTGTGTTCCACCGTGACAGAGTGGCATTGAGTTCAAATGCAAAGTTTCACACTCACTTTGCTCTTTCTCCTTCAAACACACAGATTATCTCCATACATTGTGCTGCTGGGGTTCGGGGAGGTGTGGTGTAGGCAATGTAAGACTGTCCTTCCTACCTTCTTCAATGCCTCTTTCCTTATCAGTAGGTTAAAACCAGGTACTAAGATCACTCATCTGATTTTATGTTCTTATGAAGGTGGATTTTTATATGAACAGTTGTTCAAATTGCTGTTCCTGCAGGGGGATGATTGCTGGAGGGCTCTATTCAGCCATCTTGCTCCTCCTCCTCCTCCAAATTACAGAATTTAAACATTCTATAATTAAGTTTGTGAGGCCAGGCATGGTGGCTCACACCTGTAATCCCAGCACTTTAGGAGGCTGAGGCAGGTGAATTGCTTGAGCTCAGGAGTTCGAGACCAGCATGGACAACATGGCAAAACTCTGTCTCTACAAAACATACAAAAATTAGCTGGGCACAGTGGCATGTGCCTATAGTCCCAGCTACCCGGGTGGCTGAGGTGGGAGGATTGCTTGAGTCCGGAAGGCAGAGGTTGCAATGAGCTGAGATCATGACACTACACTCAAGCCTAGGCAATGGAGCCAGACTCTGTGTGTGTGTGTGTGTGTGTGTGTGTGTGTGTGTGTGTATCTATATATATCTCAAGTCTGTGATTCTTTTAGAGTTAATTTTTGAAAAAGATGTGAGATTCAGGTTGAGGTTCATTGTTTGGCCTATGGATATTTAATTGCTTCATACCACTTATTGAAAAGGTTATCCTTTCCCCATTGAATTGCTTTCATATATTTGTCAAAAATCAATTGAGCTTATTGTGTGGGTTTATTTATGGAGTCTCCATTCTATCCCATTATGTCTGTCCCTCTGCCAATACCACACAGCCTTGATCACTATAGCTAAATAATAAGTCTTGGAATCTGGTAGACTGGTTTTGTCTACTTTCTTCTTCCTTTTGTATGTATGTATGTATGTATGTATGTATGTATGTATGTATGTATGTATAATTTTAGAGGCAGGGTCTAGCTCTGTCACCCAGGCTGGAATGCAGTGGTGTAATCATAGCTCCCTGCAACCTTGAACTTCTGGACTCAAGTTATAATCCCACCCCAGCCTCCCAAGTAGCTGGGACCACAGGTGTTTCCCACCACTCCCAGCTAATTTTTGAAATTTTTGTAGAGAAGGGGTCTTACTATATTGCCCATGC
Organism: Homo sapiens; assembly: GCF_000001405.40. Lineage (NCBI taxonomy): Eukaryota > Metazoa > Chordata > Mammalia > Primates > Hominidae > Homo > Homo sapiens. The sequence continues at coordinate 93,094,738 of NC_000007.14, forward strand.
TGGTCTCAAACTCACGGCCTCAAGCAATCCTACTGCCTCAGCCTCCTCAAACATTGGGATTACAGATGCAAGCCACTGTGCCTAGCTAAGACACACACACACACACACACACACACACACACACACACACACACGTCTTATATAGAGTGACATATATATAACATGTGATATATATATATGAGTCACTCTCACAAACAGACTGTTATATCTCCCAAATAAACACACACACACACACACACACACACACACACACACACACAGCGAGAGAGAGAGAGAGAGAGAGAGAGAGAGAGAGAAAGCATGATAGCATGATTGGATTCTGGTAAGAATGAGAGAGCTATCAAACTGGGATGAAAATCTGACCCAAGTGAAGGAGAAGTGAAGCATCCTTGACTTACTAGATCCCCAATTTTTACTCCTAGGCTTTCTTTCTAATAAAATCTTCACACATTTAATCCTTTCTTGGTATCTGCTTCTCGAAGGACCTGGAGTAATAGATTGAAAAAAAACCTGGTGAAAAGGGGAGATAAAGTGTTAACCTTAGAATTTTTTGTAGCATTCCCAAGGGAATGAGAAAAATAATCTACAAACATAAAACAACAACAACAACAACAATTAATAGTAATAATAAAAGCATTAGTGCAAGAAAACACAGTTGAGATACAAGGGATAGAACTCTCTATCTCACTGCCTACCTTGGTCAGTTTACATACCATGTTCACACACCTTTGAAAACCTGCCACATGATTCAAGGTATGATTGAAAGGATAGCCCCTGTTTTGGAGCTTAAAGTTCTTCTAAAACATACACAAAACTTCCATAAATTGGAAACAGATATGTATTGGGAGTAATAGTTAAGAACGAAGACAAAATTAAATCAGTTCTGAAGCATATACCCATTAAATAATTCCCTGTAAGTCCTCTTCAACTGCTTTCTTAAAAAACAGGAAGAAGTTCAGGTGAATGGACAAAGACTAAAATCAAGTTAAGATGTCACTGTTATCACTTTGGAATAGTGAAAGAAATTTGCTTTTTAAGGTCATGTGTCAATGCCGTTTAAGTTTCAAACTTAAATGGGTATTGGAGATGGTTGTAGGAATTAAAGAGTTTCAGGGATACCATGCTTGGATATCTTGTTTGTCCCTCCATATACGCTCTCCTCTTTTCCATACCTTGCTGATCGGTATGAACTGTATCAGTGGGCTCCCTTGTCCTCTAGTTTCTGGTTGAATTTGAACCAATGGGAAGCACAGGCAAGAGATTAAAGAGAGGAAGAAGAGTAAAATTATATTATTTATTCCCCTGGGCTTTCTCCTTGTGGGGCACTTCAGGCTGGCTGCATCCCTCCACTGAAGGTCACAGTTCCTATTAAGCAGTCCTCTCCAGAAAGTGCCCTCACCTTACTCCCACCGCCATCCTGCTAACAGTTCCCTTCTCTTGCCCTTCAGGAATAAGGATAGTAGGTGCTCCTCACGCTACTAGCTAGTCTGAGGGCACTGTTTTATCCCTTGAGACTTCCCTACTCCCTCTCCACACTTTCGAAAATAGTTCCTTTATTAAACTCTCCTCAAAGGACTACTTTTAAATGTGTCATCTGTTTCTTGCCAGGATTTTCACTTGAAGAGCATGAACTTAAATGAATCACTAAAATATGGGATTAGATTATATTTACTTCAACTAGGAAGAAATGGTGATAGCTTATCACTAAAGGATAGATTTCTGGATTTCAAACTGAACAATTCCCTTCTTCCACTAATGAAAGGAAATGCACTTTTTGACTTTCCTGAGTGTTCTCAGAGGTGAGGTATGACTTTCAGGCCATATTGGATGCCATAGAATTTAAAACTTGGCTATGATATTATGATGGTGGTGTACATACATATTTAAGTTTTAAAAATACATAAAAGAACAGAGAACAATAGTATACACACTTTAATTGGAGATTAGCTTCTTGACAATAAAGTGAAAAATCTATAATTATTTCAGTGTATATGAACTCTTTTTTTTTTTAAGCACATTTTAAGTTGAGCAACAGGGAGACCTTTGGAGGAGCAAGGGATATAAAAATAATGAGGAATTAAATAATTTTATTGTTCTTAGAGAAATAAGTCAAATAATCTTCACTCTGGTATTACTTTCTGAGAGCTTTTTTCTTTCTTTTTTTTTTTCACATCCTAAATAGCCAGAAGCAAAATTTGGCATGCTATAGTTTCTAAACTTCTTTTGTTGAGGCTACCATTTGTTTTGGGACTGTTGATAAACATTTTCTTTTTCAACGCTGAGTTTGGAAACTATCGTGTATTACAGTGACCTAATTAGTGGTTTCCAAAGGGACAGTTAACAAAAATTCTGATGTCTTTCCACCCTAGGTTGTATCTGAATTGGGAAATAGAATGTGCAACTTGAAAAGACCTTCAGGAGTTCTGTTCAATTGAGAACTGCTGGCCTGTGAAAGAGAAAATCAATATTTTAATCTCACCTTCTGTTATGGTCTGAATGTGTCTTCCCAAAATTTATATGTTGAAATGTAATCACCCTCGTGATAGTATTAAGAGATCGAGCCTTCAGGAGGGGATTAAGTCATAAAAAGTTCAGGGAGCTGCCACAGGGATGGGGCTACACAGAGAGCCCCTACTAGGGCAATTTCTATTGGAGCAGCAGGAGTGGGGCCACTGCAGAAAGGCCCCACCAGGGCAATGCCCAACAGAGTTATGGAGTTGGGGTCACCACAGAAAGCCCCCACTGTGGCAATGTTTAGTGGAATTGTGGAAGCAGGATGATCTCTGAGATCCCAGACTTGTAAAGCCACCAGTGTGCAATGTGCAGTGCCAGCCTGAGAGAGCCTCAGGCACTCGACTTCAACCCCTAAGAGCTGCTGCATGGGCTGCACCCAGCAAAGCCATGAAGGCAGTGCTGTCTGAGGGATTGGGGGCCCAACCTCCACTCCAGTGTGTGCAGAAGGCACGGCATGGAGTCAGAAAAGATTATTCCCAAGCCTCAAAACTTAATATTGTTTGCTTTGTGTTTTGGACTTACTTGGGACTTGGGATCTTCTTTCCTATTTTTCCCTTTTGGACTAGGAATGTTTATCGTATGCTTGTCCCACCATTGTAGTTGGAAGCACATAACTTGTTTGATTTTACAGGCTCACAGCTGGAAAGGAATTTGCCTTATGAAGAGTCATACCTTAAGTCTCACCTGTAACTGATATAGATTAAACTCCGGACTTTAGACATTGGAGCTGGTACTGGAACAAGTTAGACTTTTGGGGCTACTGGGATGGAATGAATGTATTTTGCATATGAGAAGAATATAAATTTAGGGAGTCAAAGGTAGAATGCTATGGTCTGAATATGTTTCCCTCAAATTCATAGTTCTAAGGAAATATAAAACTAAATAGGTAAAGAGAATTATGATAGATTAAGGTGCCTGTTAAATTGATCCTGCACAATTCAGGAATTTTTAAATTTTCAGAACGAAAACTCACACACATTTATTACACTGGTGTTCTTTGGAAAAGTGGGTCTGAATTATTATAATATGAAAATTGACTTTTTTTCCTGTTAAAAAATGTTAAAATTTAACTTTGGCTCTAAAATGATAAAAATTAGATACCAAAAGAGGTGATGAACCAAAATGCATATTTTCAAAGTAGGGCGTTCAAGAACCAATTTGACAATTGACCTATAATAAAGACATAATAGAAGAGTTAACTGCATAGAGCGGGGGTCAACAAACTTTTCCTGTAAAGAGCCAGATAGTAAATGTTTTAGACTTTGTGGCCCGTAGGGTTTCTGTGGCAGCTACACAGCTCTGTTGTTGTAGTGCAAAAGCAGCCACAAACAATACTTCAACAAATGAGCAGGGCTATGTTTCAATAACACTTTATTTACAAAGACAAGCAGTAGGCTTGATTTGTCCCAGAGGCTGTAGGTTGCCCACTGCTGGCATTGAGGAAATAAGGGCTTATGAAGAGGTTCTTTTGGAGAAAGTTCTCTCATACCCCTATGAGAACCTTCTCTCAAGCCTTGAGAGAGGGGGCCTTCAAAAGGTTCACTTGAAGCGCTTTACCTGTGTCCCTCCGAATTTACAACACATGTTGTTCCCCAAACTGGAAATTACCTTCACTCCCTACCAATGGCAGAACAAACACCCATAAGTGTTTCCTGTTCCCCAAGGCAGGTCACGGGGGACAGAACATCTGCCTAAACTGGCTTAATTTGAGTTCAAAAGAATCACCCCAGAAGGCAGGAGTCCAGAAGATACAATTCTGTGCAGAGTGAACTGAAACCTGGGGCAGACTGGGAAGTGGCTTCAGAGAAAAACGTGACTGGACATTCTAATTGAAACTCCGTTTGACCAGAGGATTTCTTTTACATTTTAAAAATTGAGCTGAAATGAAATGAGCCAGGCACAGAAAGACCAATACTGCATGATTTCAGATTGGATGTGGAATCTAAAAAAGCTAAACTCATAGGAGCAGAAAGTTGAATGGTGGTTTCCAGGGTTGTAGGGGCAGTGAGGGAGGTAGTGGGAAATGAGATGTTGGTCAAAGGGTACAAAGTTTCAGTTAGGAGGAATAAATTTTGGAAATCTATTGTACAACACAATGATTATAGTTAATAATTATTGTACACTTGAAAATTTTTAAGAGAGTTGATTTTAAATGTTCTCATCACACACACAAGCAGGCTTGAGAGGTGATGGATATATTAATTACCTTCATTTAGTCATTTCACAGTATATATCTATATCAAAACATCAGGCTGAACGCCATAAATAATATACAATTTTTATTTGTCAATTAGAAAGTAACAATAAAGAGTGAGCTTATAAGTTATGGAGTTAAAATTTTATGCAGAAGCAAGGGAAAATCTTCCTCCAGTGAAAAAATTCTAATGAGATTTTGAAGACAGAAACAAATCACATTTTTTTTGTTTTTGTTTTCTAAATGTTTTACAAGAGAAAATTTCAAAAGCATAATCAGTAAGAGGGAGAAAAGTGTGCTGAATTCCATGTATCCAGCTTGCAGCCATTGTTAACTCAGGACTAATCTTGTTTCGGTTCTACTTCCCTTTCACCACCCCCACACCCCAAACACAAAATTACTGATTCTAGATCATGTCATTTATTTACAAATACTTTAGTATGTATCTCTAAAAGGCATGAACTCTTTAAAAAACATAACCATGGAATCTTCAATAATATAGTACCTTAATATCCTCAAATATCTAGTCTGTGTTCAAATTTTTCTGATTGCCTAATAATTGATTTTAGATTTTGCTCAAATTAGGATCTAAAGTCTATATGTTGCCCTTTAGTTGTTAAGTCCCTTATAATGTATAGATTCCCCAACATTTTTTTGGTCCTTTGCAATTTCTTTCTTTTTTGGTTGAAGAAACCAAAAAAGAAAACCAGGTTTTTGTCCTGTGAATTTCCCCTTTCTGGATATTGCTGATTGCATATTTGTGGTGGTGTTAGTAGGATTTTTTTAAAATTTCTTTTGAATTGCAAATAAGATCCAGAGACCTGATCAAATTCAGGTTTAATTATTTGGCAAGACCATGTCACGGGTGATGTGTGCACTCCTATAGTACTTCCAGGCCCATAATGTCTGGTCTTCCTCTGTGATGTTAATATTTATCAGGATTTGGGACAGTTTGATAAATCCATTAGAAATTTTTGTTTTTTAATCAGCTTTCCACTTAATGGTTTTGGCAGCCATTGATGACTGCCCATATCCATAATTTTATTAGGGGAAAATTACATTTTGATTACGTATCGCTGGTTGTTTTTGTTCAAAACATAGGTTGTATGTTAATCTGCCAGTACATTGGCATCTTCTGGATGAGGGACTCATTAGTCTTCTCACAAGAGTCCCTTTTGTTCATTAGCTTGTGGAATTTGAGTGTCTGTATGTTTTTTTTTTAATTGTTTGTTTGGAGGGGAGTTGATAAGCTAATTAGCTATAGAGACAAATTTCATTTTTGCTTAACTGAATCTCACTGCATGAAAAGGCAATCTAATTCTCCAACCTACTTTGGTAAGGTCTGATGACTTCTGTGGGCATGACCTTCAGAAGACTGGTTGGTCCTCTGTTTTGGAAGATCCTTGAGTGCCAAGCACATGATACATTGATGATCTGCTTAGTAAGAATAAATGTTGCTCCTCAGTTTGAGAGGTTTTTGCTGTCTTTGAGAAATATTTTCCCAGACATTCTAATGTCTAAATGCCATTTGAGTAGACAATCTTCTTCAATCCATGCCTGGTAAGTAGTGGGGTTCTGTGTAGCCAGCTTATTACACTAACTTCTCCTGACTCCAGTCATAGCTCCTTATTATTTTGTCATCAATGATGTTAACCAAACCAAGGAACATATTTGCTACTTTTCATATATCTCACTCCTTCCTTTTTCACTATTGTCTTTGTAGAACTCATAACATGTTTAAGAGGAAATTAAATACTGCATGTACAGATCTGAAGAGCTAGAGGCTGTATCTATAACCTTGCCGGTTTAAAGCATAGATCTTGAGTCCAAAAAAATTAAATGGGTACTGAGATCAAATTCTTGGAGGAAGAATATCAGGCTCTTAAACAATTTCAATGTCATAAGCAAGTGGGCCTCCAATGGAAAATCCCAGGTAAAAAGACACCTTCTCTATGCTTCTGCCACTTCTAAGTTGACCTAAAAAAGCGGGAGTGATGGGTATTGTGATTTTTTCATTGATTCCATATTCTATATATAAACAATTGTTTTCAGCTCGACCTTGTAAACGAAGCAAAAGTTCTTGGACTTTTTCCTCCTTCCACACATCTCCACTCTGCCACAAGGAATTAATATCTGGTGTCTTCTTAAAGCACTGGTCAATTTTTCCTTTGTGAACAAGTCTTTCCAGTCTTTTACCTTTTCCAAGAAAGAAATATGCAATTGGTTGCTTTGTACGATGCATATGTTTATATTGCCCCTTGAAAGAATTTTTTAGTGCTTGAGCATACTCTTTCATTTGTTCAGAATGTTGATCTAGTTGTTGATTTTCTGGCCAGAATAAGAGGGAAGCTAGAAAATACGGTTCTGAAAACTGATAAGTCAGTCCTATTGGTTGCAAGACTTCTCGAAGCTGATCTTTTAGTTTTTCAACTGGCTTTACTAATCTGGAGGTAGGTTGGATACAGGAGAGAATAATGTTGGCCAAGATGAAATTTAGCTTTTCTTTTGACTGGATTTTGACAGTGCATTGTTCTAAGAGAAAAGTATATTCGTTCACTATACATTTCATAGTGCTTATAGCATCCTCTTGACTTTTGATAAGATATTCCAAGAGCCCAGAAAACTTGTCTGCTTTTAAAGCTACTAGGTTTCTCCTGCATCTCTCTACTTGAAGTGGCTCACTGAACTTTGATCCAAGACCTGTGTTGTTTTGTGATTCTTCTAAGAGACAAAATATATCTACATATTTCTTAAAATATCCAGCCACCTTTCTCCGAGTTTTGGCCTCTTCATTTTGCTTAATATTGTTCCTGGGTTTTAGCAGGACAAAGTATTCATCAAAAAAATCAAAGGACTTTTTCAAAGAAAATTTCAATTTAGTTAAATAAGGAATATAGTTTTTGAGGGCTAATTTATATTCATTGTTTGGATCCCCTGGAATATCACTACTTCCTGATACAAAATTGACCATATATCTTTTAGATAGCTCATTTTTATTATCAAAAAAAGGAATGAGCTGGAGAATTTGGATTGTGTAAAGCCCAACTTCTATCTCTCCTTGATAACCAGCTATATTGTAAGTATCATACCGCCTTTTTGACTTCGGATACAATCTTTCCTTCACTTCATACTCTCTATCTTCACTTTGCTGTTGAGATTCTTTGAATGCACTTGAGGCATGTTCTGCTAAATCCAAAAGAGCAATTAGATCATCAACTGAAATGTTCCCGTTTCCTCCGTTTTCCTCTATCCACCATCTTATTTTACTTTTGTAGACTTGACCCAGTGTATCTGAGATATAAGAATTGTCAGGTTCTATGATTTTTGCTTGTTTTGCCCAGTTTAGAGCATTGCCAAAGTCCTTCTTTTTAATGTAGAAATGTCTTGCCAACGCTTGGCAAATGAATGCATTTGGGTTGAACCGATGGATACTTTCAAGCAATACAGCTTCAACTGCTTCATTTCCTTCATCTTTATGTAATGCTTCAATAAATGGGGAAAACCAATTTCCTGTTTCACCTTCATGTTCATCGCGGTGTCTTGTGAGTAGGAGTGTGTGCATATCTTGCAAAAATTTACTTTTTCCCATACCAGTATCGAAGAACAAATTCTCAGTTAGCATATCCAACATAATTTGACTTTTATTCAGGTGATAGCTTTTCTTCAATTCTTCCAGTGAGAACTCTGCAATCAAAGAGTGAATGATGCGTACTCCACAGTAGTTCCCACATTCGATGACCTCTGTTTTTATCAGAATTGTAGAGTAGGTGCCCATCTTGTCTTCAAATTTTTCTGTCCCCCAGAAAGCCTTCTTGTTTCCAATTCCTAAGAATTTTTCACACTGTGATAGTGAAATGGTGGTATCAGGCACATATGAATTAAGAAGAGCCAGAAAAGAAAAGAGCTTTGCTTCCTTGGTGAAAATATTCTGCCCTTTCAGGATATTCCGGACCACATTTTCTATGTATTCTTTATTAAAATTGGTTTTCATGATCATAAAGGAATAAAAATCCTCAAAGTTTTTATGCTGTTCTTTGATTTCTTTCAATTTAAGCTCAAAAGCTCTCTGTTCTTTGGGAGAGAGTTGCTGTATTACGGCAATACTGTCTGGGATCCTTGCACTTTTTTCAGGATTTTGTGATCTCATACAATTTAGGATAATCACCAGAGGTTTTTCATATCGAATGTACTTTTTAGCTATAGCTGTTTGAATAGAGTACTGCAGAAGATAGACATTATCTTGTTCTTCAAAATCATCAACAAGGAGTAGTACAGGTACGTATTCCTGACGGTTCATTGCCCCATAGGTGATTAAACTGGTTACCTGTTCTCCAATTTCAGAAAAATCCACTGTCTTGTTTTTCAGCACAGCACATCTGAATTTCTTCCTTAGTTCCCAGAGAATGTGCATAGCCAAGGTAGTTCCCCCACAGCCTGGATGATGATACAGATGAATAATTTTGGTACTTGTTGGTTTAGAAGAATCTGCACAGTTTTGAATCATTGCTTCAAGTCTTTCATATTTATCCCTTTTGACAAAAGGTGAAGAATAACTTTCAGAAGAGAAGTAGAAGTTCCACCATGACACTTTGCCACCTCGATAGAAGTCTTCCTCTTTTGATGCCTTGAATTCAAGGAATTTATTTTTGTCCTTCTCTAACAGTGTACCCTCACATTCATTTTCACAGATAATTTCCAGAGCAGTCATGATATCTTCTTCCTTTTTCAGAAGGACAGTCGATAAACCAATAGATGGCAAAAGCCTTTTTGAAGATTGAGTCACAGATTTTAGTTTAAGAATAGTGCCATTGATCTCTTCAAGGCTTAAAGCAGAAATACATTGGCTTGAAATTTCATCTTGGTGTTTTATTAATCTTGCTTCAAGTAGATCTTTCCATCCCTGAAATATGTGTGGGTGCACACAAATACACAGTATATTTTCCATTCCTTTGAGATCCTGGTAGAAAGCACAGAAAGTCTCAATGAGGGGATCTCTTGGGTCATCCACAGAGGACAGTAATAGAAATACCACCAAAAACTTCCCTCTTGGCATTATGTCTTCATGTGTAAGAAATGAAATCAGTTTCCTGACATCAGAAGCTCTTTCTCTTTGCCAGGAACTTGGATCAAAGGGTTTATATTTTTCACTGTCAAGGTCTAACCTGCCATTGCAGAAAATCCAGCTGGGTTGATGGTAAAGATTTAGAGTAGAAATCGTCTCATTTGGTGTGGTTTTCTGTTCTACATATACACTTGGAAAGTGAAGGTTTGCTACTCGGCTTTCTTTGTAAGCTTTGACCACTCCATTGATGTTAGACTCAGGATCAAACTCCAATACAGCAAACCATTTAATTTCCTTCAGGAAATCTAAGTGTTTTGTTTGATCTGGGTGGCATTTATTTGTTACAAGAATGTACTGTTCATAGTATGAATTATCTAACAAATCTTGATTTCCTGTCAATAATTTAACCAACTTTGGTCCCTCTCTTTCTTTTTTATTTGTTTTTGCTCTGAATTTTTCTTCTGCTGCTTTTCTGGACTCTGCCAGTGTTTTAAAATCTGCTTTAAATGCTCTGAAATCAACTTTATTTTTCGTAATGTCCTTAGAGCTGGTCCCATCTCGCACAAATAGTGAGAATTTTTTACTTTGTTCCCATATTTTGTTGTTGTAATTTTGCATTTTAATCTGGAAATAATCATATTGGCATTCAGAGAACTGTGGAATAATGTCCACTTCAATAACAAATCTGTCAGATAGAGTACTATTTGGCAGTAAAACTTCCACAAATCTTGGCTCTCGAATGCACTTCTTTGCTTGTTGGACTTGATGGTCTTCAAAATACTTGTTTATCATCAGATTGAAATGGTTAATGAGGGCTTCCTTGGTATCATTGGTGACTTTGATGCCAACAATTTTCCCATGGGGTTTGTCTTTGACTCCAAAATGAATAGTGCCATTGGTACGTGAATTCATACAAGCTGAAGCAAATCGGAAAACCTCATTGCTAAATTTCATCTTGACATCCTCTTCTGTGGCTGTTGCTGTATTTGTGAAGGCTTTGAATTCATGTATCGGATCAATGAGATTGCCTGGTCCTGTTTCAGGCTGTAGACTAAAATCCAACTTGTAACGATATGGATTACTGAATTCATCAAATGGATATGATACACATGTCAGGTCTATGGATGGTTGCCTTTCCTTTGTATAATCTATTTTATCTTCTATGAGCTCAACTTTTAGTGACTTAGAACCTTTAGCAGTTGTACTCATTGCAGACGGATTAGCCATATCTGGGTTCTCTTTACCCTTTTGTTTTTGCTTTGAAGTTTCTCTACGTTCCTTTTGAGACACAGTTTGGTCTTTAGGAGCATTTTTACTGGGCTTTCCCATCTTAGATGTCTGAATCGAATCTTCAATGGCTGTTTTCCGCAATTCTTTGAATAGTTCTTCTATTTGAATAGCTGGTCCATGTGTGATGCCCATATCAACAAGATGTTCTTTTTTTAACCACTTCAAGACTGCTCCATTCACGTCTTGTTCAGTCAAAATTTCCCTGTGTTTTTGGTCAATCTTATGACTTTCTAACCACTGATTTACATCCTCTTTTGTCCAATCATCTGTATTTTCTGGAAGGTTAAGTTGCTTTGCCATTCTGATACCTATATGTAGAAAAAGAAAAATTATTTAGTATTATTAAAAGTAAAATTTTGAAACAATTTTAGTAGATAATATATACATAATTTTCAAAATTTAAAAAGCTCAAAAGGATATGCCAATGAATTATCTCTTGAGAGAATGTGACTATTGCCAGTTTCTTCTGCATCCCTCCAGAGAAAGAATACCAAATACAAACACATGAACACACTTTTCCCACATAAATTGTGGCATACTATACATAATTCTCTTGCTTCATTCACTAAGTAAATTTTGGGAATGCTTCCAGTCAGTATATATAGAGATAGTTTATCCTTATTAATGATTGTTTGCTATAATGTGTGTTTGCTGTATTATTTAAGAACGTTCAATTCTGCTATAGAAAATAAGAGAAAAAAGAAGGATATTTGAAACTAAGTACAGAAGCAAGTTTGTGAGATACATCATGATAGACATAGATAAAGTAAATAGAGCATATGAGTATTAAGCATAGTTAGAAAGGGATATAAGAACCAAATAGTAAATATTCATGAGACACACATGAAGCATTTGCTGTTTTTCAGGTCTAAATTTGGTTACCTATTTGGTGACACCCATTCTAATCATTTGTGTTCTCCATTGAAGAAACATCAGTAAAATCCATAGTAGCTTATCAGGCTAATGACCTGTATCTGTGGCCAGGCATACTCATCCCTCTGCATTTCTCTGATTACAGCAAGTGTATGTCATTGACCCAGGACCTCTTCCATCTGCCAAGACCCTTTAAACAGACCTCAACTCTGTTTCTCAAAATTGTACAATCAGTGGAGAATGCTGAAACATCAGAGAGGAAGAGAGAAGATATATTAACTTGCACAACTCAGGTAATGAGATCCTTCTACCCTTCTTGTTCCTTACCCAAGATGTGTTGACCACCTCTTTGTTGTGTTGTTGGGTATTTTAATTTTTTTTTTTTTTGAGATGGAGTTTTGCTCTTGTTGCCCAGGGTGGAGTGCAATGGCGCGATCTCGGCTCATTGCAACCTCTGCCTCCTGGGTTCAAGTGATCCTCCTGCCTCAGCCTCCCAAAGTGCTGGGATTACAGGCGTGAGTCACCATGCCTGGCCTTGTTGTGTTATTTTAATTGATTTTTAAAAATATGCCCTTCAAGCATCTTAATTTTGTCTGTGAGCTGTTCTGTTCCATGTCATCTGGAATAGCTTGCTGAGTAGTGAACTTGTTGGCTACTGTTGTATTAAACTAATTTTTCACATAATAATTAATAAGAGCTGATTCCTGAGCAATAACTTGTGGCATAATTATTTAGTTTGCAAATTTGCAGACTACTATCTGAAAAATTAATGTCAATCTAGGCTACAGAAATATAGCAATGGTTAGAAAAAATGAAATTCAAATAATAATAGTCAGCTTTAAGTATGATCCAAAATTGTGAGACATTTTAATGAACTAAACTTTCATTTATCATGGGAGACATCAAATTAAATAATGGAGACAGCCTGGGGAATGGTGGCAGATAAATTATTATATAGGCCCAAGTTCATGAAATAATACACAGAAATATTGTTTTCTAGTGGCAGATACAAACTCAGGATTAGAATTTACCTTTCTTTCAAGACATGAAGATGCCAGAGCCATGGTCCAAGGTTTAAGCTATTATTTTTTTCATATGTAACTACGGTATACATAGAAAGTGAATAAGCAACATACCTTACAGCTATATCAATTCAAAATAGGCAAAGATAGGCAATATCTTAGTTGCGATTTTGTACTATAATTTTATAAGATTTTACTATTGGGGAAGCTAGGTAAAGAGTACACAGAATATCAAATTATTTCTTACAACTACATATGAATCTACAATAATCTTAAATAAAATTTTACTCAAAAAATAAAAAACTGCAATGGTATCCATATTTAGAACTGAGCAGTAATAAAAATGCTGCATATAAAGAGTTGTAAGGAACAATGTCTACAATACTTGGAGAAATATGTATAGCCTTGGATGTATTTATAAAAATGGAAGAATGGGTGTGGCCCGCCGTGCCTTGCCGTGCCTCGCCATGCGCCTGTGTGGCTAAGGCTTCTGCTGTGTGTGCGCGCAGGTGTGACTTGTGTCCGCAAAGTTTGTGATGTCCGGGGGACTGCATGTACCTTCAGCCGTCCTCCCTTCACACGCATGTGGACACAGTGTCACCTCCTCAAGCCATAGGGTGCCGAGTCTAAAGCACAGGGCCGGGTTCCAAGATGGCTGAATAGGAACAGCTCCAGTCTACAGATCCCAGTGTGAGAGACACAGAAGACAGGTGATTTCTGCATTTCCAACTGAGGTACTGAGTTCATCTCACTGGGGCTTGTTGGACAGTGGGTGCAGTCCAAGTAGTGTGAGCCAAAGCAGGGCAGGGCATCGCATCCCACAGGAAGCTCAAGGGGTCGGAGAATTCCCTTTCCTAGCCAAGGGAAGCCATGACTGACGGTACTTGGAAAATTGGGACACTCCCACCCTAATACTGTGCTGTTCCAATGGTCTTAGCAAACAGCACACCAGAAGATTATATTCTGCGCCTGGCTCAGAGGGTCCCACACCCACGGAGCCTCACTCACTGCTAGCACAGCAGTCTGAGATTGAACTGCAAGGCGGCAGCAAGCCTGGGGGAGGGGCGTCCACCATTGCTGAGGCTTGAGTAGGTAAACAAAGTGGCCAGGAAGCTTGAACTGGGTGGAGCCCACAGCAGCTCAAGGAGGCCTGCCTGCCTCTGTAGACTCCACCTGTGGGGCAGGGCATAGCTGAACAACAGGCAGAAGAAACTTCTGCAGACTTAAACATCCCTGTCTGACAGCTTTGAAAGGAGCAGTGGTTCTCCCAGCATGGAGTTTGAGATCTGAGAATGGACAGGCTGCCTCCTCAAGTGGGTCCCTGACCCCTGAGTAGCCTAACTGGGAGACACATCCCAGTAGGGGCCGACCGACACCTCATACAGCCAGGTGCCCATCTGAGATGAAGCTTCCAGAGGAAGGATCACACAGCAAAATGTGATGTTCTGCAATATTTGCTGTTCTGCAACCTCTGCCGCTGATACCCAGTCAAACAGGGTCTGGAGTGGACCTCCAGCAAACTCCAACAGACCTGCAGCTGAGGGTCCTGACTGTTAGAAGGAAAAGTAACAAACAGAAGGGACATCCACACCAAAACCCCATCTGTACGTCACCATCATCAAAGACCAAAGGTAGATAAAACCACAAAGATGGGAAGAAACCAGAGCAGAAAAGCTGAAAATTCTGAAAATCAGAGCACCTCTTCTCCTCCAAAGGAATGCAACTCCTCGCCAGCAACGGAACAAAGCTGGACAGAGAATGACTTCTATGAGATGAGAGAAGAAGTCTTCAAACGACTGGTAATAACAAACTTCTCTGAGCTAAAGGAGGATGTTTGAACCCATTGCAAAGATGTTAAAACCTTGACAAAAGATTAGATGAATGGCTAACTAGAATAAACAGCATAGAGAAGACCTTAAATGACCTGATGGAGCTGAAAACCATGGCACAAGAACTACGTGACGCATGCACAAGCTTCAGTAGCTGATTCTATCAAGTGGAAGAAAGGGTATCAGTGATTGATGATCAAATTAATGAAATGAAGCCAGAAGAGAAGTTTAGAGAAAAAGAAGTAAAAAGAAACAAACAAAGCCTCCAAGAAATAAGGGACTATATGAAAAGACCAAATCTACGTTTGATTTGTGTACCTGAAAGTGACGGGGAGAATGGAACCAAGTTGGAAAACACTCTTCAGGATATTATCCAGGAGAACTTCCCCAACCTAGCAAGGGAGGCCAACATTCAAATTCAGAAAATACAGAGAATGCCACAAAGATACTCCTCGGGGAGAGCAACTCCAAGACACATAATTGTCAGATTCACCAAAGTTGAAATGAAGGAAAAAATATTAAGGGCAGCCAGAAAGAAAGGTCCGGTTACCCACAAAGGGGAGCCCATCAGATTAACAGCAGATCTCTTGGCAGAAACTCTACAAACCAGAAGAGAGTGGGGGCCAATATTAAACATTCTTAAAGAAAAGAATTTTCAACCCAGAATTTCATATCCAGCCAAACTAAGCTTCATAAGTGAAGGAGAAATAAAATCCTTTACAGACAAGCAAATGCCGAGAAATTTTGTTACCACCAGGCCTGCCTTACAAGAGCTCCTGAAGGAAGCACTAAACATGGAAAGGAAAATCCGGTACCAGCCACTGCAAAAACATGCCAAATTGTAAACACCATCGATGCTAGGAAGAAACTGCATCAAATAACGAGCAAAAGAACCAGCTAACATCATAATGACAGGATCAAATTCACACATAACAATATTAACCTTAAATGTAAATGGGCTAAATGCTCCAATTAAAAGACACAGACTGGCAAATTGGTTAGAGTCAAGATCCATCAGTGTGCTGTATTCAGGAGACCCATCTCATGTGCAGAGACACACACAGGCTCAAAATAAAGGGATGGAGGAAGATCTACCAAGCAAATGGAAAACGAAAAAAGGCAAGGGTTGCAATTGTAGTCTCTGATAAAACAGACTTTAAACCAACAAGGATCAAAAGAGACAAAGAAGGCCATTACATAATGCTAAAGGGATCAATTCAACAAGAAGAGCTAACTCTCCTAAATATATATGCACCCAATACAGGAGCACCCAGATTCATAAAGCAAGTCCTTAGAGACCTACAAAGAGACTTAGACTCCCACACAATAATAATGGGAGACTTTAACACCCCACTGTCAACATTAGACAGATCCACGAGACAGAAAGTTAACAACGATATCCAGGAATTGAACTCAGCTCTGCACCAAGTGGACCTAATAGACATCTACAGAACTCTCCATCCCAAATCAACAGAATATACATTCTTCTCAGCACCACATCGCACTTATTTCAAAATTGACCACATAGTTGGAAGTAAAGCACTCCTCAGCAAATGTAAAAGAACAGAAATTATAACAAACTGTCTCTCAGACCACAGTGCAATCAAACTAGAACTCAGGATTAAGAAACTCACTCAAAACCGCTCAACTACATGGAAACTGAACAACCTGCTCCTGAATGACTACTGGGTACATAACGAAATGAAGGCAGAAATAAAGATGTTCTTTGAAACCAACAAGAACAAAGACACAACATACCAGAATCTCTGGGACACATTTAAAGCAGTGTGTCGAGGGAAATTTATACCACTAAATGCCCACAGGAGATAGCAGGAAAGATCTAAAATTGACACCCTAACATCACAATTAAAAGAACTAGAGAAGCAAGAGCAAACACATTCAAAAGCTAGCAGAAGGCAAGAAATAACTAAGATCAGAGCAGAACTGAAGGAGATAGAGACACAAAAAACCCTTCAAAAAAATCAATGAATCCAGGAGCTGGTTTTTTGAAAAGATCAACAAAATGGATAGACTGCTAGCAAGACTGATAAAGAAGAAAAGAGAGAAGAATCAAATAGATGCAATAAAAAATGATAAAGGGGATATTACCACCAATGCCACAGAAATACAAACTACCATCAGAGAATACTATAAACACCTCTATGCAAATAAACTTGAAAATCTAGAAGAAATGGATAAATTCCTCGACACATACACCCTCCCAAGACTAAATCAGGAAGAAGTTGAATCCCTGAATAGACCAATAACAGGTTCTGAAATTGAGGCAACAATTAATAGCCTACCAACCAAAAAAAGTCCAGGACCAGATGGATTCACAGCCAAATTCTACCAGAGGTACAAAGAGGAGCTGGTACCATTCCTTCTGAAACTATTCCAATCAATAGAAAAAAGAGGGAACCCTCCCTAACTCATTTTATGAGGCCAACATCATCCTGATACCAAAGCCTGGCAGAGACACAACAAAAAAGAATTTTAGACCAATATCCCTGATGAACATCGATGCAAAAATCCCAATAAAATATTGGCAAACCGAATCCAGCAGCACATCAAAAAGCTTATCCTCCATGATCAAGTGGGCTTCATCACTGGGATGCAAGGCTGGTTCAACATACACAAATCAATAAACGTAATCCATCATATAAACAGAACCAAAGACAAAAACCACATCATTATCTCAATAGATGCAGAAAATGCCTTTGACAAAATTCCACAGCCTTTCATGCTAAAAACTCTCAATAAACTAGGTATTGATGGGACATATCTCAAAATAATAAGAGCTATTTATGACGAACCCACAGCCAATATCATACTGAATGGGCAAAAACTGGAAGCATTCCCTTTGAAAACTGGCACAAGACAGGGATGCCCTTTCTCACCACTCCTATTCAACATAGTGTTGGAAGTTCTGGCCAGGGCAATTAGGCAGGATAAAGAAATAAAGAGTATTCAGTTAGGAAAAGAGGAAGTCAAATTGTCCCTGTTTGCAGATGACATGATTGTATGTTTAGAAAACCCCATCGTCTCAGCCCAAAATCTTAAGCTGATAAGTAGCTTCAGCAAAGTCTCAGGATTCAAAATCAATGTGCAAAAATCACAAGCATTCCTATACAACAATAACAGACAAACAGAGAGCCAAATGATGAGTGAACTCCCATTCACAATTGCTTCAAAGAGAATAAAATACCTAGGAATCCAACTTACAAGGGATGTGAAAGACCTCTTCAAGGAGAACTACAAACTACTGCTCAATGAGATAAAAGAGGACACAAACAAATGAGAGAACATTTCATGCTCATG